>NC_000006.12:35514545-35817575 GCF_000001405.40 Homo sapiens | reverse complement strand
TCTTCTTTGGAGAAATCTCTATTCAAATCCCTTGCCCATTTTAAGCATTGGGTAGTCTGTCTTTTCATTGTTGAGTTATAGGAGTTCTTAATATATTCTGGATTCTAGATCTTATCCAATTATAATTTGCAAATATTTTCTTCCATTCTGTGGGCTGTCCTTTTACTTTCTTGATGGTGTCTTTTGAAACAAAAAAAAATTTAAATTTTAATGAAAGCTGATTTATCTATTTTTTTCTTTTAAGATTTTTTTTTTTAGATTGAGTCTCGCTCTGTTGCCCAGGCTAGAGTGCAGGGGCACAGTCTTGGCTCACTGCAAGCTCTGCCTCCCAGGTTCACACCATTCTCATGCCTCAGCCTCCTGAGTAGCTGGAACTACAGGTGCCCACCACCACACCCAGCTAATTTTTTGTGTTTTTAGTAGAGACAGGGTTTCACTATGTTAGCCAGGATGGTCTCGATCTGTCCTCATGATCCACCCACCTCGGCCTCCCAAAGTGCTGGGATTACAGGCATAAGCCACCGCATCTGGCCTCTTTTAAGATTTTTATAGTTTTATATTTGTGTTTAGGTCTTTGAGTTAATTTTTGTATATGGTGTGAGGTAGGGGTTCAATTTCATTCTTTCACATACAGAGATCTGATTGTTCTAGCACTATTTGTTGGAAAGACTATTCTTTCCCCTATTAAATAGTCTTGGCATCCTTGCTGAAAATAAATTGGCCATAAATGTTTGGGTTTATTTCCTTTTTTTTTTTTTTTTTTTTAGATGGAGTCTTGCTCTGTTGCCCAGGCTGGAGTGCAGTGGTACAATCTCAGCTCACTGCAAGCTCTGCCCCCTGGGTTTATGCCATTCTCCTGCCTCAGCCTCCCAAGTAGCTGGGATTACAGGGGCACACCACCAAGCCTAGCTAATTTTTGTATTTTTAGTAGAGATGGGGTTGTGCCATGTTGGCCAGGCTGGTCTCAAACTCCTGACCTCAAGTGATCTGCCTGCCTTGGCCTCCCAGAGCGCTGGGGTTACAGGCATAAGCCTCTGCACCCAGCCCTACTAGTTCATTTTTTCTTCCCTTTATAGAATCCTCAAGGGATCCGGGATCTAGGCCTTTCCCTGACCCAGGAACTATAGGAATCTACCCTACTGTGATGAGAAGAAATCTTTTCTCTCCTTGGCCCAGCTCTTTCTAGTAATTTGTTTTCTTTTTCTTTTTTTTTCTTTTTTTTTTTTTTTTGAGACGGAGTCTCGCTCTGTCGTCCAGGCTGGAGTGCAGTGGCGCGATCTCAGCTCACTTCAACCTCTGCCTCCTGGGTCCAAGAGATTCTCCTGTCTCAGCCTCCCGAGTAGCTGGGACTACAGCTGCGAGCCACCGCACCCAGCTATTTTTTTTTTTTTTTTTTTTGAGACGGAGTCTCGCTCTGTCACCCAGGCCGGACTGCGGACTGCAGTGGCGCAATCTCGGCTCACTGCAAGCTCCGCTTCCCGGGTTCACGCCATTCTCCTGCCTCAGCCTCCCCAGTAGCTGGGACTACAGGCGCCCGCCACCGCACCCGGCTAATTTTTTGTATTTTTAGTAGAGATGGGGTTTCACCATGTTGGCCAGGATGGTCTTGATCTCTTGACCTCATGATCCACCCACCTCGGCCTCCCAAAGTTCTGGGATTATAGGCATGAGCCACCGTGCCCGGCCTGTTTTCATCTTTAACCACATAACAGGTGGTTATCCTTCTCTCACCCCCAAAGAAGGATGAAATGTTTCCTATCACTTCCTTATGGAGCAGTGGGCCCCGGGCTTGGCCAGAGAGGACCTGAGTTCTGGGCTTCTTTGCCACTGCCTTTCTGGGAACTTCTGAGTGACTTTCCCTTTTGGGCTTCAAGTTCCTCATGTGGGAAGAGTCCTTGGTTATAGTGCACAGAGGAGTTTGGCTGCTGCTTCTAATCCAAGGGCTAATGTGAAGACAGCTATGGGGAAAAGAGACTGGAGAGGTTTCTGAGGTGTAACAGGTCCCCAGTGATGGCCACCTGCTGAGATCAGGCATTTGGGGATTCACAGGGGTGCAAGACAGGCCTTGCCCTTGACTTGGGGAAGAAATTTATGCTCTGAAAAATTAGCCCAAGACAGGCAGGGGAAGAGCCCAATGAGAAACAGAAGCAAAAGGCACCCTAGGAAGAAGGGAGTAATGGGAAGCAATCAGGGAGGGCTTCCTGGAGGATGTGCTTGGGCCTCAAGGATCAGCTACAGCTGACTTTTATGACTGACAGGTAGGATTTGGATGGGAGGGAATTGAAACAGGACGAACATTACGAGAATCCCAAGGCTGCTGTTCCTCCAGGGATCTCGGGCTCCCACCAGCTGCACTGCAGGAGCTGTCACTTCTGCACCCTCATTGGCCTGTTCTCAAGGTCGCACTCCCTCCCCAGCAACTCATCTGCTGTTGTTCCCCATCTCCACCAACAAACTTCCAGGAATATTACTTCGAGACCCCGCCTCAGTGCCTCCTTCTAGGGGAGACCACACTTAGCCCCCAAGGCTGGATTGCAGCTCTCTCCCCTATAGCCTCTGAGAGTGTAGAGGGGTGAGGGGGACATTCCTTTATCACAGATCGCCTTATCACCTGCTAGCTTGCAACCCTCCACTGGCCTTTGATTTCAGGGAGGACAAGGGGTGTGTCTGATTAGTCTTGGTGTCCCCATCCCTTGGCCAGGGACCAAGCCTTAGAGGACTGGCTAAGATGAACCCCCACCCACATCCCAGGGTCTCCAGGCAGGGGACACCATTGTGGAGTTGGGTGATTACCGGTTCCATCTGCCTTGTAGTCGTCAGGGAGGAGCTTGTCCTGCCGGTAGCCCAACACGAAGGCCAGGAAGGAGAGGATGAGGGCGTCGCCAATGCTGAGGATGGCCAGCATGAAGGCCCAGCGGATGGTGCAGTGGCCCAGCGTGTACTTGCCCGTCTGCTCCCCACACATGCGCCGCACCTCACTTGAGTCCCAACCATCAGGGTAGACCAGGCAGCCAATCATTAGGCCTGTGGCTGAGGGGGAAGGAGGGGTGCACATGGCATCAGGCCGAGTGTGCCTAGCCCGCTACCTCCCACACCTTGCACTGCTGTTATGTTGTCACCTCCCTTCTCCTTCTGTTAACAGCCTCAGGAGGCATGAGAGGCAGCCTCTACCATCCTTCTTGCAGAACACAGGTGAGAAAACTGAGGCTCTGAGAGTTAAAGCAACTGGCCCCCGAGACCCAGTAGTTGGGGCGGAGGCAGAGCTGAGCTCCTAAGCCCAGGCCGGCTCTGCCACCACACCAGGTGGTCCTCCCAGGCCTTCAGCCATTCTCCTCACCTTGGACTCAACCAGGCACCACCTACCCTGGCTTCAAAGCCCTCCGGTATCTAGTCCCAGCCCAAAGAACTCATCACTGCTGAGATGTACATTTCTTCGTACTTACAACATCTGTGAAATAAGCTCAATAAGAAAGTGTCTAGCCTGGGGGTGGTGGCTCACACCTGTAATCCCAGCACTTTGGGAGGTCGAGGCGGGCAGATCACCTGAGGTTGGGAGTTTGAGACCAGCCTGACCAACATGGAGAAACCCTGTTCTCTACTAAAAATACAAAATTAGCAGGGAGTGGTGGTACATGCCTGTGATCCCAGCTACTGGGGAGGCTGAGGCAGGAGAGTAGCTTGAACCCTGCAGGCAGAGGTTGCGGTGAGCTGAGATCACACCATTGCACTCCAGCCTGAGCAACAAGAGCGAAACTCCGTCTCAAAAAAAAAAAAAAAAAAAAAGGAAAAGGAAAAAGAAAGTGTCAGGCCATGGCCAGATTATCAGTATATTTTGTTTTTATGGTACATAGAATAACAGTGTGTCCTACAACTCAGGTATCTTAGATTTAATGTATACAGGAAGGCTTTCCAGACTGTCCCTGGCTGCTTCCTTCAAAAGCCTTCCATTCAAGCAAACAGGTTTCCTCCTCACTCTTACCCAGTACAGCATAGTCCAGTTGCTACACGTCCCTAAATTTAAGAATCCCCTGGAGGCCGGGTGCGGTGGCTCACGCCTGTAATCCCAGGACTTTGGGAGGTCGAGGTGGACGGATTACAAAGTCAGGAGATCGAGACCATCCTGGCTAACACGGTGAAACCCCGTCTCTCCTAAAAATACAAAAATTAGCCGGGCATGATGGTGGGCGCCTGTAGTCCCAGCTACTCGGGAGGCTGAGGCAGGAGAATGGTGTGAACCTGGGAGGCGGAGCTACAGTGAGCCGAGATGGCGCCCCTGCACTCCAGCCTGGGCAACAGACCAAGACTCCATCTCAAAAAAAAAAAAAAAAAAAAAAAATGCTAGTTCCTAGGTCATGGTTGGGTTCAATAATCCCTGTTTTCAAAAGCACTCTTCCAGGTGATTTTCTCAGTAGGAAAAGCTGGGAAACACTAGACTAGGCTGCCTGGATTTCAAACCCAGTTCTCTGCTACCTAGCTATGTGACTCAGAGCAAGCAACTTAAGCTTTCTTTTCTTTTTTTTTGAGACAGAGTCTTGCTCTGTCGCCCAGGCTGGAGTGCAGTGGCACGATCTCGGCTCACTGCAACACCCGCCTCCCGGATTCAAGTGATTCTCCTGCCTCACCCTCCTGAGTAGCTGGGATTACAGGCATGTACCACCATGCCCGGCTAATTTTTGTATTTTTCATAGAGACGGGGTTTTGCCACGTTGGCCAGGTTGGTCTTGAACTCCTGGGTTCAAGTGATCCGCCGGCCTTGGCCTCCCAAAGTGCTGGGATTACAGGCGTGAGCCACCGTGCCCAGCCATACTTAAGCTTTGTTTGCCTCAGTTTCCTCATCTACAAAATGGACATAATAATAACCCTAACCTTCCTGTTGTGGTTACAGCAAGGTTCAAATGAGTTAATACTGGAAAAGAGTGTAGAACAGTGCCTGGCACAGACTTGGCACTCCATAAGAGTTGACTGTGAGAGTTATTATCACACCCTGTGCCTTACTTGACTTATTATTTACAGCTAAAAATTCTGTTGCCCCCACTTTCCCCCCACTTCTTCCATCCCTTTCCATCAAACCATCCCCTCACCTTAGCTTTGCTGGGGTGAAGCAGAGACAGGTGACATAATCCAGGATGCAACTGGGGCAGCCAGCCCCAGGCACAGCTGCCCCACGGGCAGGGGGTGCTCCCCTTATCTGTGCCACTTTCCCACAGGTCTGGAGGCTCTCTAGTCCCAAGGTTGTACCCTACTCAGGAGACCCTCAGAAAAGCACCTCTTCAGGCCTAAAGTTACCTTCCCTGCTTCCAGCTTGTTCTACAAAGAAGGTCAGGAGGTCAAACAAATGCACAGTAAATGGAAAAATCAGGGTCCCACCTCCCCACCTAAATGTATCACGCTTCCTTTGATCTTTTTTAGGAGAAGCTTATTTAGATAGTTCTTTATAGATCACAAAATACTTCATGTACCATCTTGACTGTGATCACCTTTCTGTGAAGTGGGCTGGCTATTAATATCCTCATTTTACAGATTAGAAAACTGAGGGCTCAAAGAAACCAAGTGACTTACCAGCCATCCAGTCATCCAGCTATGACAGGGCCAAGGCCTGAGTTCTCCATTCCTGACTTTCCTGACTTCAAAGTTTATTCCCTCCACCCCCAGAACATGACATCTCTCCCAGGGGCTGAATGTAATTAGCGGTGACATTTCAGACTTCCTACGTGTTCAGTGAAAACTAAGTGTTCAGGAAGATACCCACGGTGGAGGAGAGGGAGCCATCCACAGCTCCGTGGTGAAACCTACGTAGCCAGCCCTTCCCCGACTTGATGTGAGTCCAGCCCTCCAGTGCCTGGCAGGGCCCCTGGCTTCATGGGCAGAGGTGAAGGTGGGAAGGAGCTGCCCTTCCAGGCTTTGCATTCTCTCCATCACTTCCTCCCGTGGCCCCTCCCCTCCTGCACCATCTTCCTGTGGGGGCTCCGGAAAAAAGCCCAGGGCCTCTGACCTGGAAACAGGGTGTTGGTGCCACAGTCCCCTGCGAGCACTCTACCCATCCACCCACGGTTCTGGGGACAGTGGGTGTCAGCCCCAGTTGTGGCATCTCAAGGCTCTAAGCAGAAGCCAGCACAGTGTTCTCAGGCCAGGTTACTTACCCTCTCTGACTTCCGTCCTGTTGTCTGTAAAGTATCTGACTCATAGCAGCACTGTGAGGATTAAGTGTGATCATTTACAGAAAACGCTTACTATGATGTCTTGTACATGGAAAGTGGCCAATTAATGTTAGTCACTGCTATTATTATTGACATTGGAGTCAGACAGAAGCCACCTCAGTGACATGGATGCCATTAGAGCTGCTCACGAATATTCCAGGTGCAAGGCAAGGTTGTACTTCCTTGCTCCGCTCTCTTGAGGTTAAGTGAGGCCATCTGCCTTCCTCTGGCCAATGACATGTGAGCAGAGATGTGTGTATTTCCGGGCCACAGCACTTAGCTGCAGTGGGAGACCTCCCAGAGTTCCCTTCCCTCTGATGCGAGGACAGCTGATGGTGACTGATGCCACTAGCGAGGGTCCCAGGAGACAACAGTGAGAGCGGAGCCCCCACCGATCCCCGGTTGGCACGGACCATAAGCAAGAAATACATAAACCGTTGTTCTAAGCCACCAAGATTTGGGAGTGGTTTGTTACTACGGCATCACTTCTCATGCTCACTGATATAGTTGTTTCTTGTGTTTTTCTTTTCTTTCTTTTTTTTTTTTTTTTTTGAGACGGAGTCTCACTCTGTCGCCCAGGCTGGAGTGCAGTGGCGCGATCTTGGCTCACTGCAAGCTCTGCCTCCTGGGTTCACGCCATTCTCCTGCCTCAGCCTCCCAAGTAGCTGGGACTACAGGCGCCCGCCACCAAGCCCAGCTAATTTTTTATTTTTGTATTTTTTTGTATTTTTTGGGGGGATTATCCCCTGCCCACAGGGCAGCTGTGCCTGGGACTTTCCCAGTTGCATCCTGGATTATGTCACCTGTCTAATTTTTTTGTATTTTTTTGTAACACGGGGTGTCACTGTGTTAGCCAGGATGGTCTCGATCTCCTGACATCATGATCCACCCACCTCGGCCTCCCAAAATGCTGGGATTACAGGCTTGAGCCACCATGCCCAGCCTGTTTTTTGTGTTTTTCACAGGTACTGAGCACTTACCATGTGCAAGGTGTTTTACATGCATTCTATTATCCCATCTTCACAGAACCCCCCTGAAGTGGGTACTGCTGCTATGTTCTACAGATGGGGTACAGTGGAATGTTTGTTCCTCCCAGATTTCCTGTGTTGAAATCCTAACCTCCAGTGTGATGGTGTTAGGAGGTGGGGCCTTTGGGAGGTGATTAGGTCATGAGGGTAGGGCCCTCCACGAATGGGATTGGAACCCTTATAAAAGGGACCCCAGAGGGGAGCGGGGGCAGCTAAAGGTTGGTTAATGGATACAAAAGTATAGCTAGACAGGAGGAGTAAGCTCTAGTGTTCTTTAGCACTGTAGAGTGAGTATAACCAACAGCAATCTATCGTATATTTTCAAATAGCTGGAACAGCAAATTTGAAATCGTCCCAACTCAAAGAAATGTTTTAAGTGTTTGAGGTGATGGATATGCTAATTACCTTCATTTTCTCAGTAGGAAAAGCTAGGAAACATTAGATCAGGCTGCCTGGATTTCAAGCCCAGCTTGTATACATGTATCGAAATATCACACTGTAGCCCATAAATATGTACAATTATTATGTCAATTAAAAACAATAATAAGGCCGGGTGCGGTGGCTCACGCCTGTAATCCCAGCACTTTGGGAGGCTGAGGCAGGCAGATCGCCTGAGCTCAGGAGTTCCAGACCAGCCTGAGCAACATGGTGAAACCCCATCTCTACAAAAAATACAAAAATTGGCTGGGTGTGCTGGCATGCACCTGTAGTCCCAGCTACTCGGGAGGCTGAGGAGGGAGGATCACTTGAGCCTGGGAGGTCAAGGCTGCAATGAGGTGTGTTCATGCCATTGTACTCCAGCCTGGGTAAAAATAATCATTTTTGAGACCTTGACTCAATAATAATAATCATCAATGCAAATAAATACATAAAAGGGACCTCAGAGAGCCCTGTCATCCTCTTTTCACCATGTGAGGACATCAAGAAGTCAGCAGTCTAGAGCCTAGAAGAGGCCTTCATCAGAGATCTCGTGCTAATGCCATGCCGGCACCCAGATCTCAGACCTCCAGGCTCCAGAACTGTGAGAAATGAATTTCTGTTGTTTTAAGCCCCCTAATCTATGGTAATTTGTTATGGCAGCCCTGACTAAATAGAACTAAGTAAAACTGACTAAGACATGAGGTTACCAAGACTCAGAGAAGACAAGCAGTTTGGTCTACCTGTGTTTCTAGGAGCTGGGACAACTCCCAGCCTACACCTGGCACCCAGAAGCCCAATTAATCTTGTTAAGCTGCAGCCCCACATCGCCCAAGCATCAGTCCTCCTTGCCCCTGCCCCCTCCCTGTTCCCAGGCTTCTTGGCAAGGGTACTAATGAATAGATGTATCTCCCAGCTGCTGGATATGGGACCCGCCCACTCTGCATCTCTCCCTTCGGCTCATTTCCCCTTCCGCAGCACAGCAGAATGGAACATGACACCAGTCTTGCCTTCCCTAACATAAATGTTGCATGAGATGGCACCTGGCCACCTCTGCTATCAGTGTCTCCAGCTTTTCTACCCAGATAGTGTCTGACTCAGATGGCCTGTCAACCCCTCCCCCTCCTGGCACTGCCTGCTCACACATGGCACCTGTTGGGGGATGTTTCAGGGAAGGGGGGTTTGCAGACAGCCCTGAGAATGAGAGAGATGGTTGTGTCTCCAGCATCCCATAACCCTGATAGGGAAGAAGAGCTGGCAAGCATATTAGGGTCTATTTCACTCCTCTTTGGCATAAAACTACTAAATCTTCATTTTCCCTTTGTTCATATATATATATATATATATATATATATATATATATATATATGTATAAAATGAATATATAGTAAAGAATATATATATATATACTCAATATTTTTATTAACCCAGCTAATTTTTGTATTTTTTGTAGAGACACAGTTTCGCCATGTTGCTCAGGCTGGTCTCGAACTCCTGAGCTCAAGCAATCTGCCCACCTCGCCCTCCCAAAGTGCTGGGATTACAGGCCTGAGCCACTGCAGCTGGCCTTATTATTATTTTTATTTATATATATTATTTATTATGATTATTTTTAATTTATATATATATATATATAAAATAGAGATAGGGTCTCACTATGTTGTCCAGGCTGGTCTTGAAGTCTTGAACTTCTGGCCTCAAGCAATCCCCTCTCCTTGGCCTCCCAAAGTGCTAGGACTACAGGCATGAGCCGCTGTGCCTGCCCCCACCATCATTCTTGACATGGCCACCACCTACCTTGCTCCCCACTGCCCACCCCTGCCCCGGCCTCTCTCTTATCATACAGAGAGACTACAGAGAACAGGGAGGTGGCAAGGGGATTTGCTGGGAACTCTGAAGCCATGTGAGTAGCCTGGGTGCAAGATTTGGAATCAAAGGTGCATGCCTTCCTACTTGTATGCTCAAAGACAAGTTACCCACTAGGGGCCTTCTTTGTAAAATAGATAAATACCCACCTCAATGGGTTGTGCTGGGGCTCCTCCAGATATTATATGTAAAGATATTTCATAGATCATTATACTTATGTAAATATGTGGCTCAGTAAAAACATCTTAGGAATACATCTAGTTCCTTGGTCCTCAGTTGCCCGCTTAATTCTTCCTGGTCCTCAGGTGCCTGCTGATCTGCTACAGCCTTGGCCAAGTCTGGTCCTTTCTCTCAGCAGCAGATTCCTCATCTATAGTTGGGGGGTGGATATAGCTCTCTGGGGTCCCCTCCAACTCTGCAGTCTTGAATCTGCATGTTTGGTGGTCTGGGATTCAGATGCCTGTTTCAGTCTCCCTCTTAAAGATGACAGCACTTCTCATTCTGACCAATGAGATGGTTTCACTCTAGTTTCCAGTCCCCGGCACTACTCCTGGACATCTCACCGACATGGACAGTTTGTGGCCCCTGAGGTGTGCAGGGACCAAGGTACCAGAGGCTGCAGCACAAGGTCTTAACCCTCTTCCTGGGCTACAGAGAAGAGCAAGACCACTTGGCACAAGGACCAAGAAGCCTTCCTGAGCTAGAAGCAGGAAAAAGGACCAGGGAGGTTTTGCCTCAAGGCACAAGTAGCTGCCTACCCCACAGTTTTATTTGTTTTATTTTATTTATTATTATTATTATTATTTTTAGAGACAGGGTCTTTCCATCTTGCCCAGTCTAGTCTCAAACTCCTGAGCTCAAGTGATGCTCTCTCCCAAAGTGCTGGGATTACAGGTGTGAGCCGCTGTGCCCAGCCCCCACATTGTTTTAAAGGACCCTAGGCCAGGTGCTGTGGATCACATCTGAAATCCCAACACTTTGGGAGACTGAGGCAGGCAAATCACTTGAGCCCAGCAGTTCAAGACCTGCCTGGGCAACATGACAAAACCCCGTCTCTACAAAAAATACAAAAAAAATTAGCTAGACATGGTGGTGCGCACCTGGAGTCCCAGCTACTTGGGAGGCTGATGTGAGAGGATCACCTAAGTCCAAGGAGGTTGAGGCTGCAGTCAGCTGAGATCATGCCACTGCACTCCAGCCTGAGCCAAAGAGTGAGACTCTGTCTCAAAAAACAAACAAACAACAACAACAACAAAAGGACCCTAAATAGCTTCCTCTACCTCACAAAATATCACTCCATTTGCTGCCTTAAGTATAAAATCCCATGATCAAGGAAAAAAGACTTTCACTCCACAATGAAAGAGGGGAATTTAGATGAAAGTTTCTATAGGCAAGGTCATACCCTGCATAATAGTAACACTCCAAAATCAGCAAGAGACCTTAGAATCTGAGAGCAGTTTGGAGTGGGAGAGAGAGAATGAGGACAGAGTTCTGGGCACTCTTAAAAAGAACAAAAGCCCAGAGGTGGGAGATGAAGGCATCTAGAATGTGCTTGACTGGTGTCACTACTTTGTGCTAGGGTTGAGTCCTATTCCCACATGGCCAACAATGGAAGCTTCCTTCTTTCTCTCTCTCACAGCTGCAAAAACTGATGTGATGGCCTGGGAATCAGGACTGGCAACTGTGTGCTCCTGGGCAAGTCACTTCCCCTTACAGATGAGGTTCTGGGCTCAGATGAGGTTCTGGGCTCAGAACCTCATCTGTAGGATGAGAGGGTTGGACAGCTTGGTCTCTAAGGTCTTTTCTGCCTCTGCCATTTTAAGATTCTCAACTCCTCAGAATCTTCTGCAGAGCACTGAGTAGGACTGGGCTATAGGAGAACAGCTAAATTTAAGGCCCAGAGCCCTGGCAGAGGCTGGGATGGTGCAGCTGCAGCTGTGGCCCCGGGGTGGGCCCCTGCCTGCCCTCCCACCATCTCTGCTTACCCGCAGCCAGCTGCATCCATGCACAGATCTTATAGACTGTGGCCGTGTTGCAGATGAAGAACAGGCTGAAGCAGATGATGGAGCCAATGATGAGGAACATGCCCAAGGCCACAAAGAACATGGCAGTCTTGAAGGCTCTAGAGGGGATGGAGGAGAAGTCTAGGGGGCCGCCCTTGCAGATGAGCTCGGAGGACAGCACGTTACCCACGCAGTAGGAGAAAAGGCCGAAGTAGCCTGCCTGCGGTGTGTTGACGCTGTCGCCGATCCAGTAGGGCTGGATGAAGAGGGCCATGACCAGTACGGAGAAGCAGATGGTGAGGGTACCCCACATCACGCCCACGGCTCGCGAGTTCCGCACATAGTTGGTATGGTAGATCTTGGCTGCCTCCTGGGCCGGCAGCAATTTCACCATGGTGAGGGCAGCAGGCCCTGGGCTGGGGTCCCGTGGGCTGCAAGTCCGTAGCTTTGTGGATGGAGGCCTAGAAGCAGGTCACTCCCCAGCGGGGTTTGGGGAGGAGGCTGAGGTCAGGGCACCAGGTGAGGTCCCTTCAAGGCAAGGGGAAGAGGCTTAATAGGACAAGGACAACCTTGATTTGGTCAAGGAAAGCTTGCCAGGTGCCTGTGTCCGCTCTAGCCGAGGCTGTCTCCAGTCTCCTGCCTCCTCCCAAGCCCACCAGGGCCTGCTGGCGCCGCCCTGCCCGTCTCCCTCTTCCCGGCTCACGGCTCCCGAGAGCCCCGCCCCCTCCTCCGTCCGCGGAGGGCGCCGTTTCAGCACCGCGGCCAGCGCCCCGGGGTTCCGGGCGAGGGGCGGGGCCTGCAGCAGAGGCGGGGAAGGGGCAGAGCTCCCACTACAGGCCCCCGCCGCGGGGAATCGGAACACCGTTCACCTTCCTGAACCGAGATGACAAGAATTGGGAAGGTGGGGATGTGACTGACACATTCCTACTGCTCAATTCCAGCAGCAAAAACGCTTTCCCCCCGCAAAAGCGCTGTCCACATCCCATCCCACCCCGCCCCTGCCTGGCTCCCTAGTCGCCTTCCCAGAACCTCCAACTCCACCACTCCGGAGGTCAGCAAAGCCTTTCCTGGTTGCCTTCTGGTCACCGGTTTTTCGTCCTTAGCATTCAGTCAACGATTTCTAAAAGCATACTATGTGTTAAGATTATGTTGGAGGACATCTAAGCAAAACCACAGATAAAAAAGACAGGGCCCCCGTCCTCAAAGACAGTGAAATATTTACATATATAATATACGTATATATGTAGTCTATATAAATATATATATAAAACGCCTGTATATGCAGACTGATTGTGTGATAACAGAAGCAACTACAAAGTATAGCAGACAACATTCTTTATGAGCCTTCTCAGACCTGAACATATGTGTTTTGTCAAATACAATGCCTTTCTCCCCTTGTTTCTATTTGTTTGTTACATATTTCCCCATTTAAATATATATATGTTTTAATATATTATATATATACATATTTCTCCTGATTTTATAGGTAAATACATGGCTAGTGTAAAGAACTAGGAAAATTCCACTGGGCGTGGGGCTTACGCCTGTAATCCCAGCACTTTGGAAGGCCAAGGCAGGCGGATCATGAGGTCAGGAGATCGAGACCATCCTGGCTAACACAGTGAAACCCCGTCTCTACTAAAAATACAAAAAAATTAGCCGGGCGTGGCAGCACGCGCCTGTTGTCCCAGCTGCTGGGGAGGCTGAGGCAGAAGAATGGTGTGAACTCGGGAGGCGGAGCTTGCAGTGAGCCGAGATCGCGCCACTGCACTCCAGCCTGGGTGACAGAGCAAGACTCCGTCTCAAAAAAAAAAAAATAATAATAATAATAACACCAACGTCCGGAGCTAAGGAAAGACAAGACAATCTTAAAAACATGGACTTTGGGGTTCAACAGGCCTGGATTTGAATGAGCTACTTACTAAGTAACCATCCATGGACTTAACCTTCCTTCCGGAGCCTCAGTTTCGCCATCTATTAAATGCAGGAAATGCACTTACGCCGGGCGTAGTGGCGGGTGCCTGTATTCCCAGCTACTCAGGAGGCTGAGACAGGAGAATTGCTTGAACCCCGGGAAGCAGAGGTGGCAGTGAGCTGAGATCGCACCATTGCACTCCAGCCTGGGCAACAAGAGCAAAACTCCATTTCAAAAAATAATAATAATAATTTTTTTTTTAAAGTGCTCAAAGGTACATTAGTGGTCTCTAATCCCAGCACTTTGGGAGGCCAGGCAGTCCGATCACTTGAGCTCAGGAATTCTAGACTAGCCTGGGCAACATAGCAAGACTCCCGTCTCTACAAAAAATACACAACTTAGCCAGGCATAGCCAGGCATGGTGGTGCTTGCCTGTAGTCGCAGCTACTTGGGAGGTTGAGGTGGGAGAATCACTGGAGCCCAGGAGGTCGAGGCTGCAGTGAACCATGATCACACCACTGCACTCCAGTCTGGGCTTTAACAAAAAAAGAGAAAGTACTCAAAAATGTTGGTGATTATTATTATTACCATTGTTAATCTCTGCAGTTTCCCCCTTCTGAACATACTCCTTTACACAATTGGATGATGTATGTACAATTTTATTTTATTTTATTTTATTTTATTTTTATTTTACTTTTCTTGAGACAGAGTTTCACTCTTGTTGCCCAAGCTGGAGTGCAATGGCATGATCTTGGCTCACAGCAACCTCCGCCTCCCTGGTTCAAGCGATCCTCCTGTCTCAGCCTCCCAAGTAGCTGGGATTACAGGCATGCACTGCCATGCCCAGCTAGTTTTTTGTTTTGTTTTGTTTTTTGTTCTTTGAGACAGAGTTTTGCTCTTGTTGCCCAGACTGGAGTGCAGTGGCGCGAACTTGGCTCACGGCAACCTCCACCTTCCTGGTTCAACTGATTCTCCTGCCTCAGCCTCCTGAGTAGCTGGGATTACAGGCATGGCCGCCACACCCAGCTAACTTTGTATTTTTAGTAGAGACAGGGTTTCTCCATGTTGGTCAGGCTGGTCTCGAACTCCCAACCTCAGGTGATCCACCTGCCTCGGCCTCCCAAAGTGCTGGATTACAGGCATGAGCCACCGTGCCCGGCCGTATGTACATTTTTTTCACTTAGCATTATAATGTTAATATTTTCTCCTATTACTTTTTTTCCCTTTGGTATGTTTTGTCAGTTTCACATTTTTTTTTTTTTTTTTTTTAGACAGAGTTTTGCTCTGTCACCCAGGCTGGAGTACAGTGGCTCAATCTCAGTTCACTACAACCTCCACCTCCCGGGTTCAAGCGATTCTCCTGTCTCAACTTCCCAAGTAGCTGAGAGTACAGGCATGAGCCACCATACCCAGCTAATTTTTGTATTTTTAGTAGAGGCGGGGTTTCACCATGTTGGCCAGGCTGGTCTCGAACTCCTGACCTAAAGTGATCCACCTGCCTCGGCCTCCCAAAGTGCTGGGATTACAGGCTTGAGCCACTGAGCCTGGCCCTTCACTTTTTCACTTTATTTATTTTTTTTGAGACGAAGTCTCACTCTGTTGCCCAAGCTGGAGTGCAGTGGCGCAATCTCGGCTCACTGCAACCTCCACCCACCTCCCGGATTCAAGTGATTCTCCTGCCTCAGCCTCCCAAGTAGCTGGGACTACAGCCGTGAGCCACCACACTCAGCTAATTTTTGTATTTTTATACAGACAGGGTTTCACTATGTTGGCCAGGCTGGTCTCGAACTCCTGACCTAGTGATCCGCCCGCCTTGGCCTCCCAAAGTGCTGGGATTACAGCTGTGCCCGGCCAGTAAGGTTGTTTTGTTTAATTTTGTTTTGTTTTGTTTCGTTTTATTGAGACGAAGATTCGCTCTTGATGCCCAGGCTTGAGTGCAATGGCACAGTCTCGGCTCACTGCAACCTCCGCCTCCCAGGTTCAAGCGATTCTCCTGCCTCAGCCTCCCAAGTAACTGGGATTACAGGCATGTGCCACCATGCCTGGCTAATTTTGTATTTTTAGTAGAGATGGGGTTTCATTATGTTAGTCAGGCTGGTCTCAAACTCCTGACCTCAAGTTATCTGCCCGCCTCGGCCTCCCAAAGTGTTGGGATTACAGGCGTGAGCCACCGCACCTGGCTCAGGTTGTTTTTAATAGTAAAAAAGTGGCTGGGTGCAGTGGCTGGCTCACACCTGTAATCCCAACATTAATAATAATTTTGAAGCTAGCTTATGTATTAAAGATTTTACTTACATTACATAAACTTGAAACAGCATTTGACTAGTCTTTTTTCCTGATAAAGTGTTCAAGTGCTTTTATTTTCTTAAGCCAATTAGAGCTCTTTTATTTATTTTCAGTAGTGAAACACTGTGCACACCACCCATAAATACATAGACATATCAGGCATGCCTATAGAAGTACATCTTACAGATTTATAAAAACCTTTTTTTTTCCTATTTTAATCTTTCAGATTCTTTTTGTTTGTTTTTGAGATGGAGTCTCGCTCTGTCACCTAGGCCGGAGTGCAGTGGTGCAATCTTGGCTCACTGCAACCTCTGCCTCCCAAATTGAAACAATTCTTCTGCTTCAGCCTCCCGAGTAGCTGGGATTACAGGTGCCTGCCACCATCCTCAGTTAATTTTTCTATTTTTAGTAGAGACGGGGTTTCACCAGGTTGGCCAGGAAGGTCTCAAACACCTGACCTCAAGAGTTATCAAATTCTTGATAACCTCTTTCACAACCCTAGGCAGTTGACAGCTAAATAGCCTTAAATTTGCATATTAAAGGAAACAGTTCAGATGAAAGTCAAACAGCAAAATTTACATTATAAGGTGCGCCAAGAAAAGTCTGGTGTTCTAGAGGGAAATTAAAACAGATTTAATTGCCAATTAAACATAAAAGTATGGAAATTATAAAGGCCTTTTAAACACACACACACACACACACACCTTGTAGCTTTTACTTCAGAACTTTTAGCCATGAAATAAATACAAATTCACCTGGCTTGCAAAAAGAACTTGTTGGATCTAAACAGTGGTTTTTCTCTTAATAGAAAAATAACAGCAGATTGCCGGGCGCGGTGGCTCACGCCTGTAATCCCAGCACTGTGGGAGGCCAAAGTGGGCGGATCACGAGGTCAGGAGTTCCAGACCAGACTGGCCAACATGGTGAAACCCCATCTCTACTAAAAATACAAAAAATTAGCTGGGTGTGGTGGCAGGCACCTATAATCCCAGCTACTCAGGAGGCTGAGGCAGGAGAATGACTTGAACCCGGGAGGCAGAAGTTGCAGTGAGATGAGATTGTGCCATTGCACTCCAGGCTGGGCAACAGAGTGAGACTCCATCGAAAGGAAGGGAGGGAGGAAGGAAGGAAGGAAGGAGGGAAGGAAGGAAGGAAGGAAGATTTAGAGCAGGCAGAAAAGAAAAATAGAGAAAAAGATGACTTAGGAATTCTATAGTTTGCAGGTCAACCTTAGGGCTCTTTTTCCTTAATGTAAATGTGCACAAAGACCACGTTATTTCCATTTTACATAAACTTTGTCAGGTAGAGGTGCCATAAAAGCTACGGAGTGCTCAAAAGGGGGTCATTTTCTTTGTTTTCTCCTCATTCTGAAACCACCTTTGCAAAATTATGACTGAGACAGTGAAAGAGATCTAACTTAAGTGACTCCATCTTGTTTCTAACCTCCAAGCTGTCCTTGTTCATTCCTAGGCGTAAGCTGAACTAACTTTGGGAGAAACTTAGTTTATAGTTTAAACAAAGACAGTAACAGCCCTTTCCCAAAGCTGACTTCATTCTTGCCTGGGGACTAGATTGCCTTTGTAGGACTAACATTAGCCACAAGATTAGAAATTATGGTTTAGGAGTCACGCAGCTGGAGGCTACAAGATCCTGATCCTCCCTAAACTACTCCTAAGATCAGTGCTTGAGATATTTTGCTGACCCTGCACTTGATGGATCAGCTGGCCCCACCCAGATCAATAAACTGGCTCATCTGATCTTGTGGCCCTCACCCAGTAATTGACTGGGTGCACGAAGACAGCTCTGAGTCCCTATGATTTCATCTCTGACCAATCATCACCCCTGGCTCACTGGCTTCCCCCCACCCACCAAGTTATCTTCAAAAACTCTGCTCCCTGCTGGGCATGGTAGCTCATGCCTGTAATCCCAGCACTTTGGGAGACTGAGGCAGGTGGATCACTTGAGGTCAGGAGTTCAAGACCAGCCTGACCAACATGGTGAAACCCCATATCTACTAAAAATACAAAATTAGCCGAGCATGGTGGCACATGCCTGTAATCCCAGCTACTCGAGAGGCCGAGGCAGGAGAATCACTTGAACCCAGGAGGCGGAGGTTGCAGTGAGCCAAGATCATGCCATTGCACTCCAACCTGGGCAACAAGAGCGAAACTCTGTCTCAACAGCAACAACAACTCTAAAACTCTAGTCTCCTGCACCTGCACAGCCGGCTCTGCATGAAATACTCTTTCTCCACTGCAATTCCCCTGTCTTGATGAATCGGCTCTATCTAGGTAGTGGGCAAGGTGAACCCCTTCAGTGGTTACATCCTGAGGGCTGTGTCACAGGCCATGGTTGCTCATATTTGGCTCAGAATAAATCTATTCAAATATTGTACAGAGTTTGACTCTTTTCATTGACAGGTACTTAATTTTTGCTTTCCTTTTAGAAGCACATACAGTGTCAAAGTTCTCTTTGCTACACTTCATTTGTAATGGAAAAAACTCCAGCCTTTTTTCTTTGCAAGCTTGGCTGAGACCAACTAGGGACAGGGCTGATGGTTTTCACAGCTCCCTTCATGGAGAGAAATCACTCCTCTGATTCCTTTGCCAGTCTCCATCTTGACTTGTGAGAAGGGAATAGTGATTCCCTTCTCTGTGGCTCACCTCACAGAGGTCCTGGGGGTGGGGAGCAGGTAGAGAAAAGAGAAGGAAGGATCAGAGTGAACTCATAGGAAAAAGTGCTTTCAAACATTGAGTTCTATAAAAGAGAGGGGGGATAGTGTTCTTTCATCAATGGTATTTCTGCATCGCTGGAACCAAATTGGTTTTTCTCATTTTGAGAGTCTCCTGGTTGTTCCTCCAGCTATTTCTCTACATTCCACACCCCAGGGATGTAAAGGTGAGAGGAAGGGGGTCATATTACATGGCTGGGCACCCACCATGTGCCAGGCACTTCCGAAGGTGTTCCACGTGCATTGTCTTAATCATGACCTCAGGAAGTAGGAGGCGTTATCCCCCTAAGATAAATAAGGAAAGTGAGGTTCAGGGAGCTTCACTTTCAATAATGTGTCTGAGGCCACGTAGCTCCAGTAAATGCTGAATTTTGAAGCCAGCTTGGTCTGGATCAAAGCTGTGCTTGAGGCTGGGCACAGTGGCTCACACCTGTAATCCCAACACTTTAGGAGGCCGAGGTGGGAAGATTGCTTGAGCCCACGAGTTTTAGACCTGGGAGGCTTAGGGGGAAGATTGCTTGATCTCAGGAGGTGGAGGCTGCAGTGAGCCAAGATGGCACAACTGCACTTCGGCCTAGGTGACAGAGTGAGACCTTGTCTCAAAAAATTAAATTAAATTAAATTAAAAGCTGTGCTTGAGGCCTGGGCCTCTCAGTGGAGCTGTCTTCTACCTCCTGGGATGGAGAGGGGAAGGGCAGGGGCCTCTGGCTGCCATGACTAGTCCTTCAGGAAAAGCTGCTCTGTTCCCATGCCTGAGCAAACTCAGGCAGCTGTGCCCTTCCCAGCTTCCTGAGGCCCCTGCTCCATCTGAGGCTCATGAGACCTCTTCATTCTCAGCCAGGACTAGCGACTGCTCACGCGCGCACGTGGCCTTGGGTAGGGGGCAGCGTGAGTGGAAACCTTAACTAAAGGGGTGAGTATCTGATGCTGGAATTGCAGATAGTAAGTGAGGTAGAAAGGAAAGGGGAGAGAGGCATTTAGGAAGGGCCTCCTAAGGGCCCTTGAGTCAGGCCTGCAGGCAGCCCCTGGTGTGAGGGCAGGGGGAGGGTGCCAAAGTGAAAGCACACACACCCTGGCCTGCTGGGGGTTGCAGAACTGTCAGCCCCAGGGATCTGGGCATGGCCTGGAATCCCCCGAGGAGACTGAAGGAAGGTTGAGGGGTGGGAGGCTAGGATCCTCGTCCCTGGAGTCTGACACTGCTAGACACCTGGGCTTGGGTGGGCCAAAGGCAAGGCCTGACTATAGTGAGGCAGAGAGGCCCCAAGTACACAGAATGTAAGCAGGCACTCACACCATAGGTGCCTCTCTTGCCTTGGATTCGTCCAGGCACTGCCCAGGAGCTCAAGACACAAGGGCAGCCACCCTTACCCACTGCTTATGTGGCATATGGGAATATACAATATAAATATATTCTTATAATTGTATATAATAATGTTTATATATATGTAACACATAAATGTGTATTAATTCAACCCTCACAACTCTTTAAATTATCCTTAGTTGACAGATAAGATGAAAGGCAGAATAGTTGGAACAGATAGTAAGTTTGCCTCACTAATAACTTGTACACAGTCCATACTCTTAACCACGATGCAACACAATTATCACCAACACACACACACACACACACACACACACACACACACACACGAAAAAGGCCACCAGGTACTCACCCAGTTTCCTTATCAGGAACCGCCCCACAGCAGATTGGCCACAGCTGTGCCTCTGCCCACGGCCAGCCCTGTGGGATGCAGGTGGATCTCGTGAGGTCAGGGCCCCTTTTATAGCCCCATCACCACAGCTGGCTCTGTCTCCCGCCACCCACACCAGCTGTCCCACTCACCATGGAGAAGATCCTGATCCTCCTGCTTGTCGCCCTCTCTGTGGCCTATGCAGCTCCTGGCCCCCGGGGGATCATTATCAACCTGGTAAGAGGGTCTTCAGGGGAGGCGCCTCCTGAGTCCCCAGATGAAGACTTCCTAAGCTTGGACCTTGACCTCTGATGTCTCCACCTGGACTGGCAGGGGCTGGGAGGAGTGGCATCTTGCATCCCTCTGTTTACTTCCATGTCCTGTCCTATGCCTCTTCCCAGAGGCCACAGGAAAGGCTGATCAGCCCCTCTCCAGCTCCAACTGGAGCATGCTCAGAGCAGCAGCTCAACCTGGCTATGAGGGACCTTTTTTTTCTTTTTTTTCTTTTTGAAACGGAGTCTTGCTCTGTCACCAGGCTGGAGTGTAGTGGCACAATCTCGGCTCACTGCAATCTCTGCTTCCCGGGTTCAAATGATTCTCCTGCCTCAGCCTCCCAAGAAGCTGGGATTACAGGTGCCTGCCATAACGCTCAGCTATTTTTTGTATTTTTAGTAGAAATAGGGTTTCACCATGTTGCCCAGGCTAGTCTCAAACTCCTGACCTCGTGATCCGCCCACCTCGGCCTCCCAAAGTGCTGGGATTACAGGCATGAGCCACCTCACCTGGCCCTACGAGGGAGCTTTGTAAAAATCCAGAGCCCTGGGCTTCCATCCTGAGAAAATGCTTTGCGCCAATCATTCCAGCTTCTGACTTATGGAGATGCCTCGGAGATGTTTACTCATTCTGTTCTCATAATAACCACTGAGGGAGGTGTTTTCAGAGTCAGCCCTGTCTTCAGACAGAGAGAGGGTGAGCAACCTGCCTGAGGTCACATAGCTGGAAAGTGGTTCAGCTGGGGCCCCACCACTGCCCCACACCACCTCTCCACCATGGGTCTTGGCTGGGAAAGCCCTTCCAGAACGTCCATGCGGTTGAAAGGTTCTGAACTCTCTTAACTTGGGGCCATGGCTGGACTTGGAGGTCCAGGACCCTTGGAGATTATAGATCAGATCTGTTGGGGGAGGAAGGAGTCTTGCAGGGAGATGCAATCTTCACCGCCTCCTTAAAGAGGTGTGGGACCCAGAGTGGTTTGGAGAACTTGTCTAGGGGCCTTGTGTGCACATTCCAAATGGGAACACTGAGGCTTGGGAGGCAGTGACTTGCCCAGAGTCACACAGGAGGTTGGTAGCACAGCCGGTACTAGAACCCAGGGGTCCTGACCCTCTGTGCAAGTCTGCTTCTCTGTCACCGCATGCCCACTTCTCACGTGGGTGGGGGGCACAGAGGCCACCAGACCCAGGGGATGGACTCCTTCACACACATCCCTACCAGGGGAGACACTGTTAGTGGTAGTGTGTGGTGGGTACAGGTCTGAATGGAGAAGGGACCTGAGGGAGTGGGGCCTGGGCTGACTGGCTGCTCCTGGCAGGAGAACGGTGAGCTCTGCATGAATAGTGCCCAGTGTAAGAGCAATTGCTGCCAGCATTCAAGTGCGCTGGGCCTGGCCCGCTGCACATCCATGGCCAGCGAGAACAGCGAGTGCTCTGTCAAGGTGGGTGCCTGAGGACTTGGCGTGGGTGGGGGAGAATGGGGAGTAGGGCCCTGAACACTTGTGAGTGGGATCAGGGAGGGGGGTCAGCCTGGACACTGAATGTTGAGGAGACGAGAGGGAGGTCGACAGGTGTCAAAGCACTTTCCCATCCCATCATCTCTCTTGACCCTCCCGAGTGACCAGTGAGATGGGTGGGGGTGGGGATTTGTTATCCCCATTTCATGGCTGGGTAAATAGAGGCTCCCCAGAGAGATCAAGCTAGTAAGAGCAAATGAGCCAGAGCAGAGGTCAGAGCTGGGGTCTCCAGGGCCCACGGCACCCCTGGGGAGGCAGGTGGGAGAGGCACTCCCCGAAAACACAGGCTGGCCTACTGGTTCTCTAGGTCAGGCAGGGGACAAGTGATGTCCAAAGTATCTCCCCATAGCCTTGACTCCATTGGCTGTGTCTCTGCAGACGCTCTATGGGATTTACTACAAGTGTCCCTGTGAGCGTGGCCTGACCTGTGAGGGAGACAAGACCATCGTGGGCTCCATCACCAACACCAACTTTGGCATCTGCCATGACGCTGGACGCTCCAAGCAGTGAGACTGCCCACCCACTCCCACACCTAGCCCAGAATGCTGTAGGCCACTAGGCGCAGGGGCATCTCTCCCCTGCTCCAGCGCATCTCCCGGGCTGGCCACCTCCTTGACCAGCATATCTGTTTTCTGATTGCGCTCTTCACAATTAAAGGCCTCCTGCAAACCTTTCCCAGTCTCCTGCATATTCTTTCTGACTCAGCATCTTCTCTGAAGTTGCATCAGGCCTTTGGTCCACCAGGGCAGGCTTCAGGCAGGTCAGAAGAACAAGGGATGGGTCTGGGGCTGAAGAAGTTGTGGCCAAACAGATTGGAGACTGAAGACAAAGCTGTGAAGGAGACCCAGCCAGCCTAGGAAACCCTCCATTTCTGGGGAGAAGTCACACCTACCTGGGATGCCCTCCTTGTCCCTCCGGTTCTCAAAGAGACAAGCGGGCACATGTGCATGCGCGCGCACATACACACACACACACACACACACACACACACACACTTGTGGGTAAGGAGTTTTAATGGCCCATGTTCGTCACCCTGCATCAGAGGCATCAGAATCCTGGGCTCTCACCTCTTTTCTGGACACAATTCTCAAATATGACAGCTAGCTGACACAACTCATGTGTTAAGGGGTCAGACCACTCTCAATTGCTATGAGCTTACTCTCTGCCAGCAAATGCTCACAAGGATCCCAGGAGGGAGAATTTCTCATCTCCACTTTATAGATAGAGACCAAGTTTCAGAGAGGAGCTTGCCCAATGTCACATAATCAGAAAATGTTGGCACTCTACCATCTAACTCCACTGCCCTGCTTCTATGATTCCTTTTTTTTTTTTTTTCTGAAACAGAGTCTCTCTCTGTTGCCCAGACTGGAGTGCAGCGGAGTGATCTCTTGGCTCACTGCAACCTCCACCTCCCAGGTTCAAGCGATTCTCCTGCCCCAGCCTCCCCTAGTAGCTGGGATTACAGGCGCCTACCACCACGCCCGGCTAATTTTTGTGTTTTTAGTAGAGACGGGGTTTCATCGTGTTGGCCAGGCTGGTCTCAAACTCCTGACCCCAGGTGATCCACCACCTCAGCCTCCCAAAGTGCTGGGATTACAGGTATGAGCCACCGTGCCCGGCCTTATGATTCCTTTTTCTTTCCCAATTATTCGCATTAAGAAAAATGGGTGGAAACTGCAAGGAATTTAATTTTGCCTTAATATAAAAATTGTATATCCCCTGGAGCCATCAAACATGAGTTACCTTAGGCAGTACTGAGGTGCCCATCATCCAGGTACGCAGGTGGAAGCTCACTGACCCCTCGGTGGAGATGCTAGAGAGGAGATTCCCACAGAGAGTGAGGGACAGTGAACTGAATGAAACTTCGATGTCGTCCCAGCCCCAGGATCTTGCAGTTCTGTGATCAATGAATCCTCCTGTAACCACAGGCTTATGAGTTAGGATTGCATTCAACTGTGAGTAGCAGAAAAACCCAAGTAATTATGGCTGAAGCAAATAGGAACGTATATTTCTCATGAATCCAAAGCAAAGACACAGGAAGTGCTGGCATTCTTTTGGTGGCTGGTAGCTCTTGACCTTCTCTTCAAGGTTGCCACATGCCTTAGCAGCAGCTCATGACTTCACGTTCTCACCGTATTCGAAGGCAGGAAGCATGGAGTAGCTGGCAGCTGGGAAGGCGGGAGAAGGAGCAGAGAGTTTCTTCTTGCATACCCTTTTTTTTTTTTTTTTTGAGACAGAGTTTTGCTCTTGTTGCCCAAGCCAGAGTGCAGTGGCACGATCTCGGCTCCCTGCAACTTCTGCCTCCTGGGTTCATGCGATTCTCCTGCTTCAGCCTCCCAAGTAGCTGGGACTACAGGCGCCTGCCACCACGCCTGGCTGATTTTTTGCATTTTTAGTAGAGACAGGGTTTCACCATGTTGGCCAGGCTGATCTTGAATTCCTTACCTCAGGTGATCCACCTGCCTCGGCCTCCCAAAGTGCTGGGATTACAGGCATGAACCATGGCACCTGGACCATACCCTCTTCTTATCTTTCCTCAAATCCTCAAGGCCGACTTCTCTTCATATCTCAGTGGCTAGAACTAGGTTATCTGACTACTTCTAGCTGCAAGGGACGCTGGGAAAGCAAAGGGAATAAGATCCTTCTCCTGGGGCCAGGTTCATTGATGCCCAAACAATATTGGGTTTCAGTTGGCAGGGAAGGGGGCAATGGCTATTAGGAAACCAGGTAATGGTGTCTGCCACATATGAATTATGTGCTCAACAAGAGGAGCTTTCAATACCTTAACCCAGGAGGGGTCTCAGGCCCTGAGCAGGGCTGAGTCACGCTTCTTGGTGCCACATTCGGTCCTGGAGATCTGCATTCATGTCCCCTTCATGTGTTCACTGAATGACCACAGTGTGCCTGGCACCGTGTTTTGGACTGTGGGGGGCATAAGGAAAATGTCCCTGGTCTTCAAAAGTGAGTAGGGAGTTGGGCTTTGGGCTCTGCAGAAGCAAGTGACCAAGACCCCAACCATTATGTAGCTTCCATTTTATTTCCAACGGCCAGTGCTCCTGTAGACTCTCAATTTCTGCTGCTTTTCAGCATCACACGCCTACACAGCAGAGGCACAGTCTAACCACAGCTCAAGGAACCAGATGGTCCCCACTTACAATGGTTTGACTGACAATTTTTCAACTTTATGATGGTGCAAAAGCAATATGCATTCAGTAGAACATCAATAAATTACATGAGATATATTCGACACTTTATTCTAAAATAGGCTTTGTGTTATTTTTCCCAGCTAATGTAAGCATTCTGATTGAGCACATTTAAGGTAGGCTAAGCTAAGCTATGATATTCAGTAGGTTAGGTGTATTAAATACTTTTTTTTTTTTTTGAGACAGGGTCTCACTCTGTGACCCAGGCTGGAATGCAGTGGCATGATCATGGCTCACTACAGCCTTGACATCCTGGGCTCAAGTGATCCTCCCACCTCAGTTCCCCAAGTGCTAGAACTATAGGCGTGTGCCACCATGCCTGGCTAATTTATTTATTTATTTATTTATTTATTTTTGTGGCGGGGGGAAGATGGAGTCTGTCTCTGTTGCCCAGAGTGGAGTGCAATAGTGCGATCTCGGCTCACTGCAGCCTCTGCCTCCCAGGTTCAAGCAATTCTCCTGAATCAGCCTCCCGAGTAGCTGGGACTACAGGCACATGCCACCACGTCCAGCTAATTTATTTATTTATTTATTTATTTGTATTTTTAGTAGAGATGGGGTTTCACCATGTTGCCCAGGCTGGTTGCGAACTCCTGAGCTCAGGCAATCTGCCCACCTAGGCCTCCGAAAGTGCTAGGATTATAGGTGTGAGCCTCCATGCCCGGAGTTAATTTTTATATTTTTAGTGGAGATGGGGTTTCACCATGATGCCCACACTGGTCTTAAACTCCTAGGCTCAAGCAATCCGCCCACCTCAACCTCCTAAAGTGCTGGGATTACAGGCACAAGCCACCACACCTGCCCATTAAATGTATTTTCTTTTTCTTTTTCTTTTTTTTTTTTTGGAGACAGAGTCTAACTCTGTCACCCAGGCCGGAATGCAATGGCACGATCTCGGCTCGCTGCAACCTCCGCCTCCCGGGTTCAAGTGATTCTCCTGCCTCAGCCTCCCGAGTAGCTGGGATTACAGGCGTGCCCTCCACGCCCAGCTAATTTTTGTATTTTTAGTAGAGACGGGGTTTCACCATGTTGGTCAGGCTGGTCTCGAACTCCTGACCTTGTGATCCGCCTGCCTCAGCCTCCCAAAGTGCTAGGATTACAGGCGTGAGCCCCCGTGCCCGGCCTATTAAACGTATTTTCAACTTACGATATTTTCAACTTAAACAATGTGTTTATCAGGATGTAGCCCCATCGTAAGTCAAGGAGCATCTGTACTTTATTCCCTACAAATCTCTCTGGATTCTGACAACGGCAGCCTCTACCAATGACCACTTTTCCCATAGGGCAGCGGAATCCCCATGGCTTGTGAAGGGGTCTAGAGAATGCCACTGAAGCATAAAAATTATTCTGAGCAGAAGGCATTTGAAAATGGGCCTTTTTCTTTTCTTTCTTTCTTTTTTTTTTTTTTGAGACAGAGTCTTGCTCTGTCACCCAGGCTGGAATGCAGTGGTGCGACCATGGCTCACTGCAGCCTCAACCTCCTGGTGCTCAAGTGATCCTCCTGCCTCAGCCTCCTAAGTAGCTAGGACTACACGTGCGTGCCACCACCGGCTATGTTGCTGTTGTTGTTTGTTTTCAGACACAGGGTTTCGCAATGCTGCCCAGGCTGGATGAGAATAGGCTCTTTTCTGAACTCCTTTGTCTGCCTAAATGCAGAGCCCTGCAAAAGAGCTCCATTGTCATAAATCCCCCTCCCAGGAGTTTCTCAAAACCAGGGAAAATTGACTTATTGCTGGAGGGGAGAATAGTTGGCACCACACCTAAACAGTCAGGTCACGAAACTATAATAGCTCCCATCTTTTCTCCTAAGGGCCCATTCATCTTTCCTAAAAATTACTTTTCTATAAGTGTCCTTTCTCCTCCTCCCCTTCTTCTATTGAGATGGTACATAACCCGCAAATTCTAACTTCCTTCTAGAGTCACACTCTTCCATGAACTTCCCTACATTCTGAATAAAAATCGGTCATTTCTCTTTTATCGGTTTAATTCTCAGGCCTTCAAGTACTGAACCTAAGAGGATAGAGGAAAAGTTTTCCTCCCCCAACACTTGGAACCAGTTTAGTCATGTCAGCAACGTATCTTCCCCAACTCCCTTTCTTTTTTGTTTCTTTTTTTTCCTTATTAGGCTAAAAACGTTTATTAAAAAAATTAACAACTTTGTTTTAAAGCATTTTATATTCCTGGATGAAAATATCCAATATTGGAAAAAAGTGAAATTTCAGCCGGGCACAGTGGCTCATGCCTGTAATCCCAGCATTTTGAGAGGCTGAGGCAGGATTGCTTGAGGCCAGGAGTTTGAGACCAGCCTGGGCAACATGGTGAGATCTCCCCCTCCCCATCTCTACAAAAATCTTAAAAATTAGTTAGGTGTGGTAGCGCACACCTGTGGTCCCAGTTACTCAGGAGGCTGAGATGGGAAAATCACTTGAGCCCAGAAGGATGAGGCTGCAGTGAGCTGAGATGGAGCCACTGCACTCTAGCCTGGGTGACAGAGTGAGACCCTGTCTCCAACAAAACAAAACCAAACCATAAAATTTCCTCAAATTAATTTTTTTTTTTGAGACAGGGTCTTGCTCTCTTGCCCAGGCTGGAGTGCAGTGGTATGATCTCGGCTCACTGCAACCTCCACCTCCCAGGTTCAAGTGATTCTCCCACCTCAGCCCCCTGAGTAGCTGGGACTGCAGGCATGCACCACCACACCCAGCTAATTTTTGTATTTTTAGTACAGATGGGGTTTCACCATGATGGCCAGGCTGGTCTCGAACTCCTGACCTCAGATGATCCACCCAACTCGGCCTCCCACAGTGCTGGGATTACAGGCATGAGCCACCGTGCTCGGTCCAGAGCTTTTCAGCATGTAGTCCCATTTGTTTATTTTTGCTATTGTTGCCTGTGCTGTTGGTGTCTTATCCAAAAAATCATTGTCAAGACCAATGTCGTGTAATAGTTCCCCTATATTTTCTTCTAGGAGTTTTACAGTTTTGGGTCTTATATTTAGGTCTTTAATCCATTTTGAGTTTATTTTTGTGTGTGCTATAAGGGTCCAATTCCATTCTTTGGCATGTGAATATTCAGTTTTCCCAACACCATTTATTGAAAAGACTATCCTTTCCCCAAGGTGTCTTCTTGGTGCCCTTGTTGAAACTTAATTGGCTGTACAGGCTTGGGTTTATTTCTGGGCTCTGTATTCTCCCCTTCCCCTTCTAACTTCTTGACATTGGGTATCCTTGGGAACTTCTTAGACATTGGGTATCATTGGGTTTCCAGCCTGCCACCTCTCCTTCCACGGTCATTTCATAGGTTTTCTCTGAATGGGGAGAGCTCACATAACACAATGGAAGTCTGGTTATCTGTCTGATACATTTAGTACAGGACAGCATATTCTACCAAGGTATGGTTCACATCGTTTTGCTATGACTTACAAGGGGGCGTTCTAAGTACAACCATAGTTTACCTCCAAACTCCCCAGCCCTTGCATCCTAAGCCCAACATCCTGGAGGGCATGTTTGGCTCAGTTCTGGTGGCTGAATGTGGAAATTTAGGTCCAAAATCTGAAATAATTAACTCCAAAATGTAACCTGAATATAACAGGCACTACTCACAGACAAGCGAGCTAGCATCTAACTCCAAAAGCCTCACCACACACTGAGACTTCCTAAAACTCCACTTGACTCATTCTCTCTCCAACCCCACACCACAGTCGCTGCTCCAGTCTTTCTTTCTCACTCTTTCCTAGGCTCTCCTTCCTTCCTTCCTTCCTTCTTTTCTTGTCCCTCTTTTCTCTTGCCTCCCAGAAGATTCAGATTCAGCACTTTCCAACTGTGTGACCTTGAACAAGTTGCTCAACCCGTTTCCCTACCTGTAAAACAGAGGTGATAACAGGAGAGACCCCACAGGTTTGTTGCAGGATTAAATGAGATCATGTGCATAAGGCAGCTAGAGCGGCCCCTAACATCTAGTAAGTGCTCAATAAACATCCTCAATTCTTTATACACATGGATATTTTGTGTACCTTCTTTCACATTTCTGAAATTTAAGGTCGTGGAACTGGAATATCAGGTGTAAACTGGGCTTCCGGGGGGTAGATTACAGAGTGGGCTGAAGGCAGAAAGGGGTTGGGGTGGGAAGGGAGCTTTGGTCTCTTCTGGGGGACTTTCATTCATGCCCCAACTGGGGAAAGACCCCAAGTCCAACAGTGTCCCTTCCTGCTTCCTCCCTCATATCACCTCCCCACCCCCCAGAAACCTGTACCATGCCCACCCCAGCCCAGCCCACCCAGGCCCCAACTCTGTGGGCAGCAAACATTGAAAAAGCTCTTTATTTCAATCACTCCCCACTTCCCTCCACTCATGGTGGAGGCTCTGGGGAACAGGGTGAACACAGAGCTCTGGGTAGGGAGGAGAGCAGGTGGAGGAGGAGGAGGCAGCAAGAAGGAGGGAGCACTAGAAGAACATTTTCTTAGCCAACTTCTGCCTTCCAATTTTCTGACAACGGCCATAGGCGATGCTAAGCCATTTCTCATTCTTTGAATATATACAAGTCAGGTTCCGCAGGCAGGGACACGCTCTATATTGGCCAAAGAACACCTGGGAAAGACAGGACTTTGACCTCGACCTTGGCGGCAGCTCTTCCCTGAGCCCCTAAGCCCAGCCCAGCCCAGCTCCAGGGCCCATGTGCTTGCCCACAGCCAGGATCCAGGGATAAATGATAGCTTGCCAGCTGCTCAGAGTGGCACCTCTGGCTGCCTTCTCCAGGCTGGCTCCTGGATTGTTCAGTGTCCTCCCAGCTCCAGACCTTGTAACCCTGCCTGTCACTGACCCATCTGCCTGTCCTAAGTCCATGGACACACCATCGCAGGACCTCTATGTCTTGTCTTTAAATCCTTCCATGGGCAAATCAACTCCCTCCCCTACACACCCAGCTCAGAGGCTGCCTCTGCCCATCCTCCACCAGGAACACCCGGGGCCACAGCAGAACTCCTGAGCTGGATGAAGACGGGGCTCTGGGGCAGAGGCTGGACCTAGCTGTGCCCATTTACTGTACTACTTTCGGAATTTGCTGAGAAGACTCCTGGAGAATGTGAACCCACATTAGAAAGTGAAACATCGCCTTCCCGCCCCAATCCAGGATTCCAAAACCCTAGGGTGGGCTACCATATTGGTTCCGTCCACAGGCTCCCCCAGAAGGCTTGGAGGTGCAGTCCCACGGGGGAATTCCAGGCTCCAGGGCATTTCCGCCCACCTACCCTTCTTTCCTCCCCAGGAATCTGGGCCCGCCCTGGCTCCCACTTCCCCTGGATCCCCTCTGGCTCCCCCCGGGCGGCGATACCCACCTGCGTTTGACACAGACTGCCCTCGGACCCCTTCTCCGCGCAGTGCGACTCGCAATTGTCTGGAGCACGTTGGCAGCAGCCAGTCTCGCAGTCCTGGTTCCGGATGCAAGACTCCTTGAGCTCCTGCAGGGAGGGACACGGCACCGCCAGGCTCCACCGCCCGCCTTCCGCCCTCGCCGCCCCGCCTGGGGCTTTCTCCCTACGGGGCTCCTCCCCAGACTCTGCTCCCACCATCACCTCTGGCTCCTGCCAGGCAGGGTGGTCTCTACGTGGGGGCCGGGGTAAGTCTGTGCAGACGGTGGATGCCTGGAGGGGACTGAACAGTTTTTAAAAGGTTTACTCTTGGTGTCCTCAACATAGGCTGCTTCTCATACACACCAGAGTGGTCTAGACTTTCCTGTCTCTCTCTTGCACTTCATTCTGCTGCAGAGCCTTCTCGCCCCAAAACTCATACTCACCCTTTCACCTGTGCCTGATGGTCACCTACATGCATTCCCACCGCCCCTCCCCCTACACACATCAATGACCTCCACCCAGCACTGGGGCTTAGGACAGTAATTAACATTATTGATCACAGCCACCCATCATCTCTGACAATTTCAATAGTCATTCAACAGGCAAATACTGAGCACCTACTGTGTGCCAGGCACTGTTCCAGGCACTGGGAATACAGCTGGGAACAACAAAAACAGAAATCCCTGTCCACCTGCAGCTGACATTCCAGAGCAGCACTGTCCAACAGAGCTTCTGCAGTGACGAAAATGTGCTTTTTCTGCCCAGTCCAATAGCCACTAGCCACTACTGAGCACTTGAAATGTGGTAGTGCAACTGAGGAGCTGAATTTAAATTTTCTTTTCTTCTTTTTTTTGAGATGGAGTCTTGCTTCCATCGCGCAGGCTGGTATGCAGTGGCGTGATTTCGGCTCACTGCAACATCCACCTCCTGGGTTCAAGCAATTCTCCCGAGTAGCTGCGATTACAGCCGTGCGCCACCATGCCTGGCTAATTTTTGTATTTTTAGTAGAGACGGGGTTTCGCCATGCTGGCCAGGCTGGTCTCGAACTTCTGACCTCAGGTGATCCACCCGCCTCGGCCTCCCAAAGTGCTAGGATTACAGGCATGAGCCACCGCGCCCAACCCTCTTTCTTTCCTTTCCTTTTTTTTTTTTTTTTTTTGACAAAGTCTCACTCTGTCACCCAGGCTGGAGTGCAGTGGTGCAATTATAGCTCACTGTAGCCTCAACCTCTAGGTTCAAGCAATCCTCCTGGCTCAGCCTCCCGTGTAGCTGGGACCACAGGCACACACCACCATGCCCAGCTAATTTTTTTATTTTTTGTAGAGATGTTACAGGTAGTTAGACAGGCATGAGTGGGGTAGGAGAGGGCTCTCCCCCACCCACCAGGAATGTCAGGTGATGGTTCAACAGTTATCACATTGCCTCTCTAAAAATGATAATTTGGCAGTTAGGCTCCAGGGAGAGACAGGCTTCTAATGGTCCACAGCTGTTAACATTAAAGTGTCCATTGAAAGCAGGGGCCAGAGAGAAGCAAAAAGGGCTTCCAATAAAATCTCAGGTGTTGGGTGAGTGAGCCCGGGGAATGCACATTAAGAGAAAAAATGGAGGAGTATGAATTTCCGGGGACAGGGCCAGGCATGGTGGCTCACGCCTGTAATCCCAGCACTTTGGGAGGCCGAGGCGGGCAGATCACGAGGTCAGGAGATCGAGACCATCCTGGCTAACACGGTGAAACCCCGTCTCTACTAAAAATACAAAAAATTAGCTGGGCGTGGTGGCGGGTGCCTGTAGTCCCAGCTACTTGGGAGGCTGAGGCAGGAGAATGGCGTGAACCCGGGAGGTGGAGCTTGCAGTTAGCTGAGATTGCACCACTGCACTCCAGCCTGGGTGACAAAGCGAGACTCTGTCTCAAAAAAAAAAAAAAAAAAAAATTTCCAGGGGCACACTCCACAGGAAAAGGGAACAAAGCCTCAGATGGGCATGCGTACAACTTCCTAAACACCCTGCATGTGCTCACTTCCCAAGGGTAAGGAGGACACTGCGCATGTGGTCAGCTCACCCTAAGGGAAGAATCAGGGGAGAGAGGCACACGACACTGGAGGTAGGCAAGACTGTTAAGGGGTAGGACCAAGGTTAAACACTGCACTTGCCCTTCAAGTTGCCCACTTGGGACTCTTCCAAGTGTACTTTCCATTCTTTCCTGCTCTAAAGCTTTTTAATAAACTTCCACTCCTGCTCTGAAACCTGCCTCAGTCTCTTTTTCTGCTTTATGCCCCTCAGTTGAATTCTTTCTTCTGAGGAGGCAAGAATTGAGGTTGCTGTAAATGCATACAGATTCATTGCCAATAACTCAGATACCTTCCACCAGTAAGAGACAGGAGTCTTGCTTTGTTGCCCAGGTTGGTCTCGAACCTCTGGGCTCAGACAATCCTCCCACCTTGGCCTCCCAAAATGTTGGGATTACAGCCATGAACCACCACACCTGGCTTGAATTTTAAATTTTGTTGAATTTTAATCAATGTAAATCTAAGTAACTATATGTGGCTAGTGTAAACCAAAAATAAAATTTGAAGCCTCCCACCACCACCAATCCACAGCCATCTCAGTCGACTCCTTCCTTGGCCAGGGCACTCTAAAATTTAACCTGAAAGACTGGTTCAGGCCATGACGGGAAGTGGGGGTTGGACATGCCTCATTAATACCCCTCCAGCATTAACATTAACAAAGACCTTAAGTCTGATCAGAAACATGTACAATCTATTTTCTATGAAGCCTATTACTGGAGGCTTCATCTGCATGATAAAACCTTGCTCTCCTCAACCCCTTATCTTAACCCAGACATTCCCTTCTGCTGATAATAGCTGTTCAACCAACTGCCAATCAGAATTTGTTTAAATCTACCTATGACCTGGAATGGAAGTCATGCCCCCCACTTCAAGTTGTCCCACCCTTCCAGATCAAACGAATGTAAATCTTACAGGTACTGACTGACATATTATGTCTCCCCAATGTGTATAAAAGCAAGCTATACCCCAAAAAACAAAAAACAAAAAAAAAGCAAGGTGCACCCCAGCCACCTGAGGCTGTATCACAGGTGTGTCCCTAACCTTGGCAAAATAAACTTTCTAAATTGACTGAGACCTGTCTCAGATATTTTGGGTTCACACTAGTAACTGCACTATTGGACACACACAGCTCTAGAGAGGGAAGACAGGGAAGAGATACATAAGTGAAATGATACGGTATCACAGAAAAAACGTTGAGCAAAATAAGTCAGATTTTTTTTTTTTTTTTTTTTTGGAGATAGAGTCTCGCCGTCGCCCAGGCTGGAATGCAGTGGTGCGATCTCGGCTCACTGCAAGCTGTGCCTCCCAGGTTCACGCCATTCTCCTGCCTCAGCCTCCTGAGTAGCTGGGATTACAGGCACCCGCCACCACGCACAGCTAATTTTTTTTGTATTTTTAGTAGAGACAGGGTTTCACTGTGTTAGCCAGGATGGTCTTGATCTCCTGACCTCGTGATCTGCCTGCCTCGGCCTCCCAAAATGCTGGGATTACAGGCATGAGCCACCGCGCCCAGCCCCCCTTTTTTTTTTTGAGACAAAGTCTCACTCTACTGCCCAGGCTGGAGTGCAATGGCACTTTCTTGGCTTAGTTCAACCTCTGCCTCCCGGGTTCAAGCAATTCTCCTGCCTCAGCCTCCCAAGTAGCTGGGATTATAGGCATGTGCCACCACACCCAGCTAATTTTGTATTTTTAGTAGAGATGGGCTTTCACCATGTTGGTCAGGCTGTTCTCGAACTCTTGACGTCAGGTGATCCACTTGCCTCGGCCTTCCAAAGTGTTAGGATTACAGGCGTGAGCCACTGCGCCTGGCCCAAATTTTTTTTTAAAAGTACATACTGTGTGATTTCATCATACAAAGTTCAAAACTAATCTATAATAATGGAAGTCAGGAGACAGTTGCCTTTGGTGCTATTGACTAGGAGAGTAAGAGTGAGGCTTTTGGGGTAATGAAAATGTCCTATATCTTGTTCTGACGGTAGTGATGAGGGGGTCTGCATAGGTTCGAATCCATTGATTTCCATGTAAACTCAAGATCTGAGCACCTAGTAAGGTGTGATTTTTACCACATATGTTATATACATAACAATAAGTAATATTTATATTATATATGTATAATCCTATTATGTACGATTATGTGCTATAAAGAAAATAAGGCAGGAAAGGAGGATTGGCTATAGCCGCCTCCCGGCCTCCCTGCTTCCATCCTTGCCAGTGACCTCCCCCAGGTACCCCCTCACCATCCCCACTCTCACTTCCACCTCCCCAACCTCCTCAAGTCAGTTCTTCCCAGAATAGCTAGAGGAGTCTTTTTTAAAAGATAATTCCCACAATGCCATTCTCTGGATTCAAAGCCATCACTGGGGCTCTGAATCCACACCTGGCCTGGCCCCAGGGCATTTGCGCTTGCTGGCCCTCTGCCCAGAGCACCCTGTCCTGCACTCTTTGCCCGGCTGCCTCCCCCTCCTGCCTCAGGCTGAAGACTTCCTGGACACCAGCAGAGCAGTCCCCATCACCTGGTTGTACTTTGTTCACAACACTTATGACTCTCTGAAATCATCTTATTTATATGTTTAAAAATAATTTATTTCCCCCGCTAGCAACCTCAGCTCTGGGACATGGATCTTCTGCTCTCACGTTCACTGCTATATTTCTTAGCCCCCTTGGACTAAAGTCCTTACACATTGCAGGTGCTGAATGCATAACTGTTGAATAAATGAGAATATTGTAACTGTGTTCCATTTATCTCTCTGAGCTCATCTCCCATGATTTCCACTCTCTCTTACTCCTCTTTGCTATTCCTTGAATATGCCAGCACATTTCCGCCCCCAGACCTTTGCCCTGGCTGTTCCCTCCACCTTGAATGCTCTTCTCCCAGAGACCCCCCTGCTTTGCCGGTTAGGAAGGACTTCCCTCCCTTTAGGTCTTTGCTAAAATTTCACATTCTTAGTAAACTCTTCCCTGAGCACCCCATTTAAAACTGCAAACCCTGGCCAGGTGCGGTGGCTTACGCCTGTAATCCTAGCACTTTGGGAGGCCAAGGCGGGTGGATTGCTTGAGGTCAGGAGTTCAAGACCAGCCTGACCAATACGGTGAAACCCTGTCTCTACTAAAAATACAGAAAAAAAAATTAGCTGGGCGTGGCAGTGGGTGCCTGTAATCTCAGCTACTCGGGAGGCTGAGGCAGGGGAATCGCTTGAACTCAGGAGGCTAAGTTTGCAGTGAGCCGAGATTGCCCCACTGCACTCCAGCCTGGGTGACAAAGCAAGACTCTGTCCCAAAAAAAAGAAAAAGAAAAAGAAAAAAAAAAAAAACACCTGCAAACCCTTCTCACACCACCACTCCCACAGCTCGATTCTTATTTTCCCTTTCCTTGCTTATCACCTGAGATAGATGCTATTATTAATAGCATCTATTGTAATGTTTTACTTCTTTGCCTCACACACTAGAGTGACAGCTCTACAAGGGCAAGGATTTTTATCTTTCTTGCTCACAGCCCTATCACTAAATGTAGAAAAATAATTTACATATAGTAGGTGCTCAATAAAAATGTGTTGCATGAGTGAATATCTGTCTCCCTTACCACATGTGCGCATGGGCAGGGGGGCTCTCTCACATTCACCTCTGTGGCAGCAGCACCTGGCACTGCCCTGGCACAGCTTCCAGGACCAGGTTGTTCTCTCTTTCCTCCGAGACATCTTCCACCCAACACTCCCTGCTGCCCCCACTTCTGGCCTTCTCCCACACTAGCCCCCATGCCCGCTCACCTCCCCAAATAGTACAGGCCTTAGGACAGTGGAGGGGGAGGTGACTGCACTCTCCAGCTTTCTTACCAAAAGGTTGTATTTTGTTGGAGAAAGTGAGCCCCTGGTGAGGAGGAAGAGAAAGAAGAAGAGAAGGAACAGCAGCAGCAGCCATTGGGGTAGCATCATGGCCCACAGGTCGTGGTGGCTTTTCTAGGGTCCAGCGAAATATCCTGCACGCCGACCATGTGGGTGTCCTCCCAGCTGTGGGAACACCATGTAAAACCAGCACCCAACCCCGTCAGAATTTTCCCATCCTGCACAATACTCAGGCTAGGCCAATCAGCAAATTCCACCACAATAATTAGTTCAGGCAGACTAAGCCAATCCAATCAGAACCGATCTTAGGATGTTTGCTGAAAATTGTGGAACAGAGATGTTTTCTTTCTCTGAAAGGCACAGTATTGATGTACATGGTGGATTTGTGGTTAAGAGCCTGGCCTCTGGGGCAGGATTGTCTGGGTTCAAGTCTCAGTTCCAACCCTTACTTTAGGAGCCTCGATACCCTGTTTGTAAAATAGGGATAATTATAACACCTACTATAGCCCTGTTGTGACAAAAAGATGAGTCAATACAGTTAAGAAAGCACTTTGGGCCAGGCGCAGTGGCTCATGCTTGTAATCCCAGCACTTTGGGAGGCTGAGGCAGGAGGATCACTTGAGCCCAGGAGTTTGAGACCAGCCAGGGCAATACAGTGAGGCCCTGTCTCTATTAAAAAAAAAAAAAGAAAAAGAAAAAGAAAAAAAATTGGCCGGGCATGGTGTCACACACCTGTAGTCCCAGTTACTTGGGAGGCTGACGTGGGAGGATCTTTTGAGCCCAGGGGGTTGAGGCTGCAGTACGCTGCGATCGAGCCACTGCACTCCAGCCTGGGTGCTGTCTTAAATTTTTTAATTAAATGAAAAAGAAAGCACTTTGCACAGTGTCTGGCACATAGGAAGTGCTCAATAAATCCTACCTGTTATTAGGTGACACCTGGAATGTTTGTGACTACTGGGAAGGAATTCAGCCTGAGAGCTGCTGGCTCTGGCCCTACCTAAGGGTTGCCTGACCTCTGGACTTTCATTTCCCATCACCAGTAAATCCCCTCCTCACCTAGACCAATTTGAGTTGGTTTTTAAGATACTTGCAGCAGAAAGAGGCCTCACTGCTACCCCAATGATATGACCTAGGGCAAGTCATGTCGCTTCTCTGGGCCTCAGTTTCTTTGTCCATGCAGTGAACCGACAATACCTGAGAGAGCGGAGGCATCCATGCACCAGGTCCCTTTCCCACCACAGGCATTTCTGCATTTATACTTTGCACATTCTCACCAACTCTCTAATGATCTCTACCCTTTTGTGCCCCACAACCCGCCCCGCAAAACATTCAGATACCTCCACCTAGTCTCTCCCTACCACACACCCCTCCATAGGCACCCCAACATACACTCTCCAGGTACATTCCTCAATCCCGTCTCTCCCACACAGCCCTCCAACCAGAGAATCAGCCCTTTCCCAGACCCAGCCCCTGCTCCACCACACCCTCCCTGTGCCATTCCCTTCCTGCAGTTCTACCCTGACCTCCGGACAGGGCCAAATCCCATTAGAAGCTCATTCATGCCTCCAGTCTCCCCTTTTGCCTGCCCCCTGGACTGGTACAATCTCCACCAGGTCCCCTCGCCCAGAAAGTACAGACAGAGGCCAAGGACAGGAAGTGACTTTAATGTCTCAGGAGCTGGATTTGGAGCAAGTTGGTGGCAACCAGGGCCTATGGCCCCAAGGGAGCAGTGACCAGCCTGCATCTTCCTCTAAATCATATGGCACCGGCGGGAACACATCAAGTCCTTGGATATGCACGTCAAGCCCATCCGGCAAGGGCAGATGATGTTGGTAGCTCCCTTGGTCTGCAGGGAGTGGGTATGAGAATCGGGAGTCACCAGGATGCAGGAAGGATGGGGACTTAAACTTCTTGGGGACCAGAACCAAGAGTACCAGGCCTGGAGTAAGACAGACCTGGGCTGTCTCTACAGCTTATAACTGCGTGACCTTCAGCAAGTCAATGAACCTCTCCAGCTCGGTTTCCTCATCTGTCAAATGGGGACAGTAATAGTAACCCCCCTCATAGGGTTGTTGTGAGGACTAAATGAGATAGAGCAGATCAAGTGGTGATAATAAAAAGACCCTTTAGGCCATGCGCGGTGGCTCACCCCTGTAATCCCAGCGCTTTGGAAGGCCGAGGCGGGTGGATCACCTGAGGTCAGGAGTTTGAGACTAGCCTGGCCAACATGGTCATGGACTAATAATATAAAAATTAGCACATGCCTGTAATCCCAGCTACTCCAGAGGCTGAGGCAGAGGAATTGCTTGAACCCAGGAGGTGGAGGTTGCAGTGGGCCAAGATCACGCCATTGCACTCCAGCCTGGGCAACAAGAGCAAAACTCTGTCTCAAAAAATAAAAAAAATAAAAACCCTCTAGCCACTTCAGCTATAGGGTCAGGCCATGGTAGGGGCCCTGCTGCTTCCTTAGGGCATTGGCAACTCCCCACACAGGGACATAGAGGCTGGGTCCATCCATCCTAGAAAGGTTTGGGCCCAGGGCCAGGTGGGCAGGAACAGGGCGTACTGAGCATTCTGCTCCCTGCATTCCTAAAAGCGAGTGACAACCATGCTGGACTGCACACTCTCCTTGCCAGGACCACATAATCTTCCCAACAGCCTGGTGGGGTAGGTACTTTAGCCTCTCCTTGTAGATGAGGAAACTAAGGCTCAGAGAGCCATGATGACCTGCTTGAAGTCACAAAGATAGGGTGTGGAAAAGTCAGGATTTAAACTCAGGTCCAACTGCAAAGCTGTGGTCCTGCCACTGCAGTGCCATGCTCCTCTCAAGAAATCATGTCACTGTGGCAGGGAGATGGGGACTAGTAAGGGGAAGGTCATTTCCTACTTACCCTGCCTCAGTGGTGTGAGAGAAGAGATATTCATTCATTCAACAAGCATTTATTGGCCGGGCACGGTGGCTCATGCCTATAATCCCAGCACCTTGGGAGGCCGAGCCAGGTGGATCACCTGAGGTCAGGAGTTCAAGACCGGCTTGGCCAACATGGCAAAACCCCATCTCTACCAAAGATACGAAAATTAGCCAGGCATAGCGGTGCACCCCTGTAATCCCAGCTACTCGGGAGGCTGAGGCCCAAGAATCGCTTGAACCCAGGAGGCAGAGGTTGCAGTGAGCCGAGATCATGCCATTGCACTCTAGCCTGGGTGACAGAGCGAGACTCCATCTCGAAACAAACAAACAAACAACAATAAGCATTTATTGAGCACCTACTATGTGCAGATACTAAGCTGGGGGTAGGTGCTTCATAGATGAATATGATGCGATCCCTGCCCTTGAAGAGTTCCAACCACTGGGAGAGGCAGAGAAAAGACATGGCCAGTTAGGGAGATACATGGTCTGCTGAGGGTCTGACCCCAGGGTACAGGAGCTCCAAGGAGGGAAGCCTTCTCAGAGGAGGTGGCTGGAGTTGTTTTGCACCATGAGTAGGAGTTTGCCAAGTGGAGAAGAAGAAGGGCACTCCAGACAGAGGTGAAAAAACAGGTGGGGCCAGGTGTTTTTTTTTTAACCTCCCTGCCCGCTTCTCTACTTGCCAGAAGTTGCCCCATACTAGGGCCTCACCTGGGGCAAGCAGATCATGGTTATTCTGGCCCTGGGGGCACAGAAGGCTCCACCGGAGTCCAAGTCCATGAGGCAGCAGCCACTGTAGCACTCAGAGTGGTGGAAGCACCTGTCTGTGATTTTCTGTGGGGACAGGCAGAATGTCTGCCAGGCTGGGAGCAATCCCTGAGTCGTGTGGGCGGGTAGGGGAGGGTTCCCACCATTGCCAAAGAGCCCAGGGATCCAGGAGAAGTCATGAGGTTGTCACCCCTTGGGGGGCTGGTTCCCCCCCCAGCCCCACCCCGGCCCCTCAGCAGGACCCAGGGCAGCAGAGAGGAGGAGAGGGGGATTAGCACTTTTCCCTCGGCCTCTCCTTTCCTGGACCCCCCTCACCTCCATGAGTCCCATGGGGTGTGTACTCTTAAGTCCCATTTTGCGGGGCAGGGTTGGGGGATGAGAATGAAGGGGCTGCGGGCTCGAAAAAGAGGGAGAGAAAGAGGAGAAAAGGGGAGAGCCCTCGTGCCTGGAAGAATCACTAGACAGTGAGAGGAGGTGGAAGAAGAGGAGGAGAAACCAGAGCATGCAGGGTGGGTTTGCCTGTGAGCAGTTTGGGGAGGGAAGCGAGCCCAGGACTGAGGCCATCGGAAGGGGCACGGGCGGGGGAGGTGGAGGGAGCGAGGGTGCTGGTCATAGGCCAATTTCTCTCCCCTCTGAGGCCACCAGGGGAAAGTGAAGCGGCTTTTGAAGTCCGTCTGAGGATGCCCCAGGCTACCCGCCTGGGTGTGGTTCCGGACCCACCTCTCCCTTTCAGGCTGCCCGGCGCCTTCGGGCTCCAGTGCCCCGGCGGCGGGGCCACCCTCTCCTGCGGTCGCGGCCGGCTGGGCGCGCTCCCCGGCTCACCTTTTTATATTGCGGAAGCGCGCTCCAGAGGGGCAGCACCGCCCCCGACAGGACCCCCGCCACGAGCGCCAGGGCTGCGGCCATGGGCCTGGGCGGCAGAGCAGCGGCGGGGTTCCGAGGGGCCGCGGGATAAAACCTCTTCCCCGGCCACGTGACCCGGCGCCCCAGGCCACCCCGGCGGAGGAGGGACGTGGAGGGCGAGGACGCCTGCGGAAGGGAAGGAGGGAGGAAAGGCGCTCAGGCTCGCACGGGCGGGATTCCAGACTGTAGGGGCCCTGGGAGCCTCCATACGTGTTACTTCCAAGTAGAAGCTTGAAACTGTAAGATAAAACTCTATTTTTATTGTAAGATAAAACTCTATTTTATTGTATTTATTTATTTTACAGACGGAGTCTCGCACTGTCGCCCAGTGCAGTGGCGTGATCTCGGCTCACTGCCATCTCCGCCTCCCAGGTTCAAGTGATCCTCCTGCCTCAGCCTCCCGAGTAGCTGGGACTACAGGTGTGCGCCACCACGCCGGGATAATTTTAAAAATTTCTGTAGAGACGGGGGTCTCCCCATGTCGCCCAGGCTGGTCTCTAACTCCTGGCCTCAAGTGATGGTCCTGCTTCAGCCTCCCAAAGTGCTGGGATTACAGGTGTGAGCCACCGCACCTGGCCTCAAAACTTTATTTTTATAAACGGCACAAAACATATATGCTGAAATAAAAAGAGCTTCCTTCCTGATGTTGATTCTCTGTCTGCCCTTGCAGCCCCAGATTCTCCCCTTACCTTCGGGATAATCCAGCCCCACCCTCTGGGCTGCTCACACCCGCTGCAGGCCCCATTCTCCTCTTCTGTAAGAACCAGGAGGTGGGACAAGATGGTCTCTAAGTCTTAAATCTCTTGCAGTCTTAATCATTCTATTAATTGTCTAAGGATTTGTCTGTGAATTGTGTGAAAGTCAAGATGTGGGGGCAAAATGGAGAAGTGGGAAGAGAAGAAAACTCAGAATAGGGAGGAGGGTTAAGGGAGAGCTAGAGCTGCACAGAGCAATCCTGGAACCGGGGGAGGCAGGCCTTCCTCAGGACTTCCCTATGGATGAAGCTTCCACCTCACCCCACCTGCCTGCTTCTGCTTTTTTTTAATTTCTATTTTTTTTTAATTTTGTATTGTTAATATTTGTTATAGAGACAGGTTGTCCTTATGTTGTCCAGGCTGGTCTTGAACTCATGGGCTCAAGAGATTCTCCTGCCTCGGCCTCCCAAAGTGGTGGGATTACAGACGTGAGCCACCACTCCCAGCCTGCTTCTGCTTTTGAAGTTTCGCTTAAGAAATGAACCGAGGAATCCTGTCTTGGTGGGGAATAACAGCCAAGAATAACAGCCCCCACCGCACTCAGAGGGCCTTGTATCCATTATTTCCGTGAGCCCTCCCTGTATTAACACTAGCTGTCACAGAGTAATTAACACTGGCTGTAACAACAGAACTCCTGGAATTTCGTGGCTTGGCACAATAATGCTTTATGTACAGTCTGATTTGGGGCAAGATACCCTTCTTCCATCCTGTAGCCATCTATAAGACTGGCCTCTGGCTGGGCATGGTGGCTCATGCATGTATTCACAGCACTTCGGGAGGCCAAGGAGAGAGGATCAGTTGTTTTGGGGGTTTTTTTGGTTTTTTTTTTTTTTTTTTTTTTTTTTTTTTTTGAGACAGAGTCTCACGCTATTGCCCAGGCTGAAGTGCAATGGCACAATCTCGGCTCACTGCAACCTCCGCAAAGTGCTGGGATTACCAGTGGGAGTCACCATGCCCGGCTGAGAGGATCTCGTGAGCTCAGGAGTTCAAGGCCAGCCCTGGGCAATATAGTGAGACCTCATTGCTACAAAAAAAATTTAAGAAATTAGCCAGACATGGTGGCACATGCATGTAGTCCTGGCTACTCGGGAGGCTGAAGCTGCAGTGAGTTATGATCGTGCCACTGCACTCCAGCATGGGCAACAGAGTGAGACCCTGTCTCAAAAAAAAAAAAAAAAACTAGCATCCAAGGTCTCCATGGAAGACCTGCCTTCTCCACTCACAAACCACCTGCTGGAACTAGTCACATGATCCCAACCCTCTAACCTTCTGCAAGGGAGGCTGGGAAATTCAAAGGAGTCTTGGAATATTTAGCATCTACTATCATTTCTGCTGCGTAACTCTTAGCCCTGTTTTACAGACTAGGAACCTGAAGGCTCAAGATAAAGTTACTTGCCCAAGGAACAGGATTAAATGGCAGAGTCAGATATAAATCCAGGGCATTCTAGCTCCTGGGTCCAAGTTCTTACCACTGATCTACACTGCTGCGGGCGGCCAGAGGGCTTTGGCCCTAGTAAGGGGGTTCCCATCATTACCTAGTAAGGGGGCTCCAGCAGTCGCGGTCTGAGCTCTCTTCATATGTGTGTTCTGCTACCTTGGCTGACTAGCGACCCATCCACGCAGACCATTTGTGAACTGGAGAGGAGGCCTGGGGATGGATACTTCCTTGTACTGCTTCACCGGCTTCCTTTGCCCATACCCCCATGACCGTTAGATACTTGAGAAGTATTGTTGACTGCTTAGGAAAGTGGCAAATTTGAAGGCAAGGGGCCAGCAACTGCGTGTCAGGGTTAGCAGCCCCTGGGGAACCCACTGAAGGCCCTGAGGGGTGGTGAAGCCCCTGGAATTCTGTACAAAATATTATGGGCATGGCTTTTTTTTTTCTTAAGCCAGAGATCTTCCGGTTTCCTCAAAAACAACTAGTTCAGAACCTTTATTTTCAGTTGAGGAAACCGAGGCCCAGAGAAGGCAGGGACTTCTCCCAGTAACTCAGCTGGTGAGTAGCAGAGCCAGGCCTAGCTCTGCTCCTGACTCCAAGTCCTGTACCATGGCCTGCCAGCACCGGTCACAGGCACATGTCCAGGGTACCTCTGCATTGCGGGGGAGTAGGAACAAGATCACCAGGGTCTCCAGCGCCGGGAATCCCTGAGCTGCCTGACCTGTGAGCATGGCCACAGCTCTGCCCAGGGCCCAAAACTGGCCACCTCAGACTTCAGTGAGCAGAAGGGGGTCAGTTCAGGACAGGGGAGCACCTTGCTGGTGGACTTCTTACCCCCTATTTCCTGCCTCTTCACCTTCCCCTCCTCTGACAGTCTCTAACGTCTCACTTCTTTTCTTCTGCATCTTTCTGGTGGTGCAAGTGGTGGTTTCCATGACAATGTTCTCACTGGTCTGCAGCAAAATGAAAACAATAAGGATAATGTAGTAGTGTTTTTGTTAAAGGTAAATATATTCAATTTATTATTATTAAAAAAAAATTTGTTTTTGAGGTGTCACCCAGGCTGTAGTGCAGTAGCGCGATCTGGGCTCACTGCAGCCTTCGCCTCCTGGGTTCAAGCAAGTCTCCTGCCTCAGCCCCCCTCCAAGTAGCTGAGAATACAGGCGCGCGCCACCACGCCCAGCTAATTCTTGCATTTTTAGTAGAGGTAGCGTCTCAACATATTGCCCAGGCAGGGAAATGTATTTAATTTAAAAAGTAATTATTTATTCTGAAATTATGTCTTTTCTACTTCTTTGGTGTTAAAATGTGCTTTTATGAAATAATGGCGATCAGGGGTTCAAGACCAACCTGGCAACAAAGTGAGACCTCTGTCTCTACAAAAAATAAAAGAATTAGCTGGGCATGGTGGCATCTGCCTATGGTCCCAAATACATGGGAGGCTGAGGTGAGAGGATCTCGAGCCTGGGAGGTTGAGGCTGCAGTGAGCCATGCCACTGCACTCCAATCTGGGTGACAGAGATAGACTGTCTCAAAAAAGTAATAATAATTAAATAAAATGGTGATGGTATTTGGAGGTAAAAAATAAAATAAAATATTTAAAAATATATTTTAAAAAAGCAATAATAGCCACGATACAGTAGTAGTTTTGTTTCATTGTTCATGTTCTTTTTTGGCGCATATATATATATATATATATATATATACTTTTTTTTTTTTTTTGAGACCAAGTCTTGCGCTGTCACCCAGGCTGGAGTGCAGAGGTGCCATCTTGGCTCACTGCAACCTCTGCCTCCCAGGTTCAAGCAATTCTCCTGCCTCAGCTTCCCAAGTAGCTGGGATTACAGGCGCCCGCCACCACGCCTGGCTAATTTTTTTGTATTTTTTTTAGTAGAGACAGGGTTTCACCATGTTGGCCAGGCTGGTCTTGAACCCCTGATCTTAGGTGATCCACCGGCCTCCCAAAGTGCTGGGATTACAGGCTTGAGCCACCGAAACTGGCTTTTGGCCAATATATTAAATATATGTGCACAAATTCTGTTAGTCCTCAGAATTTTTTGGAAGTCTTATCAGTCTTTGAAATCCAAAATAAAATTCTGGGGAAAACTGACCTCATGAAAATTGCGCATTACTCAAGTCCTTCCTGAAGGAACTCTAAAAGTAATCTGGGGAGAGTGAGGAACGAGTGGGTGCCCTAAGAGTTTGATATGCAAAGATAGATCAGCAAAGCCTTCCTAGAGAAGAGGACCAGAGTGGGAAGTGTTTGGAGGTGAGGAGGTGGAGGCCTCAAGGTTGTATGTCCCGGACCCTGGCAGGAGAGGGCCGCGCTGTTTTGCTAAGCCTTGAAGGGGGACTGGGATTTGGCAAGCAGAGAGACTAAGGGTTTCCAACCAGGGGTACAGGGTGGGCAAAGGTTTGGAAGTGACAGTGAGTAGCTGTGGGTAGAACAGCAAGGAGATGGTGTCTGCTTGTTGGGGATACAGATTGGAGATGGGGCGGTCAGCGTGCAAAGGAACTTGAGGGTCTGTGGGAATAGCCCCTGTTGAGGTGGCTCCTCAGTGGAAAGCTGGGTTGGTGGTGGCAATGCTAGAGTCAGAGCAGGGGGACCTGAGCCATTGAGCCAGGGGTGCAGGGTGAGGGTGGGGTTGCCCTGCTCTGTCTGTGAGGACAGGAGGGTCTCTAGAAGGAGAGGCCCAGCATGCCCAAGGGAGATCAGCTCTTTCCCAGCTTCTAGTCACCCCACCCACACAACATACTCTGAACCAGGGGCAGGGCTCAGAACACACACTTCTCATTTTACTTCTTCCCGGGACAGGCTGGCCCTGCTGAGAGGCTATCAGCTCAGCTTGGGAGAAAGACAGGCCCGGAGGGAGAAGAGGGAGCTGACCTGCCGCCTCCTCCTGGACTGGGCTGGCCCTTTGACCCTAGGGCTTTGGCCTGAAGGACAGAGTGGGCAGTGGTGTCTGGCGGCCAGGTGTGCTGCCCCATTGCCTTCACCCATGGGAGGGGACTGAGCTTTTCCAAGCAGCTTAGCCTATGACAGGGGCCTTCCTCAGACGGGCCAAGGAGGGCTCCCTACAACCTCTGTGTTCAGGCAAAAGGTTCATGCACAGAGAGGTCTCCAGAGGGGACATAGCAGGGGAATGCCCCGTGCTGCCACCCTGCCCACACCACCTGTGCGTAGGGTGCATGTGTAGACTCGCTGGCTCTAGAGCCCCTTCCTTCTCCCACTCGGTGAGGCTGAGCCACATTTGTGCCTAGTCGCCTTGGCAGTGAGGGCCCCTTGCTTACCTCAAGGAGCCATGAGGGAATCACAACTCCTGTAGCTGCAAGTGAAAGAATTCAAGCCAAAGTATGTAATTTTAACAATAAAAAGCAAAAGAAACAGTATTGGGTCAGTCACCAGGCTGGCCTCAAGGCTCCAAAGAGGAACCACTGACAGGTGTCTCTCTCTTCAGCTTCAGCCTTCAGGCAGCCTCATTTCCTCTCAGGGAGGAAGCCTGCTCTCTGTGGGGGGGAGCAGGGAGCTGTGCACAGCTCTATGCACCTCCCTTCAGCACCCATCTAGAAATTCCTAGAAGACCAGGGGGACTAGGGACCAGAACCTCATGGAACCTGAACAGGGCAGCTCCCCAAAGGCAGGGATATAGGGGGTTGCTGTTTCCTGAGGAATAGGACATGGATGCTGAGTGGGCAGAATTATAGGTGCCCACAACATCCCAAGTTGCCATACACGGAGGATTGCTCTGCTTAAGACCATACCTGGGCCGGGCGCGGTGGCTCACACCTGTAATCCCAGCACTTTGGGAGGCCGAGGTGGGCAGATGATGAGGTCAGGGGATCGAGACCATCCTGGCTGACACGGTGAAACCCCTTCTCTACTAAAAATACAAAAAACTAGCCAGGCGTGGTGGCAGGCGCTTGTAGTCCCAGCTACTCGGGAAGCTGAGGCGAGAGAATGGCGCGAACCCGGGAGGCGGAGCTTGCAGTGAGCCGAGATCGCGCCACTGCACTCCAGCCTGGGCGACAGAGCGAGACTCCGTCTCAAAAAGAAAAAAAAAAAAACATACCTGGATTGAGGAAAAGCTCCCTGGGGCAGGAAGGAGTCATGGACAGTATCCTTTAGCCAAGGGTAACACTGTAGGAAGGGTCCTTGGAAACTTGTTCCCCCCACCACCCCCAAGAAGCCTAAGCTACATTCTATAGAGCAATGGATCTCAATCACTTTTTTTGACTACAACCCATGGTAAAGGTACATTTCACACAGGTATTCAGACAACTAGTAGCTCCAATTAGTTGGTGTCTGTGTTATGCTGGTTTGATGATCACCACTGCAAACATGTGTGTGCTCGTGCATATATACAATGTGTAGGTGTGTGTATGGAACTAAAGTTTCACAAAACAATACTTACATTTACCATATGTGATCTTATCTGAGATTTTCTATTCTTTTCTATTTCATCTTTTAAAAGTGCTGGTTAGGGGCTGGGCATGGTGGTTCATGCCTGTAATCCCAACACTTTGGGAGGCTGAGGCAGGCAGATCACGAGGTCAGGAGTTCCAGACCAGCCTGACCAACATGATGAAACCCCGTCTCTACTAAAAATACAAAAATTAGCCGGGCGTGGTGGCACGTGCCTGTAACCCCAGCTACTCAGGAGGCTGAGGCAGGAGAATCGCTTGAACCCGGGAGGCGGAGGTTGTAGTGAGCCGAGATTGCACCACTGCACTCCAGCCTGGGTGACAGAGTGAGATTCCGTCTCAAAAAAAAAAAAAAAAAAAAAAGCTGGTTAGGATGCACCAAATTGGTTTCATTGTCCACTTATGATCCATCAATTGCTCTACCATTCTGTTGAGTCCACTAGGTTCGTCTGTCCAACTCACTGTATACATCTTGGTGGTCTCCATTCCATTTACCTATTCATTCATCATTCATTCATGTATTCAACAAACGTTTAGTGATACCTATCGTATGTCAGGTACCTTATCAGAGCTCAGTTGCAGATAACAGATACCATCCTACTTATTTTAAGCAGAAAGGAATGTAATACAGATAATTGAGGGCTGACGAAGACATTGAAATGACTGCAAGAGTGGAAACCAGACTGAGCCTCCAGGAATGACTTAAAAAACAAAACAAAACAACCCTGCAGAACTGTGCTACCAGGGGAGCTACTACCCCTGCTGCCATCAGGCAGGTGAGGAGGTAGGTAGTCATCACTGCAGTCCCAGGAACACACACCTTAGCTGTGATATCGGGTTCAGGAAGCTGCCATGAAAGATTATTGCCTGCCAGGTGCAGTGGCTCACACATGTAATCCCAGCACTTTGGGAGGCCAAGGTGGGAAGATCGCTTGAGCTCAGGAGTTCAAGACCAGCCTGAGCAACATAGCAAGGCCTGGTCTCTACAAAAAATTTTTTAAAAATTAGTCCAGCATGGTGGTGCACCTGTAGTCCCAAGCTACTTGGGAGGTTGAGGTGGGAAGATCATTTGAGTCTGGGAGATTGAGGCTGTAGTGAGCTATGATTGCATCACTGCACTCCAGCAAAACTATTGCCTATAGGCAGGTGTGGTGGCTCACTCCTGTAATATTAGCACTTTGGGAGGCCAAGGCAGGAGGGTTGCTTGAGGCCAGGAGTTTGAGACCAGCCTGGACAACATAGTGATACCGTTGTCTCTACAAAAAAAAAAAAAAAAAAAAAAAAAAATTAGCTGGGTGTGGTGGTGTGCACCTTATAGTCCCAGCTACTCAGGAGGCTGAGGTGGGAGGATCACTTAAACCTAGGAGTTTGGGGTTACAGTGAGCTATGATCATAGCACTATACTCCAGCCTGGGCAACACCCCTGTCTCTAAAAAAAAAAAAAAAAAAAGTATTGCCTGTGTCTTCCCTAGCCAAAACAAAACAAAAAAAGTATGCCTCCCAAAAATGCCACTGCCCTCCCTTACCTCCATGAAGATTAGGCTTTAGGCAGTGCATGTGATCAGCAATCACACCTAGGTCTACCACTCTAGTGTTTAGCTTTCCTGCCCTGCAGTGCAGGAAGGGACACCAGAAGGAGATGAAAGAAAAGCTGAACAAGCCATGCTACAGCAGCCACTATAGGGAAAAGTGCCTGGAGGTGGCGAAGGTTACCTGGAGAGGGTGAAGTTAGTCTTCTACTTCCTATTTGAAATCTTTTCAGTTTTTACAGCTGCAAATCACTTTTTTTTTTCTTTTTGAGACAGGGTCTCACTCTGTTGCCCAGGCTGGAGTGCAGTGGCATGATCATAACTTACTGCAGCCTTGGCCTTCTGGGCTCAAGTGATCCTCCTTCCTCAGCCTCCCAAGGCTAGGACTATAAGTGCACGCCACCACACCTGGCTTTTTTTTTTTAAGCCTTTTAAAGATTATTCGTCTTTCAGTGCTTCAACATGATGCCAAAACAATAATTTACTGAATACAAATAGCAAGGAAAGGAATCAAACATTTATAAAATATATTTATTATTTTTCTGACCAAAGTGCAATGATTTAAAAATTTTTTTAAACAACTATAAAAAAAAGTATTCAAGAAAATAAAATACAAATGGGAAATTTAACTAGATTGCTTCTTCTAATTAATCCTAACCTTGTATTTGGTCTAGAAAATGAACAAAAAATCATTTGAAGTGTTACTAAAATGCTAACTGAATCATTTTAGCATAAATCTAGTCACATGCATTTCAAGGTTCCACTGCTAGGAATTTTGTTAAGATCAGTTGAATCATGAATAACACCATATAATAGAGGATGAGGAACACAAGTATTAGATGTGATCCTTGCCCCATACCCTTAGATTATGTCAGAATAAAGCTGACAGTTCTGCCAGGCTCTGAACCTCTAGTGCTTCCAACCCAAACCTTGGAAGCAAAGAATATGCCCTGTCATACAACATTGTTCAAGTTGTAGTAAAACAAAGCCTATGTTTTCTTACTTTTCTATAGGAAATTGTTAGTTATTTGATATATATTAAAACACTGCTAAGAATCCACTTTGAGTTTGTTTACTAAACACATTGTGCAAGAACTGACTCCACAAAAAGTTCCTTTGAAATCTGGTCCACAAATTCACTTAAGGTTGGAAATTTAAAACTTGCAAGAAAAGGAGGAAGTGGGTATCCCTAAATCCTAACATGTTGTAATTACTAAAGGGACATACACACATACGAAAAAGTTTTGCTCATAGAAGGCACAAACTATGAAAGGAATAGTCTTTTTGAATAAAAAAAAATAGCTTGATACGCTTCTTTGTTTAGTGAGCACCATAACTAAGATGAAGTTATGTCTCTTAATTAACTCTCTTCTGTGACGAAAAAAAAGTACATAAAAAACTTAATTTGTCTTACCTATACTTTCCAGCCACTAGGTGAGATGTAGTTTGAAAGATTAAAATTGCCTTAAAAAGGGGTCGCGATAGCAGCTATCAAAGCAGTATTCAAGCAAGATTTCAAGGATGCTTTCAGGTTTCGAATTAGTTTTCCTGTCAAAAATCTTCACAACTTCAAAAACTTAATCAACAGATTGGGAAACATTTATTTTCTTGACTTTCCCCCATTTCTTTATATAAGTCAATAATTGGCTTTGTTGACTGAAGATGGGTCTCAATTCTCTTTCTCAAGCTCTCTCTGTTGTCATCACTCCTACCGCTACTCTTTCCTCTCTCAGGACATCATTCAATACAGATCTTATTATTACAGTTAAAAAACCACACACACACAGAATGAAAGATACATCTATCTGCCTTCCCATTCAACCTTTTTTTTTCTTTTTTTTCTTTTCTTTTCTTTTCTTTTTTCTTTTTTTTTTTTTTTTTTTGAGACGGAGCCTCGCTCTTGTTACCCAGGCTGGAGTGCAGTGGCATGATCTTGGCTTGCTGCAACGACCACCTCCCGGGTTCAAGAGATTCTCCTGCCTCAGCCTCCCGAGTAGTTGGGATTACAGGCGCGCCCCACCACGCCTGGCTAATTTTTTGTATTTTTAGTAGAGACGGGGTTTCACCATGTTGGCTAGGCTGGTGGTGAACTCCTGACCTGAGGTGATCCACCCCCCTTGGCCTCCCAAAGTGCTGGGATTACAGGCGTGAGCCACTGCGTCCGGTCCGTTGTTCCAACCTTGAAGGTTGTCTTGATTTCTTGGAAACCCATCCATCGATCAAAGATGTACTCTTTTGAGCACTGACAGCCATTGTCTGATCCATTTCCCTCTTTAATAAACTGATGGTTATCTCCACTGGTCCCATGTTTCCTTCTTTAATGTAATTTTCAGTGAGTTCACCATACTGTGAATCTGGGCTCTTCCTTTCATCATGAAGTAACTCTCCTGCAGAAAGGTGTGTGTAGCCATCTTTCTCAAGGATGCCAGCGCGCCGGGACCGCCGTGGACAAACACGACCAGCGGCTTCATGAGACCGGGAGGGCAGCGAAGAATCGGCCGGCAGGTCTGCAGCGGGAAGCTAAGGCCCAGGACGTGGAGCAGCGGCTCAGGCAGTGGCTCAGCCTGCACCGCACCTCGGAGCTCAGAGGGCTGACAGGTGCGGCGTGTGCCGGGGAGGCGGTGTGGGAAAGGGGCGGGCTGCCAGGGCATCTGCCCCACGGTCGGAAGAGAGCTTCTTATTTTTTTAATTTATTTTATTTTATTTTTTATTTTTTGTACAGATGGGACATGTTGCACAGGCTGGTCTTAAACTTTTATTTTTATTTTTATTTGAGACAGAGTCTGGCTCTGTTGACCAGGCTGGAGTGCAGTGGCGTGATTTCTGGTCACTGCAACCTCTGCCTCCTGGGTTCAAGAGATTCTCCTGCCCCAGCCTCCTGAGTAGCTGGGATTACAGGCGTCTGCCACCACGCCAGGCTAATTTTTGTATTTTTAGTAGAGACGGAGTTTCACCATGTTGGCCAGGCTGGTCTCAAACTCCTGACCTCAGGTGATCCGCCTACCTCGGCCTCGCAAAGTGCTGGTAATATAGGAGTTATTAAGAAACTATTTTAGGCAGACAGTAAGGGTAAGGAGTCCTCAGTAAGGCTTATTCTTTTTTTTGTTTTGTTTTTGTTTTTTGAGACAGAGTCTCACTCTCGCCCAGGCTGGAGTGCAGTGGCGCAATCTCGGCTCACTGCAAGCTCCGCCTCCCGAGTTCACGCCATTCTCCTGCCTCAGCCTCCCAAGTAGCTGGAACTACAGGCGCCCGCCACCACGCCCGGCTAATTTTTTTGTATTTTTAGTAGAGACGGGGTTTCACCATGTTAGCCAGGTTGGAGGCTTTTTCTTTTAATAAAAGCACCCCCCCACCCCAAACATTTCAGGGTTTTTTTGAGACTCACTCAGTCACCCAGGCTGGAGTGCAGTGTTGCGGTCTCCACATCCCGGGTTCAAGCGATCCTCCCTCCTGCCTCAACCTCCCGTGTAGCTGGGATTACAGGCGCCTGCCACCAGCCCGGCTAATTTTTTGTATTTTAAGTACAGACAGGGTTTCACCATGTTGGCCAGGCTGGTCTCAAACTCCTGACCTCGTGATCCGCCCCGTCCGCCTCGGCCTCCCAAAGCTTTGGGATTATAGGCGTGAGCCACCGGGCCCGGCGGCAACATTTCTTTTCTAACAGAAAAGCAGGCTGGCAAGCTTTGATATGCAAACACAGGCTGTCAGAAACTAGGTCCATCCAACGTAGCGATTCCCGCCCTCTTCTCCTTGTCCCAACGTGTGTCAGGTGTCGTGACCACCTCCAGATGGCTCTAAGAATGCAGGACATCAAGGATACCTGCATTTGCATATTAAAAGGCTAAGGTGGGAGGACCAGGTTTTTCGCAGGCTATGTGAATGACACACCTGGTCAAACCAATCCCCTGGGCCCTATGCAAATCAGACACTGCCTCCTCCAGCCTCCCAATATAAAGGACTACTTTCCGCGCACACGGGGTTTGTCCGTTTGGAGCCCCGCTCCCTCTGTACGGGGGAGCCGTTTTCTTCTTTCTTTCTTCTTTCTTGCCTATTAAACTTTCCGCCCCTTAAAACAACTCCACGTGTGCCCGTGTCGTTTATCTAATCAGCGAGAGAGAAAGAACCCTGGTGTTTCTCCAGTCATGGGAGCTGTATCACTAGGATTGCAGGCATGAGCCACCACGCCTAGTCTGGTCTCAAACTCTTAGCTTCAAGGGATCTTCCTGCTTCTGCCTCCCAAAGAGCTGGGATTACAGGTATGAACCACTGTGCCTGGCCCTATACCACATTTTCTCTACCCATTCATCTGCTGTTGGACATGTAGGTCGATTCACTATCTTGGCTATTGTGAATAGTGCTGCAATAAACATGAGAGTGAAGACGTCTCTTCCATACTGATTTCCTTTCCTTTGGATAAATGCTCAGCAGTGAAACTGCTGGATCATATGGTAGTTCTGCTTGTAGTTTTCTGTGGTACCTGTGAAAGGAAAATAAATTTGCTGCCCCAAAATCACTAAGCTAAAGGGAAAAGTCACGCTGGGAACTGCGTAGAGTAAAGCTGCCTCCCATTCTATTCAAAGTCATCCCTCTGCTCACTGAGATAAATGCATATGTGATTGCCTCCTTTGGAGAGGCTAATCAGAAACTCAAAAGAATTGCAATCATTTGTGTCTTGTCTACCTATGAGCTGGAAGCTCCCTCCCCACTTCGAGTTGTCTCACCTTTCCAGACAGAACCAATGTTCATCTTACATATGTTGATTGATGTCTCTTATCTCCCTAAAATGTGTAAAACCGAGCTGTGCTCTGACCACCTTGGGCACATGTGATCAGGACCTCCTGAGGCTGTGTCACAGGTGCACATCCTCAACATTAGCAAAATAAACTTTCTAAATAAACTGAGAGCTGTCTCAGATATTTGAGGTTCACATACCTACATACTGTTCTGCATAGTGGCTGTACTAGTGTACATTCCCACCAATAGTGTGTATGAGTTCCTTTTCCTCCACATCCCTGTCAGCATTTATTTTTTGCCTTTTTGATAATAGGCATCCTATTATCAAAATGTGCAATTCCCTGATGATTAGTGATGGTGAGCATTTTCTTCATATAATTCTTGGCCATTTGTATGTCTTCTTTTGAGAAATGTCTGTTTAGGTCATTAGCCGTTTTTTTTGTTTGTTTGTTTGTTTGTGTGTGTGTGTTTTTTTTTTTGAGACAAAAGTCTCACTCTGTCTAATCTCATGCCTTCTGACCTAAGTTGTGATAAGAGAAATGTAAACCGAGATCATACCTGTCAGAAAGACGTATCATTTTCTTCCTAAAAGACTGCTACAGTTTTGTAATACAGTGGGTTGGTCAAGGTGTGGGAAAATATTATTGGTAAGAGCAAAGATTGATGAAACTTCTTAAAAGGGAAATTTGGCAATAACTAATACACCTCTTTGATCTAATAATTCCACTTCTAGGAATTTTTCCTACAGAAATATTCCCATATATGCCAATATATAGTTCCTTGCAGCATCATTTGTAATGATCATAAATAACTTAAGGTCTGCCAACTGGTTAAATAAATCATGGTACATTCGTACAATGGAATTCTTTTTCTTTTCTTTTCTTTTTTTTTTTTTTTGAGACAGAGTCTTGCTCTGTCACCCAGGCTGGAGTGCAGTGGCACAATCTCGGCTCACTGTAAGCTCTGCCTCCTGGGTTCACGCCATTCTCCTTCCTCAGCCTCCCAAGTAGCTGGGACTACAGGCGCCTGCCACCATGCCTGGCTAATTTTTTGTATTTTTAAGTAGAGACGGGGTTTCACCGTGTTAACCAGGATGGTTTTGATTTCCTGACCTCGTGATCTGCCCACCTCAGCCTTCTAAAGTGCTGGGATTACAGGCGTGAGCCACTGCACCTGGCCTGGAATTCTTTTCTTGAGACAAAATCTCACTCTATCACCCAGGCTGGAGTGCAGTTGTGTGATCTTGGCTTACTGCAACCTCCACCTCCCGGGTTCAAGCGATTCTCCCACCTCAGCCTCCTGAGTAGCTGGGACTACAAGTGTGCACCACCACGCCCGGTTAATTTTTTTTGTATTTTTAGTAGAGACGGGGTTTCACCATATTGGCCAGGCTTGCCTTGAACTCCTGACATCAAGTGATCCACCCTCTTTGGCCTCCCAAAGTGCTGGGATTACAGGTGTGAGCCATTGTGCCCAGCCCATTTGCCCATTTTTTAAATCAAATTGTTTGTTTTTTGTTTTTTGTGGGGTTTTTTTGGTTTGTTTTTGTTTTTGTTTTTTTGCTGTAGAGATGATTGAGTTCCTTGTATATACGGGATATTAATCCCCTGTTAAATGAGTACTTTGCAAATATTTTCTCCCATTCTGTAGGTTGTCTTTTCACTCTGTTGTTTTCTTTGTGGTGTAGAAGCTGGTTTTGTTTTGCTTTGTTTTGTTTTTGAGACGGAGCCTTGCTCTGTCACCCAGGCTGGAGTGCAGTGGCGTAATCTCAGTTTACTGCAACCTCTGCCTCCTGGGATCAAGCGATTCTCCTGCCTCAGCCTCCCAAGTAGCTGGGATTACAGGCACACATCACCACACCTGGCTAATTTTTGTATTTTTAGTAGAGACGGGGTTTCACCATGTTGGTCAGGCTGGTCTCGAACTCGTGACCTCATGGTCTGCCTGCCTCGGTCTCCCAAAGTGCTGGGATTACAGGTGTGAACCACTGTGCCTGACCTGTTTTATTTAATCCCACTTGTTTATTTTCCCTTCTGTTTCCTGTTCTTTTGAGGTCTTATTCATAAAATATTTTCCCAGACCAATGTCCTGAAGTGTTTCCCCTATGTTTTCTTCTAGTTGTTTTATAGTTTCAGGTCTTCCATTTAGATCTTTGATCCATTTTGAGTTGATTTTTTTTTTTTTCTTTTTTGAGACGGAGTTTCACTCTTGTTGCCCAGGCTAGAGTGCAATGGTGCGATCTCAGCTCACCGTAACCTCTGCCTCCTGGGTTCAAGTGATTCTCCTGCCTCAGCCTCCTGAGTAGCTGGGATTACAGGCATGTGCCACCATACCTGGCTAATTTCATATTTTTAGTAGAGACAGGGTTTCTGCATGTTGGTCAGGCTGGTCTCAAACTCCCAACCTCAGGTGCTCCGTCCGCCTCGGCCTCCCAAAGTGCTGGGATTACAGGCATGAGCCATCGTGCCTGACCTAAGTTGATTTTTATATAGGATGAAAGGTGGGGGTTTCATTCTTCTACATTTGAATATCCAGTTTTCTCAGCACCATCTATTGAAGAGATGGTCCTTTCCTCAATGAGTGTTCTTGGCACCTTTATCAAAAACCAATTGGCTGGCCAGGTGCAGTGGCTCACACCTATAATCCCAGCAGTTTGGGAGGCTAAGGCAAGAGGATCGCTTGAGCTCAGGAGCTTGAGACCAGCTGGGCAACATAGTGAGACCCTACCTCCATTAAAAAAAAAAAAATTAGCCAAGCATGGTGGTCACACCTGTAGATACTACTACTTGGGACTAAGGCAGGAGGATCGCTTGATCCCAGGAGTTTGAGGCTGCAGTGAGCCATAATTGCACCACTGCACTCCAGCCTAGGTGACAGAGTGAGACCCTGTCTCAAAAACAAAACAGTTGGCTGTAGATACATGAATTAATTTCTGGTGTCTCTATTTGGTTCCATTGGTTTACATGTCTGTTTTTATGCCAGTACTATGCTGTTACTATGGCTTTGTAGTATATTTTGAAGTCTGGTAATGTGATACCTTCAATTTTGTTCTTTTTGCTCAGGACACTTTGGTTATTCGGGGTCTTTTGTGATTCTATGCAAATGTTAGGGTTTTTCTATTTCTGTGAAGAGTGTCAGTGGTATTTTGATAATTGCATGGAATCTGTAGATTGCTTTGGGTAGTGATATGGTATGGCTCTGTGTCCCCCCTCAAATCTCATCTCAAATTGTAATCCCCACGTGTCAAAAGAGGGACCTGGTAGGAGGTGATTGGATCATGGGGACAGGTTCCCCCATGCTGTTCTGGTGCTATTGAGTGAGTTCTCACGAGATCCGATGGTTTAAAAGTGTAGCACATCCCCCTCGCTCTCTCTCTCCTGCCGCCTTGTGAAGGAGGTGCTCACTTCTCTTTTACCTTCCGTTATGATTCTAAGTTTCCCAAGGCCTCCCCAGCCATGCAGAACTGTGAGTCAATTAAACCTCTTTTCTTTATAAATTACTCAGTCTCGGCTGGGCGTGGTGGCTCACGCCTGTAATCCCAGCACTTTGGGAGGTCGAGACGGGTGGATCATGAGGTCAGGAGATCAAGACCATCCTGGCCAACATGGTGAAACCCCGTCTCTACTAAAATGCAAAAAAATTAGCCAGACATGGTGGCGGGCGCCTGTGGTCCCAGCTACTCGGGAGGCTGAGGAGCGTACCCAGGAGGTGGAAGTTGCAGTGAGCCAAGATCGTGTCACTGCACTCCAGCCTGGCAACAGAGCAAGACTCTGTCAAATAAATAAATAAATAAATAAATAAATAAGTCTCAGGTAGTTCTTTATAACAATGTGAAAATGAACTAATACAGGTAGCATGGAGCGTGCCTTCTAATTCCACAAGTTACACTCCCACCTATGCCTAAGAGTCCTGTCTCTATGCTCCTTAACTACAAAATCTCTATTCCATGGCCTCTTTGTCTCCTAGACTCATATTTGACTCCAACATCCCCCAGAATACAAGTATCCAGGGTGATATGCGAATGGAGAGATTCCACAGTAAGAGTTAGATTCCCTTTGTCATCCTGCCTCACCCCTACTGACAGGGCTGTACCAGACACAGTGGCCCACATTTCCAGCTCTTACAAACAACAAAAATTTGCCAACCGTGTCCTGAGAGGATGTCACTGATGCTCAGCAGTTAGCTTTGATGGTTTCCAGTGTTAGCAGACAGGATACATTACACAGTGCCTCCTCCCCACTTTCCAGTGATGTGGCCTGGAGTATCTTCGGCCTTGGGGAATCTTCCCCCAGATTCCACCCATGGGTCAAATTTTAGGAATCAGCTCACTCCCTTAGAAGCAGCTGTGATTCTCATGCTTGTCCTGATAGTCTGGACCTTCTGGTGCTCTCTGTAGAAACAAGGAAACATCAGGAGATTTAATCCCACTTCAGGAACTCAGCTCTCTTTCTCTCTGTCTTCATTTCCTCTTCTCACTGCATCTCAAAAAATACATAAACTTTTTTTTGTTGTTTATTTTTGGGCTTTTTTTTGAGACACAGTTTCACTCTGTCACCCAGGCTGGAGTGCAGTGGAACGATCTCAGCTCACTGCAACCTCTGGGCTCAAGTGATTCTCCTGCCTCAGCCCCCCAAGTAGCTGGGACTACAAATGCGCGCCATCATGCCTGGCTAATTTTTGTATTTTTAGTAGAGATGGGGTTTCCCCATGTTGGCCGGGCTGGTCTTGAACTCCTGACCTCAAGTTATCTGCCCGCCTCGGCCTCCCAAAGTGCTGGGATTACAGACGTGAGCCACAACGCCCGGCCAAAGTAGGCATCACTTTGTTTGTTTGTTTGTTTGTTTGTTTGTGACAGAATCTCACTCTGTCTCCCCAGCTAGAGTGCAGTGGCACAATCATGGCTTACCGCAGCCTCGACCTCCTGGCTCAACCCATCCTCCTACCTCAGCCTCCCTAGTAGCTGGGATTACAGGCGTGTGCCATCATGCCTGGCTAATTTTTCTCTCTTTTTTCTTTTTTTTTTTTTTTTGGTAGAGGTGGGGTTTTGCCATGTTTCCAGGCTATTCTCAAACTCCTGAGCTCAAGCAATCTGCCCACCTCAGCCTCCCAAAGTGCTGGGATTACAGGCATGAGCCACTGTCCCTGGCCATCACTTAGTTTTGACTGTAGGACTCCTTGGCCCAGCTCATGGGAAAGAACATTCTAAGGTGGCAATGACTGAGCAACTCGGGGGCAATAAGGGGATTTTGAGGAAAGGAAGACATTGGAGAGGAAAGGGGGCCTCCCAGGCTGGGGTTTTGGTTTATTCTTGGGCTCAGGGGGAGCAGGTGTTGTAGAGGGGGAAGCTCCCTCCATGCCCTTCCTGCTTCTCTCAAAGGAATCCATGTCATGTTCCAGGACACACAGATGGCCATAGTTACTTGTGGGGAGGAGTCACAGTCATTAAAGGCTCACACTGGAATGTAGCATTGAGTATTCTTCTTCCCATCCTTGAGTGGAAGAAGAGAACTGACCCAGTGCCTGGACCCTTGGAACAATCACCTGTTGTATTGATTACCTTCTTGCATAAACGAATTCCCCCAAAGTTTAGTGGCTGTATTAGTCTGTTCTCACACTGCTATAAAGAACTACCTGAGATGGTAATTTATGAAGAAAAGAGGTTTGTCGATTCACACTTCCACAGCCTGTACAGGAAGCATGGCTGAGGCATCAGGAAACTTACAATCATGGCGGAAGGCAAAGGGGAAGCAGGCGCATCTTACCATGGCAGAGAGAGCAGAGGGGGAAGTGTCGCACACTTTTAAACCATCGGATCTCATTGAGAACTCAGTCACTTTCATGAGAACAGCAAGCGGGGATCTGCCCCCATGATCCAATCACCTCCCACCAGGTCCCTCCCCCAACATTGGGAATTACAGTTCGACAGGAGGTTTGGGTGGGGACACACAGCCAAACCATATCAGTGGCTTAACTCATTATTTTTTATCTCATGGTTTCTGTGTGTCAGGAATCTATCACAGCTTAGCCATGTAGTCTGGCTCTGAGTTTCTCACACTGGCTGCGGTTGCAGTCATCTTCAGTTTCCACTGGGGGGTGCATTTGCTTCCAGGCTTATTCGAGAGGTTGTTGGCAGGTTTTGGGTCCTTACAAGCTGTTGGATTGACAACTTTGGCTCTGCAGAGTCTGTTGGCCTGGGTCCTTCCCGGGTTCCTTACCATGTAGGCCTGTCTACAAGGAAGCTCACAACTTGGCAGCTGCCTTTATCAGCATGAGCATGTGAAAGGGCAAGAGAGAATGGGAACAAGAGGAATCACAGTCTTTTGTAATTTAATTTCAAAAGTAACATGCGGCCCGGGCGCAGTGGCTCACGCCTGTAATCCCAACACTTTGGGAGGCCGATGCAGGCGGATCACCAGAGATCAGAAGTTCGAGACCAGCCTGGCCAACATAGCAAAACCTCGTCTCTATTAAAAATTTAAAAAAATTAGCTGGGCATGGTGGCAGGCACCTGTAATCCCAGCTACTTGGGAGGCTGAGGCAGGAGAATTGCTTGAACCTCGGAGGCGGAGGTTGCAGTGAGCTGAGATTGTGCCACTGCACTTCAGCCTGGTCGACAGAGCGAGACTCCATCTCAAAAAAAAAAGAAAAAAGGAACATGCTCTCACTTTGCCATATTCTAGATTAGAAGCAAATTACTAGGTCCAGCTCAGATTCAAGGGCAGCAAATTAAACAGGACATATTTAAGAAGTGGGGGTCACTGGGATAGTTTTAGAAGGCTGCCTACCACATTTGCCATTTATTATTATCAGAGATGTATAAAGGTTGTATTTGATGATGATAAAAAAAATTCCTGTTTCATAAAAATGAAACCAATCTCGGCCGGGCGTGGTGGCTCATGCCTGTAATCCCAGCACTTTGGGAGCCCAAGGTGGGCGGATCACAAGGTCAGGAGATCGAGACCATCCTGGCTAATACAGTGAAACCCCGTCTCTACTAAAAATACAAAAAATTAGCTGGGCATTGTGGCGGGCGCCTGTAGTGCCAGCTACTCGGAGGCTGAGGCAGGAGAATGGCGTGAAATCAGGGAGGCAGAGCTTGCAGTGAGCCGAGATCGTGCCACTCCAGCCTGGGTGACAGAGTGAGACTCCGTCTCAAAACAAAAAACAAAAAACAAAAAAAGAAATGGGGGTCTTGCATGGTGGCTCACGCCTGTAATCCCAACACTTTGGGAGGCCAAGGCAGGTGGATCACCTGAGGTCAGGTCAGGGGTTCGAGACCAGCCTGGCCAACATGGTGAAACCCCCGTCTCTACTAAAAATACCAAAAATTAGCCAGGCGTAGTGGTGGGCGCTTGTAATCCCAGCTACTCAGGAGGCTGAGACACAAGAGAATTGCTTGAACACGAGAGGCGGAGGTTGCGGTGAGCCCAGATCGCGCTGTTGCACTCCAGGCTGGGCAACAAGAGTGAAACTCCTTCTCAAAAAAAAAAAGAAAAGAAAAGAAATGGGGGTCTTGCTATGTTGCCCAGGTTGGTCTGGAACTCCTGGCCTCAAGTGATCCCCCTGCCTGTCCTCCCAAAGCACTGGGATTACAGGTACCCGGCCCCTGCTTTAAGTTTTAAGACACACCTGGGGACTCCAGCCAAGTTTTGCTTGAGAACCCTGTGTTGAGGTCCTACTGGAAGCCATGCAGTGGGGCTGGAGTTCCCTTTGTGTCTGTCTCTCATACATCTCCTTCAGGTAATCAGTTAGAGAAGTAACTGGCCATCTGCCTGGCCAAAATCATCTACCAGCACCCTACCCCATCACAATCCCATCAGAGGGAAACTCTGATTGGTTTCCCTTCCTGTAAAGTCCAACTATCCCAACCTGGAGAGCTCTTCTCTCTCCTCTCTGGAGATCCAATTCAAGCCACTCCTCTTCTCTGAAACCTTAGAATTAAATGAGAAGATGAGAAGAGATGTTTCTTTGTAAATAGAATTGCCTGAGGGTCAAAGAGGCCTGTAGTTGAGAAAACAAGCTAAACAGCTGGAAAAAAAGACAGAGGGAAAGGATGGAGTGTCAACTACTGGTTATAAAATTTCTCTTCTTCTTGGCAGGGATTGTCTCTGTGGGGATACAGATGCATCTAGCTGCTGAGCACACAGTAGGTGTCCAATTAGTCTTTGTTGACAGTGTCCCTGTAGTGGTTTTTAAATGCTCACACATTCCTTGATATTCTTCCCTTTAATAGGTAGAGCCTAACTGCCTTCCTTTGAATGGGGGCTAGACTGACTTCTAATGAATAGAATGTGGCAGAAGTGACAGTGTATGACTTCTGAGGTGAGGTCAGAAAAGGCATTGCAGCGTCTGCTCTGTTCTCTCCTGGACGATTTACTATAAGGGAAGCCAGCTGCTATGTCATGAAGACTCTCAAACACCCCTGTGGAGATGCCCACGTGTAGAAAGACTGAGGCCTCCTGCCAACAGCTGGCACCAACTTGTCAGTCCCATAAGTGCGCTGTCTTGGAAGGGGATCCTCCAGCCCCAGTCAAGCCTTCAAATAACAACAGTCCTTGGCAAAAGCGTGACTGTAACCACAGCTTGACTGAGCCAGAACCACCCAGTCAAGATGCTCTCAAATTCCTGTGAGAAGTAACATATGTTTATTGATATTTAAATGACTAAGAGGAAGGGAGCTGGAGAGACATTTTGGGAGGAAGAGGTTTTTGCTTCCTGGTTCTAGTGTGCTTGATTGACAGGCTCCTGCTCTGCAAACAGCTTTCAGTGCCCAGTTCCCAGAGTAACCAGCAACACCCAGTGGCTAGCAGCTTCTCCTGGCACTGTCCACCTTGGGCTGTAGTGTAAGCAGAATACCTCCAACTTCTGCCTCACATACCACCTGCGTGCATGTGGCTTCTGCCGCATCAGGCTCCTGCAGCACCCACAGGTACTCCAGTGCCGCCTCCCACAGCACATGAAGGCCAGCAGCACCCAGTGGGAAGCAGCTTCCCCTGCACACCCCACTCAGTTAGTTCTGTAGTCGAAAGTCTCTGGTTCCACACCTCCTTGGGAAAGAGCTTTCCCTGGCATCCTAGAGGGCATATTTCTGGCAAGTTCCACTGGCATGACAGTACAGTGACTTTTCTGCCACCTAGTGAGCTGTGGGCTGTGCTCTACTCAACAAGGTCTGGATCTCAGCCCTGGGTGGGGAGAGGGTATCTCTTTCTTGGGTGCTGTATCTTGGGAGGTAGGGGCTGCTCCTCATGTCAGCTATTCATTATTCCATAGGGTTCTCATAACTCCTTACTAAACAATTCTTTGTTACTCCAATCCCCTGTTTTAATAATCATATTAAAATTTCCTGTTAAATTACTGTGAGGTTTCTCTCTTGATCAGACCCAAGCTGATACACAAGTTTTCTCATAATTTGTTACATGGCAGCAGATAATACACCACTCCCATCTGATCTTCCCACTGCCAATTCCTTTCATTACCATCAGCCAATTGCCATTATCATGTGCCTGCCCTGAGCAGGCTCTTCCTTCAAGGTTTTTTTTGTTTTTGTTTCTGTTTTTGTTTTTTTTGAGATGGTGTCTGGCTCTGTCGCCCAGGCTGGCATGCAGTGGCGCGATCTCCGCTCACTGCAAGCTCTGCCTACTGGGTTCACACCATTCTCCTGCCTCAGCCTCCCGAGTAGCTTGGGACTATAGGCGCCCGCCACCACATCCAGCTAATTTTTTGTATTTTATTTTTAGTAGAGATGGGGTTTCACCACGTTAGCCAGGATGGTCTCCATCTCCTGAACTCGTGATCCGCCCGTCTCGGCCTCCCAAAGTGCAGGGCATGAGCCACCACGCCCGGCTCTTCAAGGCTTTGGTAAGCAGTCAGATATGTCCTACTGCAGGCAGGCCAGGCACAGTGACTCAAACCTATAAACCCAGCACTTTGTGAGGCCGAGGCAGGCAGATCGCTTGAGGTCAGGAGTTCGAGACCAGCCTGGCCAACATGGCGAAACTTGGTCTCTACTAAAAATACAAAATTTAGCCAGGCATGATGGTGCGTGTCCATAATCCCAGCTACTCGGGAGGCTGAGGCAGGAGAATCGCTTGAACCTGGGAGGCAGAGGTTGCAGTGAGCCAAGATCGTGCCACTGCACTCCAGCCTGGACAATAGAGCAAGACTCCGTCTCAAAAAAAAAATTAGCTGGGCATGGTGGTGGGCACCTATAATCCTAGTTACTCAGGAGGCTGAGGCAGGAGAATCTCCTGAACCTGGGGATGCAGAGGTTGCAGTGAACCAAGATCATGCCACTGCACTCCAGCCTAGGCGACAGAGTGAGACTCCATCTCAAAAGAAAAAAACCACAAAGAACAAAAAACATATGTCCTACTGCAAAAAAGAATAAAAGAACAAGGTATATAAGATTCAAGCTTTAATTTGCCAAATGCCAAGTGAGAGGTTCAGATGAGAAGTGCTGCAGGGTGCACCAGAGGCTAGTATGCTTGAAAAAAGATCTAGGCTGCAGTGGGACGTCAACTTTGATGACACTAGAAGGCACAACCCAGTTGGAAGAAGAGGGAAGGCCATTCTAGCATTCTAGGCAGCAGGAAAGTTGTATCAAAAGTAAGCCAGGTGCGGTGGCTCATGCCTGTAATCCCAGCACTCTGGAGGCCGAGGTGGGCAGATCACCTGAGGTCGGGAGTTTGAGACCATCCTGGGCAACATGGAAAAACCCCGTCTCTACTAAAAATACAAAATTAGCCAGGCATGGTGGTGGCGCATGCCTGTAATCCCAGCTACTTGGGAGACTGAGGCAGGAGAATCGCTTGAACCCAGGAGGTGGAGGTTGCGGTGAGCCGAGATATCGCGCCCTTGCACTCCAACCTGGGCAACGAGCAAAACTCCGTCTCAAAAAAAGGAAAAAAAAAAAATGTTTGGAGGCATCTTCTCTTTATAATAGTAATTTAAAGAAAAAAAAAGAAAACATGTTTGGAGCAAGAGTACACATGGTATGATTAGGGCAGCAATGACTAGTTTGCTCCAGTTTGGCTGGAGCAGAGATGTGGCACAGTAGGCTTGTGGCAGGCAAGAGGATCACACTGTGAAGAGCCTTGAATGCAAAGCTAATTCATTTGGTTTCGTCATGTAAAAAAGGGGTCCAGTGACCACATCTTTGAGGACAAAACTCAACCTTTTGCTGAGAATACATTTATACCTGTCAGATCACGTGACTTTGCTTTGATGCCGAGAAAGATTTCACCATGGCAATGGGGAGCCCCTGAAGGTTTTTGAGAATGGTGCCATGTGTGATTATAAAATTAGCCTGGAGTGCGTAGGGCTGGAGAGGATGGAAACCAGGAGGAGGAAAAGTCAGGCCCAGTGTGGTGGCTCACACCTGTAATCCCAACACTTTGGGAGGCTGAGGAAGGTGGATTGCTTGAGCTCAGGAGTTTGAGACCAGCCTGGGAAACATGCAAAACCTCGTCTTTACAAAAAAAATACAAAAGATTAGCTGGGCGCGGTGGCACACTCCTGTAGTCCCAGCTACCCAAGGAGGCTGACGTGGAAGGACCACGTGAGCCTGGGAGGTCGAGGCTGCAGTGAGCTGTGTTTGCTCCACTGCACTTTAGCCTGGGAGACAGAGTGAGACCCTGTCTCAAAAAAAAAAAAAAAGAAAGAAAGAAAGAAGTAGGCAAGTCCTGATGTGGAGGACAGGGCAGTAGCAGTGGAAATGGGGGAACTAGGTGGATGTGGTGGGGAGGAGAATTTGAAAGTGATGCCCAACACCTTGTTGGTGACATGGGCACACATGGAGCTGGTCGAAAGGAAACGTCGGCATTTGACAAGTTCCACTGGGGTGGCTGCAGTGTATTCAGCAGCAAGAAGGAGCAGCCTCAGGCCTGAACTCAGGAGGGAAACAAGGGATGCTGATTCAGATCTGGTAGTGACTGCCCACTCATTCTGGGAGACAGTGACGGGGTTGGCCTCTCTATAGGCTCTGGCTCTTTCTCATCAGCCCATCCTCATCAAGAAACACCCTCCCTCTTCCACCTGAGTGATATGACCTTGGGCCAGGGATTAAGTGGGGACAGATTTCCTTTAAGTACTTCAGTCCTAAACTGGCCTCTAAAATCCAGAAGCATCAAGATCCTCCTCAGTTTCCATAGGTTTGGGCTTAGAATCCATGACCCACTCTTACGGGGCTTGGACCGAAGAATGTGAGGGCAAAAGAAAAGCTCAGTAGTAGGAGGTTCTAATCCTATTTCTGCCCTAGACCAGTCATGTGACCTTGAGCAAGTCACTTTTCCATTTTGGGTTTGTTTTCCTTTCAGGAAAATGCCAGGGTTGGTCCTGGACGAGACTAGTTTTCAAATCCTGCTTCTGAAGAACACCGGGAGCCCGTGGCTGGACCAGGTTCTTTGTCCTAGATCGAGCAGTCTCAGGCTGGGAATAGCTCCAACATTAGGTTTCTCTCCCGTAGCATTTTCTTAAACCGTTAGCAATCCTTACTGTTTCCCAGCAAGGATTCACAGATAAAACAGTGAATGAGGGCTGGGCGTGGTGGCTCACACCTGTAACCCTAGCACTTTGGGAGGCCAAGGTGGGGGGATCACGAGGTCAGGAGATCGAGACCATCCTGGCCAACATGGTGAAACCCCTTCTCTACTAAAAAATACAAAAAATTAGCTGGGTGTTGTGGCGCGCTCCTGTAGTCCCAGCTACTCGGGAGGCTGAGGCAGGAGAATTGCTTGAACCCGGGAGGCAGAGGATGCAGTGAGCTGAGATTGTACCACTGTACTCCAGCCTGGCGACAGAGCGAGACTCCGTCTCAAAAAAACAAAAAAAACAATGAAGGAACAACTGGGAAACGCAAATGAATGGGGAATTGGAAAATGGATGACCATATTTGGTTTGACAGTCTTCTTGTTTCTGGAAACTTCATGGTTATGGTGTTATATTACTCACACCATTGTTCTGGTTTCCAAAGCTAAGTTTCAATGACTTTTCAGCACGCTTCATAGAGGACTCTAGGACTCCCCAGTGCCCATAACCTGAAGAGACTGGAGAAATGCTGGAGGCAACACTCTCCAAGGACCTCCCCAGTGATGATCTTTTGTTTTCTCAGTGATGATTTCTTTTTTTTTTTGAGATGGAGTCTCGCACCTCTGTCTCTGAGGCTGGAGTGCAATAGCGTGATCTCAGCTCACCGCAACCTCTGCCTCCCGGGTTCAAGCAATTCTCCTGCCTCAGCTTCCCAAGTAGCTGGGATTACAGGTGCCCGCCACCACATCTGGCTAGTTTTGTATTTTTAGTAGAGACGGGGTTTCTCCGTGTTGGTCAGGCTGGTCTCGAACTCCCGACCTCGGGTGATCCTCCCGCCTCAGCCTCCCAAAGTGCTGGGATTACAGGCGTGAGCCACTCTGCCCGGCTTTCTCAGTGATGATTTCATAGCTCCTCAGAGCCCATCTTTGAGGAATGCATGCAGAACACTGTGGCTTACGTTCGTTAACTCATATAATCCCCCTTTCATTTTCCCAACAGCGTCATGAAATCAGTACTATTATTATATGCATTTTATAGATGAGGGGCCTGAAGCTCAAATAGGGTTAACTGCTCCCCTGAGGTCACACAGTAAGTGACAGAGCTGGGACTGGAAGCGAGCACTCTGATTCCAGAGCTCCCTTTCTGACCCAGTATGCCTGCAGATCTCTGTCATTCATGCTGTCACCAAGGATCAACAGTTCTTCCTTGGACACGTGGAAAGAATGATCTTCCTCATCCCCTTTGGCTAATGAGATGTGAGCAGAAGTGATGACATTTATCACTACCACATTCCCTGTCCTTCTGTAATAGTTGTAGAAACACAATGAGGAAGCCTCCCTCAACCTGGGTCTCTGTGTGAGGATGTTGTGGAGTAGAGGCCTGCCCTTCCACCCCCACCGCTGATCTGCAATGGGCATGCAGTGTAAACAAGAATTAACATTTGCCATGTTTTTTTTTTCTTGAGACGGAGTCTCGCTTTGTCGCCCAGGCTGGAGTGCAGTGGCGCAATCTCGGTTCACTGCAAGCTCCGCCTCCTGGGTTCACGCCATTCTCCTGCCTCAGCCTCCTGAGTAGCTGGGACTACAGGCGCCTGCTACCACGCCCGGCTAATTTTTTGTATTTTTAGTAGAGACGGGATTTCACCGTTTTAGCCAGGATGGTCTCGATCTCCTGACCTCGTGATCTGCCCGCCTCGGCCTCCCAAAGTGCTAGGATTACAGGCGTGAGCCACCGCGCCTGGCCCCCTTTGCCATGTTTAAGCCACTGAGGTGTGAGTGTTGTTACTGTGGGATAGCCTGGCCCATCCTAACTAATCTAATGCTATACTGCGTCCTGTTGATTATCTTTGGCTTCAATCCCCAAGCCTGCCTTCTTCCAACCCCCTGAAAGCAATGGCTCCACATTGATTTGAAAAGCAGCAAGAGCCAGCCTGGCCAACATGCCGAACCCCACCTCTACTAAAAATACAAAAATTAGCTGGGCGTGGTGGCGGGCGCCTGTAGTCCCAGCTACTCGGGAGGCTGAGGCAAGAGAATGGCGTGAACCAGGGAGGCGCAGGTTGCAGTGAGCCAAGATTGTGCCATTGCACTCCAGCCTAGGCAACAGAGCAAGACTCCATCTCAAAAAAAAAAAAAGAAAGAAAAGCAGCAAGAGAAGAGGGGAGCTAGTCCCCCAAACATAGAAGTGGGGATGTGTTTTGAGAGATAAGCCCATGCTGTACCACACTCTGGAGCAGAGGTTATGCTGAATGAAATCTCCACCCAGCCCTGGAAGGCCACCAACAGACATTCGAGCTTCAAGAAACTTCAAGTTTCTCTCCTATACTCATTTATTGGCTCTCCTTAATTTTATTCCGTGTTTTTAAAGTAGGAACGACTGGGCTGGCAGGAGGAGGGCCGGGCTCTCAAGTCCTGGGGATACTGCAGGCTGACAATGACCTTGCAGGCCTGGATCTGAACATCTTCCTCAGGGTGGATGACCAGGGCAAGTAGTCGGTCTGCCAGTCGGGACTCTTCCCCAAAGAGGGATTCATGCAGGGACTGTTCGTTGTAATGCCATTTCACCACGTGGTAGTGGGGTGCGTTCCGGCCCTCACTCAGCCGCTCAGCAAACACCAGTACCTCATACAGGAGACTCCCTGACTGTGTGGGCTGGAACAGGTTTAGGAAGTTGGAGTGAACCTGTGATGGGAATAGAGAAAGAATGGGAATAAACTCCTAGGCAAGTTACAAAATTCTTGTTCTTGTATATTCCTATTGCCTAAACTCCCAAATATACCTAAATTTCAGACTCGAGTATATAGTAATTTTTTAGTTTTTCTTTTATTATTATCCTCTAATTTAATTGCCTTGTGATCATAAAACATGAGTGATATGATAATATTCATTCTGGAAATTTTGTTGAGACAAATTTTAAGGCTTAGTGTGTGACTAATTTTCTTAAGTATTGTGTGTGTGCTTGAGAGGACTGTGCATTTAATCCTTGTAGACTGTTCTGAGTATGTCTAATGGCTCAAGCTTATTTGTGTTATTCACTAAGAGTATATCCTCACTAATTTTGGCTTTTTAATCTATCAGTTGCTGCAAGAATGGTTAAAATATTCCAAATCTCCCACTGTAGTGGTATATTTGTTAATTTCTCCTTTCAATTTTTGTCGTATATATTTTGAGACTATGTTATTAGGTGCATACAAGTTTAGAGTTGCCCTACTGTTCTGGTGAACTGAACCACTGATTATCACAGAGTAACCTTTTCTATCCCTAATAATGCTCTTTGCCATAGTAATTTCCCCCCAATATTAAAATACCTACATTAACTTTTGTTTTGTCTCCTGTGTTCCTAACTCTCAGAGTTCAGGAAATGCCTCAAAGGGGGATCCCCCTCCCAATAAAATGGAGTCTCCTTCTACTGGGGGGAACAGAAGAGGCATGATTTTCAGTGCATTTAGTGCAGAGGCAGGAAGATACTAAAACAATTCATCAGGGGTAAATCTGTCTGGAGATGCCATGATTCTTCCCTCCCCCTATACCTGAGTTGGCATTCATCAGCCCCTCTTCAATTTCTTTCTCACCTGGCAGTTGAGAATGTCATAGAGAAGGTCATTCTTCTGTGCCAGGTAGCTCAGCAGTCGTACGGCTTGCACCTGAATAAAGGAAAGAGTAAAGCATGAGAAGGCAGGTGAGTCTGGGCCTCAGCAAGGAAGATATAAACCTCTGCTCCTCCCTCTAAGTACTGTGCTAGGGCTGGTCAGCAAGGCAGGGCCTTGGCCATGGTCCTCAGGCACCTGTGCCAGGATGTAGTCTGACTGCAGGATCTCCATCAAGGCAGGCATCACCCGTCGCAGCTGTGGATGCACATAGTCGGGCAGTGGAAGGTTGTTGAGGAGTCTGAGGCCCGCAATGTGCAGTTCCGTGTCCCAGATGGTGGAGATCAGTTCGAGTACTTTGATGGAGTGTTCCTGGAGTGGGGGAGAACAAAAGGGCTTACTTTTACAGGTGATCACCACTATCCCAGTATCTGACTTTACTCTTCACTGTCCCCATGGATGTCCCCTGGGCCAAACCCAATAGACAATTCTCCCTAACTCTCAACATAATTTGACCCAGTTGCCCACTCCCACTGCCTTGAAATTCTTTATTTGGCTTTTTTTTTTTTTTTTTTACAGACTTCTTTCCTAGCTATTCTGCCCAACCTCCTCTTTTCTACCTACCTCACTCCCATACCGGTATCATCCAGACTCACAGTGTTAAATACGATCCACATGCTGGTGACTCTCCCCTTTATGTCTCTAGCTCCAGCTATGTTGTCCCTCCCCTGAATCCAGACTCATATATGCAGCTACCAATTCCACTTTTCTCCCCAAATGTCTAATAGAGCTCTCAGAGTTAACACGCTCCCCCATCCCCAGACCTGCTCCTTCTATAGCTTTCCCTGTCTCAGCTATGGGTTACACTTTCCTTCCAGTGGCTCGGGCCAAAAACTGCTGGCATCAACTCCTTTCTTTCTCTCACACTCCTTTTCCAACCCTTCAGAAAATCCTGTAGGCACTACCTTCAAAAATCTATCAAAATTCAAGCCACTTCTCCTCACCCCCACTTCTTACCACCCTCTTTCAAGCCACTGGCATCTCACCGGGATTTCTGCAATAGCCTCCTGTCTCCCTGCTTCCATTCTCACCCCCTGCATCTACTTTCAGAGCAGCTGACATGTTAGACATGTCACTCCTCTGCTCAAGAGCCCCCATTTCATTCAGTGTAAAAGCTAAAGTCCTTACAGTGGCATACGGTCCAATGTGATCTGCCCCTCTCTCCCTATTATGTCTTGGACTCCATCTTCTCTTCTCTCCCTCATGACCAAGGTTCCCATCACAATGGCCTCTTACATATTCCATGAACATGCCAGGTACACACCTGTCTTAGGGTGTTTGCATAGGCTGTGCCCTCTGCTTAGCACACTCTATCCCCAGATACTCACAACTCACTCTCACACCTCCTTTAAGACTTCATTAAAATGTTACCTTCTCAGTAAGGCCTTCTCTAACCACCCCCATCCCAGCCTTCCTTACCACCCTCCACTGTTATTTTATTTTTCTCTACAGCATTGTCACGTGTAACACACATTTTCATTTCTTTAATTTTGTTTTTTAATTTAATTTTATTTTATTTTATTTTATTGGAGACCGTCTCACTCTGTTGCCCAGGCTGGAATGCAGTGGTGAGATCTTGGGTCACTGCAACCTCTGCCTCCCAGGTACAAGCGATTCTCCTGCCTCAGCCTCCCAAGTAGCTGGGATTACAGGTGTACGCCACCGTGCTCAACTAATTTTTGTATTTTTAGTAGAGACGGGTTTTCGCCATGTTGGCCAGGCTGGTCTTGAACTCCTGACCTTAGGTAATATGCCCACTTCGGCCTCCCAAAGTGCTGGGTTTACAGGCCTGAGCCTCCGCGCCCGGCCTTTATTTTGAAATGATTATAAATTTACAGGAAGTTGCAAAAATAGTACAGCGAGGTCCCATGTGCTCTTCACCCAGTTCCCCTCAATGGTCACATCTTGCATTATAGTATAATAGCAAAACTAGGAAATTGGTGTTGGTGTAATATGTGTGCATAGTTCTATGTCATTTCAGCACATGCACATATTTGTGTAACCACAACTGCAGCCAACAGATTATCCCACCAGAACTGTCCCATTGCCACAAAGATCTATCTCAAGAGACCCCTTTAGACTCACTCCCACCTGCTCCCCCAGCCCAAAGCCCAGGCAACCACTTGTGTTTTCCATCTCTATATATGACCTTTTAAGTTTGAGGATGTTATATAAATGAAATCACACTTTATGTGATCATTTGAGATCGGCTTTTTTCACTCAGCATAACGCCCTTGAGAACCATCCAAGTTGTTGTGCATATCAATATTATATTCCTTTTTATTACTAAGTAGCATTCCATGGTAATGGCTATACCATTTTGTTTAACCATTCACCGATTGACAGACATTTTTGGTTGTTTCCAGTTTGGGGCTATTCCACATAAAACTGCTATCGACAATCGTGTACTGGTTTTTGTGCAGATATAAGTTTTCATTTCTCTAGGATAAAGGCCCAAGAGTTCAACTGCTGAATTGGTAAATGTATGTTTAGTTCTGAAAGAAATTGCCAAACTATTTTCCAGAGTGGCTGCTGTACCATTTTATATTCCCACCAGCAATATATGAAAGATCCGGTTTTTCTATATCTTTGCCAGCATTTGGTATCGTCACTAATTTTGATTTTAGATCTTCTAATAGGTGCACAGTAATATCTCAGCATGGTCTTCATTGCATTTCCCTAATGGCTGGTGATATTAAACATGGTTTCATGTGCTTATTTGCCATCCATATATCCTCTTCAGTGAAATATCTGTTCATGTATTTTGCCCATTTCCTAATTGGACTGCTTGTTTTAACATCAGGGTTGTTTTTGTTTTTAGACAGAGTCTCACTCTGTTGCCCACGCTGGAGTGCAGTGGTGCGATCTCGGCTCGCTGCAACCTCCACCTCCCAGGTTCAAGTGATTCTCCTTTCTCAGTCCCCTGAGTAGCTAGGATTACAGGTGCCCACCACCATGCCCAGCTAGTTTTTGTATTTTTAGTAGAGATGGGGTTTCACCATGCTGCCCAGGCTGGTCTCAAACCCCTGACCTCGTGATCCCCCATGCCTGGCCTAACATTCAGTTTTGAAAGCACTTGATACAATTTAGCTGAGTCCTTTATCAGATATGTGATTTTCAAATATACTCCCTCAGCCAGGCACAGTGGCTCACGCCTCTAATCCCAGCACTTTGGGAGGTCGAGGTGGGCGGATCAAGAGGTCAAGAGACCGAGACCATCCTGGCCAACATGGTGAAACCCCGTCTCTACTAAAAATACAAAAATCAGCTGGGCATGGTGGTGTACACCTGTAATCCCAGCTACTTGGGAGGGTGAGGCAGGAGAATCGCTTGAACCCGGGAGGCGGAAGTTGCAGTGAGCCGAGATTGTGCCATTGAACTCCAGCCTGGGTGACAGAGCAAGACTCCATCTCAAAACAAAAACAAAAACAAAAACAAATACACTCTCCCAGTCTGCAGCTTTTTTCATTCTCTTAACAGGATCTTTCATGGAGCAAATGTTTTTAATTTTAATAAAGTCCAATGTATTGATTTTCCTTTTATAGATCATGCTTTTGATGTCATGAACTCTTCACCAAGCCCAACATCTCAAAAGATTTTCTTTTTCTTTTTTCTTTTTTTTTTTTTGAGATGGAGTCTCACTCCCATCAAACAGGCTGGAGTGCAATGTGGTGATCTCGGTTCAATGCAACCTCCACCTCCTGGGTTCAAGTGATTCTCCTTCCTCAGCCTCCTGAGTAGCTAGGATTACAGGCCTCCTGGGTTCAAGATTTTCTTCTTGAAAACTGCATCACCCCCACCCAGACTCCTTTATCCACCCCCCGCCTTTTATTTTTCTCCATGGCACTTACCACATGAAACACACTATATATTTTACTTATTTGTGTATTGCTTGCCTTGCCCTGTTAGAATATAAATTCCACAAGCACAGGGATCTTCCCTGTTCTGTTTACTGCTTTCTCTCCTGTACTTAGAGCAGCGTGTTGGCACAAAGTGTTCAATATTACATTTATTGAGTGAATAAAGGGATCTTCGGTTCTAGGATGCAAGATGCGGGCAGGACGCAGTGGCTCACGCCTTTAATCCCAGCACTTTGGGAGGCCAAGGTGGGCAGATCACCTGAGCTTGGGAGTTCAGGATCAGCCTGACCAACATGGAGAAACCCCATCTCCACTACAAAAACAAAAAATCAGCGGAACGTGGTGGCACATGCCTGTAATCCCAGCTACTCGGGAGGCTGAGGCAGGAGAATCACTTGAACCCGGGAGGCGGAGGTTGCGGTGAGCTGAGATCGCGCCATTGCACTCCAGCCTTGGCAACAAGAGCGAAACTCCGTCTCAAAAAAAAAAAAAAAAAGTAAGATGCTTGGACCTAGAGGCATTACCAAAGACAGGTAACCTCACGAGCTGCACCTTTATGAGCCATGTAAGAAGTAAGCAAGAGTCCTGGAGTGGAAGTGAGCATTCCCATCAGTACCTGCCCTTCCCTTCCCCCACCCCTCAAAAGCCGTGGCGACCCGCAGGACAGGTTGGAGTCAGCAAGTCTGGGACAGGGTTTCAGAACGAGGGAACAGCAGCAAGGGGGCATGTGAGAGCATAAAGCATGCATTGTACGTGGCTGGGGTTAGGGCAAGGAGGTGCAGCCCATGGCCAATCACGCACTTTATGCTGAGAGCCTTGAGGCAGACCCAAAGGGCCTGATGGCCTAAGAGCCCTCTGGAGAGAGTGGGCTGATTCAGGGAATGGGGTGAGCTCCATTTTGGATATGTTGGGTTAGAGAACTTGGAGGGCATCTAAGTGGATATGCCTAGTAGCAGCTGCCCATGGGGAAGGCAGGGGAGCCCACAGGCTGCAGAGATCCAGAAGGGCACAGCTAGATGGAAATTGAGATCAAGGAGTAACTACTTTCACCTGAAAAGAGACCAGGGGTCAGGCCCTCAGCATAAAGACACTGGGGAAAAAAAGGAAGAGTGGGACTCAGGCCGCCTGCATCAGAATTTCCTGGGGGATTTGTGAAAAACAAAGTTCTCCTGTTGAACTGAACTCCCTGGGCTTTTTTTTTTTTTTTTTTTTTTTTGAGACAGAGTCTCGTTCTGTGGCCCAGGCTGGAGTGCAGTGGCGTGATCTTGGCTCACTGCAAGCCTCTGCCTCCCGGGTTCAAGTGATTCTCCTGCCTCAGCCTCCCGGATAGCTGGGATTACAGGTGCCCGCCACCACGTCCGGCTAATTTTTGTATTTTTAGTAGAGACGGGGTTTCTCCATGTTGGCTAGGCTGGTCTCGAACTGACCTCAGGTGATCTGCCCACCTCAGCCTCCCAAAGTGCTGGGATTACAGGCTTGAACCACTGCGCCCAGCCAAAATCTTTGCTTTTAACAAGCTCTCCAGGTGATTATAATATGCTTGAGAATCACAGCCTGACCAGGTGTGGTGACTGACACCTGCAATCCCAGCACTTTGGGAGGCTGAGGCAGGTGGATCACTTGAGCTCAGGAGTTCGAGACCAGCCTGAACAACATGGCAAAACCCCACCTCTAAAAAAATACAAAAATTAGCCGGGCATATTGGTGCATGCCTGTAATCCTAGCTACTAGGGAGGTTGAGGTGGGAGGATCACTTGAGTCCTGGAGGTGGAGGTTGCAGTAAGCCAAGATCGTACCACTGCACTTGAGAAGGCTGAGGGATGAGGCAGCAAGCAGAGATCTCTCTAGGTATTTTTTTCTGTTTGTTTCTCAATCTATTTTTATTCTTTTGTGTGTTTGCTTTTATTGATATATCATAGTTGTGCATATTTTGAGGATACATGTAAAGAGAATTTTTTCCCCAAAAAAGTTTGATGCCAAAAATTAAAATGTGGACCACGCATGGTGGCTCATGTCTGTAATCCCAGCAGTTTGGGAGGCCGAGGCAGGCAGATCACTTGAGGCCAGGAGTTTGAGACCAGCCTGGCCAACATGGTGAAACCCTGTCTTTACTAAAATACAAAAAAATTAGCCAGGCATGGTGGTGCGCGCACGCCTGTGATTCCAGCTACTCTGGAAGCTGAGGCACAAGAATTGCTTGAACCTGGGAGGCAGAGGTTGTAGTGAGCCGAGATCGTGCCACTGCACTCCAGCCTGGGCAACAGAGCAAGACTCTGTCTCAAAAAAAAAAAAAATTAAAATGTGAAATTATCAAACGTTAGGTTATGACACAATAGAACACTCGTGCAGGGCTGGTGGGGTGAAAATGGATACCTCCCTCCTGGAAAAGTTGGGCATACCCTTTGACCAAACCATTCCACTCCTGCATACACACCCTAGAATCCTCTCTCAGGCACACAAGGGAGACGAACACAGGAATGTTCACAGCACAATGTGAGTGTGACAAGCACCTGGAAACAATGCAAATGCCTAACAACGGGCAAGTGGCAGAGTATTCACGAAAGAGACCACCACAGAGCGGTGAAAGAGACCCAGGGGGGAGAATTGCTTGAGCCCAGGAGTTCAAGGCCAGCCTGAGAAACATAGTACTCCCGTACTCACTGAGCACACCCGTACTCCCAGCTACTAGGGGAGCTGAGGTGGGAGGACTGCTTGAGCCTGAGAAGTCAAGGCTGCAGTGAGCCAAGATCACGCCACTGCACTCCAGCCTGGGCGACAGAACGAGACCCTGTCTCAAAAAAAAAAAAAAAAAAAACCAGAAGGAAGCAGAGCTGCCCAATAAGGATGAATCTCTCCACGTAGCAGGGAGAAAAGGCCAACCACAGAATAGAAACCATCTACTTCCATGTACATGAAGCTTAAAAACATACCAGACTATATTTTACCTCTTTATTATCTGCTATGCCCTGCTAGAATATGCAAGGATACATACATATATGGTAAAACTACAAAGAAAATTTGGAACTGCTAAACAAAATGCAGGGTAATGACTGCCTCTGGTGGGGGAGGCAGCCAAGATGTGGGAGGGGGCTGTGCTCTATTTCTTGGCCTGGGCATGTTCTGTTTTATTGTTATTCCTTCTAACTTACACATATACAATATTTGCAAGTTTTACATATTTTATTTGTTTTTAATTTGGGAGAGATAGACTATTTGCCAGGAAGAGATGTGGAGGTCAAGGGAGAGGCTTTTTTGGTTTTGCTTTGTAAGATGGGAGGGGTTGGAGCCTACTGCATGCTGATGGGGGAGCGGAGCGTAAGCAATCAGAGAGGCCCTTAAGGAAGGGGTGGGAGGCAGGATTGAGACTATCACTGGCCACAGACCAGGAGAAAGCCATTTTTTTCATGGCAGCAGCAGGAAAGCAGGGAGGATGGGTGTGGATACTGTAAGTTTGGGGGTATGATAGCAGGGAAAGGGGGAAGTGACATGTGGTGTTTTACATTTTGTCTATGGAGTAATGGAGAAGTTATCCGTGGCCATGACACCAACCTCTGATTAACACAGGCCCAGGGGATAGAGTATAAAAAATACATCTGATCTTTGTCCCTAGTTCCAGGAACAGAGCTCCTGAAACCTTTGGAATTTCCTGAGTGACAGCAGTGTCCTTTGTTACTGCAAACCAACCCTTTTTGGTCACAACAGAGCTTATGCTAATGAAGTGACTCCAGGCAGGGTCCTTGGATAGCTTCTGGTTGCCAGAAAGACCAAAGCATGATTAGAAGGTTGGGATTTTCAGTTTTGCTCCCAACTTCTGGGGAGGGGTGAGCAGCTGGACATGATTTAATTCATCAAGACTACATAATAAAAACCTCTGACCAATGGGGTTCAAAGAGCTTCCTGGTTGCTGAACGTGTGGAGGTGCTGGGAACAGCAGGGCACTCCTGAAGTGAGCTTGTGGCAGGCCTCCATAACAACTGTTTCAGTACTGACTGCGTGGTTAAGTTAAATGTTAAAAGCCAGTGCCCTTATACAAAGGCTGGAATGTAACAAAAGCCCACCAGGAGTTTTGCCTAGGCCTTTCCTGGGCCTTAAAGCATGACAAAATTACGAAGGAATTCTTAATGGGACCCATTTAGGATTAAACAAGTTTTACTGTGGATCTGAAGAAACGCCACAGGTCTCCACAAACAAGTTTATTGGGATCTGAAGGAATTCCTCAAAACTCCTTGATTTAGCAAGAGACAAAATAAGGGTAATCACCCCAGCACCTGGACCCATTTAGATTAAGTAAATTTACTGAGGCTCCAGTGGAAGGTCTTCAGGACTCAGACCTTAGTTATAAATTAAAAGAAGTTAATCACGTCTTTAGATGAATGCACATTTACACATAGACATATAGCTTAGAAGGTATATAAGTTCTGAAAAACTTTGTAATTTTGAGTTGGTCCAGCGATAATTTCCTGGCCTTCTCCCTGTAACCGGTTACAGAAATAAAAACTCTCTTCCTCCCCAGTTCATCTGCATCTCGTTATTGGGCCAGGAGCAATAGCAGCCCAGCCCTCAGTTTGGTCCAGGAACAGGCCTGGAAGCTCCGCGCCCTGACACCCTGCCCTATGTGTCTCCTCCGTTTAGCTGTTCCTGAGTTGTGTCCTTTATATAAAAAACCAGTAATAGTAAGTAAAGTCCTTTCCTGAGTTCTGGGAGCCATTCTAGCAAATTAGTAGATCTAAAAAGGGAGTTGTGGGAACCCCCGAATTCATAGCGGGCCAGTCAGAAGTCAGACCTATGATTGGTACCTGAAGTCGGGGGGAAGTCTTGGGGGACTCAGCCCTTAACCTGTGAAGTCTGCCCTAACTATGGATAGTGTCTGAACTGAATTGAATTGTTGAACACCCAGCCAGTGTTGGGAATTGGTGTCAGAAAAAACGTGGCAGTGGTAGGGAGCTTGTGGGGTAGTGGGGGTCCTTCTCTTTGGGGTTGAGAGATACCACTAGTGCCTCAATTCAGTTTCATCCTGAAATTCAAAGGCCTTCATGACCCTGCTGGGAATCTGACCACCGTTTTCCCACTTATTTCTGGGTTACAAATTCACACCCAAACAAACTTCTGGAACATGACCATTTATCCTATGGCAATTAAAGGACTTAAGGACTATAGACATCCTGCATGCCCCACCACGCATCCCTGGGCTCACCTGGATTTTGAGCCTGAATTTTCTGATGCCAGAGAAAGCTTTAAGTGTATTCAGAGCTTGGGTTTTGACACTGTTGTCCTTGTCATCCAGCATGTAGCCCAGCAACACGATGTCATCCGTAGTACAAGCAGAGGCCTGGAGTATTGGGGAGAGATGGAAGAGGCAGGAGAAGCGGGTGTTCTGGGCCCACTGCCCCCCATGTCACCAAGATCCCTCCGCACACCCCCCCCCCACCGCTATCAGCCAGAGAGAGGTCCCAGGATATAGTCTGGCCATTCCAGGGGCAGGGATCGGCCGTAACCCCCAGGGGCCAGGCCGGCTAGGGGGGACCTCCTGCTTCCCTTACCTCAGCCTCCAGCAAGTACACACAGCGAGTGATACTGTGCAGGATCATGCTCTTGGCATACTCATCCTGTTTGCACTCCAAAGAGTTGAGGAGCCTCCGGAGCTCACCTGAGTCCCGCCCGTGCCGCTCTCGCTCGACTGCCAGGCCTAGACAGCCACCCCAGCCCAGTTCAGGCTGTGGACTCAGAAGTGATGAAAGAATGGGGTTGGGAAGTAGGGGACAGGGACTTGGGGACAAGGCTGCCTTGCCTTTTCGGAGAAGCCTTCTCGCCATATGCAGGACCACCATGTACAGTTGAACGAATGTTTACTGCACAAGGGCACCCTATCTAATGTTGTATTGTCCATAACGTACCATCATAGATTTGTCCATTTACTCTAACAACTGTCTGGCATATGGCGGTAACAAGTAGTATTTCATCATAACCAGTATGTGGCAATGATATTCCAGCAGATGGCAATAAAGAGTCTTGCAGAAGGGGCTCATTTTCCTACTCTGCACAAAAGAACATGTGGACTAGTGGAAGCTCTGGGCATATAGTAAGTCCTCCAATCTTCCCTTTCCTTAAAGCCTCACGTTCCTAGGGCAGAAAAGGGATGGGGGGAGCTGCCGACACCAAGTTTCCAAGAAGTGGAATCCTGGGAGCCAGAGGAAATGTAGTATTTGGAGACCTGCCAGATGAGTCTGAGGATCCACTTGAGTGAGATCCAGGGACCCTGAGCTAGCATCTCTGGCAGGGCCTTGCCTAGGACGCTGCAGGGTGGGCTTGAGGAAGATGGACAAGAGAAAGACAAAGGAAAGAGGAACTTGGAGGCATCACCTTTGGGCCCTCCCACAGCAGAGGCCTCGGGAGCAGGTGCCTCCTGGGGCAGAGCCCTCTCCCCAGGGCCCGGACACTCACGGGCGATGCAGATGGGTGAGTTGCTACAGAGGGGTGGTTTGCATTTTATGCCAGCCTTGATGGCCTTGTAGAGCAGGTAGATCGCCCCGGCGCCTGTGGCCAGGCTGACTACGCTTTTGCGGATGTCCAGTTGCCCCAGGTATTGGGGGATGCTCTTGCCCATGTCTTCAGTGTTGCCCTGGGCCCAGGTGAGAGCTAGGCCCAAGGCACCTGTGGGGGGCCTTCCGGAACCAGAACTCTGGCAGGGTCAGGAACCAGGGTACCAGAATTGGAACCTAGGCAACAAAGGAAACTGGGGAGATAATGGGATGGAGGGCAGTGGTCAGGAAATGGGGCAGCCAGGAGTGCTCGAGAACAGATGGGGCCAGGCACCATGGCCCACACTTGTAATCCCAGCACTTTGGGAGGCCAAGGCAGGCAGATCACTTGAGGTCAGCAGTTCGAGACCAGCCTGGCCAATATGGTGAAACCTTGTCTCTATTAAAAATACAAAAAAATTAGCCAGGCATTGTGGCGCACACATGTAATCCCAGCTACTCAGGGGACTGAGGCAGGAGAATCGCTTAAGCCTGGGAGGTTGAGGTTGCAGTGAGCTGACACGCCACTGTACTCCAACCTAAGCGACAGAGCAAGACTCCATTTCAAAAAAAAAAAGAGAAGGTTCTGCTTTAGAGACCACAGGAGATGAAGCATAAGACAGAAGGGGAATAAAAGGGGAGAGGGCAGAAGTGTCCTTCACATCTCCTCTTCTTTAAGGGGGGACCCCAGCAGGTAGCTCCAGAGGCTGCCTTTCCACCATTAGAGGGCAGCAGAGGTCCATTTCCGGGCTGGGGCCTTAGGGCATTTCTGGGTGAGGTGTTTGGGGTATGCCCATTGACAACCCTGTTCCTTTTCTTTCCGGGCCCTCCCATATGTGATCTCTCCACCCTAGATCTACCCCTGGGCCTTGGGGTGTTTCTTCAGGTAGGGTTCCCTCCCCGCATCAGAGGATGAAAAGGAGGGGAGTATCTTAGAAAGCATGCACAGACTCTTGAGGCAAATCCACCCTTTTCCAGCATCTGCATGTTGCCCTGAAGTTTACCTGTTTGACAAAGTGCTCTTGAGGACAGCTACCTTTGCATCTCCAGCATAGAATCTTGTACTTAGCAGGTGGTTTAAGTCATGTTCTGCCATTCTTTAAGGACTTGGCGGCAGAACAATGACAGCATCTAGTAACTGGGGCTCCAGACCCTTCTAACCAGAGTGACCTTGGAGGAGAAAGGGATCGCCTTTGCCTTAGTCTGTTTCTGCATTTGTAACCTAAAGGGATTCGGATTTACCATTCTAAAACTCCAGGATTAAAATGTGGGTAAGTCTGTGCCTTTCAGCTAAATTTGGAAGTATCACCTCTCAGCCTCCCCAGGGATATGAGGCGGCTTGTGAGGTCCTCTGGAGTCAGAAGATGCCACCACCCCAGAGGATGTGAGCCCACCTGTGGAGGTCTTGATCCCCACCACTAGGATGGGGCAGGTGAGACCAGACCCTTCCCTCTTCCCCACCAGGGTCTCCCCGCAACTTCTGTCCCCACTCTCTGTTGCAGAACAGGCAAGTGGCCAGCTCCAAACTAGGGCCACGCCCACAGCCAGTGCTGAGCATGCTGCACCAGAACAGGTGTTCACCTACCTGGCCCTGATCCCTTTTTGGGAGAACTGGGACAGAAGGCTCTGGGTCCTGGGCTGCACCCAGGATGGAAGGAGGTAGGGAAACAGCATCTCCAATGATGCTGCGGCCAGCCAGGCCTGCCCACTCAGAGCCTTGGCCCAGTACACCCTAGGCAGCAGGCAGGGAACAAGCAACACTCCTGGGTGGCCATTCTATTCCTGTCCTCAGCCCTCCTCAAGGGTCATCATTCCTGGCACTCTATTTAGCCCCAAGGTGGGTGACTACATGAACTCCCTGTGGTGAGGGGTGAGTAGAAGCCCATGGAAGCCTCCCCACTGCCATGCAACCCCATCGCATCTCCACTGAACTCCGAGCAGAAAACGGCTGCCTGATGGGAACTGTCATTTAGGTTCCCAGGCTACTTTGGTGGATCTGAGAATAAATCCCTCAAGACAAGGTCCTTGCTCTGCCCTTCTCCAGGGTGGGACCCAGAGTTACTGGCCCCTCCATCCCATGGAGCCGATTCTGCAACCCTCACTTCCTAAGCACAGGTAAGGCTCACCTGTTCTTTAAAGACCTCCAAAAAGTGTTCTTTCTTGGCTGCAACCTAACTCCCTCCTGCCACACCTAAGGCCCATTTCTTCTGGTTCTGCCTTCAAATGATTCAGAGAGATTAGAGGCAGAGTCATTCCTAGAGTGACATTTTTACTAGTCCACAGTACAACAAAAAAATTAAAGACAAAGGAATGTCTATTTGTTGGCATAAAGTCCATTGACCATCTTTTCTTGGGAATAATTGTTTTCTTTCTTTTTTTTTTTTCTTTTTTTTGAGACAGGTTCTCACTCTGTCACCCAGGTTGGAGCGCAGTGGTGCGATGTTGGCTCACTGCAATCTCTGCCTCCCAGACTCAAGCAATCCTCTCGCCTCAGCCTCCCAAGTAGCTGGGACTACAGGCATGCGCCACCACACCAGGCTAATTTTTTGTATTTTTGGTAGAGACAGGGTTTTGCCATGTTGCCCAGTCTGGTCTCGAACACCTGAGCTCATGATCCGCCTGCCTCGGCCTCCCAAAGGGCTGGAATTATAGGCACGAGCCACCGCGCCTGGCTGGAACTAACAGATTCAGATGATGTCACTCCTATTTTGAGAATTAAAATGTATTTTCTTAGGTCAGGCGTGGTAGCTCACACTTGCAGTCTCAGCACTTTGGGAGGCTGAGGCGAGTGGATTGCTTGAGCCCAGGAGTTCGAGCCTGGCCTGGGCTGAAGCAAACCCCGCCAACCCCCAACAAAAAATACAAAAATTAGCTCAGCATGGTGGTGCGTGCCTGTAGTCCCAGCTATTCTGGAGGCTGAGGCGGTAGGATTGCCTGAACCTGGGAGGCAGAGGTTGCAGTGAGCCGAGATCATGCCACTGCACTCCAGCCTGGGTGACAGAGCCAGACCCTGTCTCAAAGAAACAGAAGTATTTTCTTTAATGATGGTGATAATAGATCGTAGGTATGTTCTCCATGCCCTTAGGGAGCGTAAATTTAAAGCTGCAACTCTTTATGGGAACCTGGCTTTCACTTGTTTTCTGGCTTTGTTTTTCTGTCAAATCCAGAAATCTGGAACCACTGGTTAAAAAGAAGTCTGAGAGCCAAAATACACACAGCCAGCTGTGAGTTACTACCTGCCTTACCCAGGAAAAGGACATGAGCTGCCCAAGCACACACCTCTTTGCCATCTATGCCAGCATTTTTACCTTCAAGGCCGATGTTCTCATCGTGTTAAGTACATTTGAGTTTAGTAAGTAAGTATGGGTTCTAGGCAGGGTTCAAAACCAGTTCAGGGCTGGGCGCGGTGGCTCACGCCTGTAAACCCAGTACTTTGGGAGGCCCAGACGGGCAGATCACAAGGTCAGAGTGGCCAGCCTGGCCAACATGGGGAAACCCCGTCTCTACTAAAAAATACAAAAATTAGCTGGACGTGGTGGTGTGCATCTGTAATCCCAGCTACTCAGGAGGCTGAGGCAAAATTGCTTGAACCCGGGAGGCGGAGGTTGCAGTGAACCGAGATGGCACGACTGCACTCCAGCCTGGTGACAGAGCAAGACTCCATCTCAAAACAAACAAACCAGTTTAGTCATGGACTTAGCTTTGTGATCTCCTTGTGCCTCATTTTCCCCACCTGTAAAATAGAAACAATAAGACTTACTTCATGGGATTGTTTGTGAGGATTAAGTAAAGCACTTGGAACAGTGCCCAACACACAGAGCTCAACAAATGTTTACTATAATCCTAATTATCTCCGCAGGTTTCACCTGGACAACATGTGGGGCGTGGGCAGGCAGTGAGAACACAGATGGTAGCCCTCGAAGCATCCCAGCCTGAAAAGCACATGAGTCAGCCCTTCCTTCCACTTACCCACTACCTCTCACGCTGGTCGTCTTTTTTATTTTTTCTCTCTCTCTCTTTTTTGAGACGGAGTCTGGCTCTGTCACCCGGGCTGGAGTGCAGTGGCGCCATCTCGGCTCACTGCAACCTCCGCCTCCCAGGTTCAAGCAAGTCTTGTGCCTCAGTTTACCAAGTTGCTGGAACTACAGGCACGCACCACCACGCCCGGCTAATTTTTGTATTTTCAGTAGGCTGGATTTCACGATTTCGGCCAGGCTGGTCTCGAACTCCTACACTCAGGTGATCCGCCTGCCTCGGCCTCTCAAAGTGCTGGGATTACAGGCTTACGCCACCACACCAGGCCTCCCTGGTCTTCTTAAAGTCAATCAATCCCAACTCCTGTAATCCATGTAACTGCTTTGAGTGACTCTGGAGCCATCTTTGAAGCCCCCACAAATACCTAAATGAGGAACAGGAGCCCTGCAACACATTCCCCTAAACTGTGTTCCTAAGAACCATCCAACTACCTGTGGAATCCTAAGGCCCCTTCCTCATTCTCTTTACCAGTATCCTGGCAATGGTTGTTTAAGCCTAGTTAATGACAGAAGCTCCAGACAGATACTGTTGGGGGTCCTCTACGAAAAGACACCGCCATTCCCGAGGGTGACGCTGCAGCGGCCCAGCACTTGTGCGCATAGAAGCTAAGGGGAAATTACCCTACCCTAAACTCCAGTGAAAAGCCCTTTGCAGTCCGACAGGCTTGCATTCACATCCCAACAGTGTGGGGTTTGGACAAATTCCATAATCTGAGTCTGTTTCCTCCTCTAGAATGCGAGTCTATGAATTCCTGTCTACTGCCTGGAAGTGCCGCTGTCAGGACTGAGATAATGTGTGTACTTTCGGTGCACAGGGGACGCTCAACACGTGCGAGCTTCCCTTGCAGAAAGCCAAGAGATGAAAGGCTGGGGGCCGCCCCTGCCTTAACGTGGATCCCACACTCTCCGAGATCATCTCCCCAGCTAGCGCTTACTCCTGCCCAGGAACCAGATCCTGGGGCCTCCGGGTAGCTCAGCCTAAGGCGCGGGGAGCAGAGGGGGCCAGCGCCCCCAGAGGAGGAGGTTGCGGCGGGGGGAAGGAGGCCGCGCCTTTCCCCGTCCCGGGCCTCCCCCGGTCTTGCTCTCCCTCCCCGGACTACCTCCTCCCCCCGCGCGCATCCGGCGACGGGCACAGGATGTTCTTTCGCTCCCGTCCCCGCTCCGCCCCCGCTCTCACTTTCTCTTCGCTCCCCTCCCCCACTCCCGCCGCGCCCGGCGCCGGCACCTAGTTTAACTCTTTCTCTCCCGCGCTCGGCGGCGCCTGCGCGCCTCCTAGGCGGGGGTCCCATCCTTCCCGCCCGCCCCCTAGGACGCGGAGCGACGGGGCTGCCCGGGAAGGGGCGGGCCTGGGCTGAGCGCTGGGCCCAGGTTCTCAGGATCTCGTGGCCCGCAGCTGTTGGAGAGGGCTCACTGGGAGCCGGCACTCTCTAGAACCCCCGCTAGTTCACCCGGGTGAGGGTGGGGGTGGAGGTGGGTACCCACACTCGAGACAACTGCGCGCCCGAGAAGGGCGGCCAGGCGGGCTTAGTTAGATGCTGGCCCGGCGGGAGGCGAGTACGGTCAAAGGCCACCAACCTCATCCTCCCCCCAGGTTCGGATGCGGAGGGGCCCAGGGCACCAGGAGACGATGGAGAGAGGCCACGCCCCTCGCGACGTCACTGATGTCAAGGCAACTGGGGGCGGGACGGTGGGCTAGAGAAGGGCAGACCTCGGGGAATTGAGGCTGCTGGTGGCTCTGGGACGGGGTGGGGGTGGGGGCGCAGCGGGGGCGGGCTTTTCAATTTGCTTCACTCAATGATGTCCAAAAAACGGAGTGAGGGTCAGCTTCTGTTCGCTCGTTGATTCAACAGGCATTTATTGAGCGTTATGCTTGGGGCTGTGCTTAGGCACTGGGATATTGCGTGCTATCCGAACCCTGCCAGTTGTTGTGAACTAGGGTAGGGTGGCTCTGCGTCCCTGGAACGGACGTAATTATTAACAGTGCCCCTTTTCAAGTTTAAAGTGTCCCAGTATGGGCAGTAGTTAAGGAACACCTTCCTCCCAATTTAGGAAAGGCTCTAACCATACGGGGAAGGAATATAAACTATTGGGTACAACAGACACTTTCCTGGTGCTTTGTATTCTCTGTAATTTTTGCCCCTCATTCTGCAAAACAAGTGTCACTAGCGACTTTTACAGACGAAGAAACTGGCTCAGAGAGGTTAAGAGACTTACCCAGGGCCAAACAGCTAAGTGTTGGAACCAGGATCCAGACCCAAGTTTTATGTGCCCTCCAAAGTATTTCATGCCCACTTCTCAAAATAAGTAAATGGTATCAAATAAATAAAAGACACTGTCCCTGCCATTAAGGAGCCTACAGCCCATGGGAGAAAGGGTTTAAAATACTGCAGGACATAACTAAGCAATAAAATATAGAAAAGATTAGGCAGGGCGCGGTGGCTCACACCTGTAATCCCAGCACTTTGGGAGGCTGAGGCGGGTGGATCACCTGAGGTCAGGAGTTCAAGACCAGCCTGACCAATATGGTGAAACCCTGTCTCTACTAAAATGCAAAAATTAGCCGGGCATGGTGGCGTTCAACTGTAGTCCCAGCTACTCGGGGAGCTGAGACAGGAGAACTGCTTGAACCGGGGAGGCAGAGGTTGCAGTGAGCCGAGACTGCCCCACTGCACTCCAGCCTGGGCAACAGAGCAAGACTCCATCTCAAAAAATAAAAAAAAAAAAAGGAAAAGATTAAAGGCAGCTCACAGGCTCAGAGGGAAGCCACTAGTTACGCCACTCTCCTTTCCACCTTCTGCCCTCCTCTGTGGTTTTGTTCTCTTACTGAGCAGGCATCTGCCCTCCTAGCAGGCATCTGCCCTCATTCTACTCTGCACCCAAGGTTTTGCAGTTGGTATTTGCCACAACCTCCCTGATATTAACTTGGATGTCAGCCTCTCCCTTCCCCACCAGCCACCACCCCCCGCCCCCCACCAAAGATTTTGGGGAAATGAAAAATAGTGGCACTTCAAACAAAAGGGCCCCAGTGAGCACCAGTAAGCCAATAGGCTTGATGGGACTGGGGAGACCAAGGCAGGAGAGAGAATAGGAAGGATGGAAAGGGAACACCACCAAATGAATGGGTCACGAGGAACATTTGCTGCCCTACTGCTGTGCAGGAGGCACTGCACTAAACCCCGTGGCCTGGACATGCCATGAATGAACTCAGGTCCCATCACAGAGAGTACACAGGTTAGCTAGTGTACTCACTGTGCTTGGTTGAGGAGTCTGAAGTTGATAACATACACAATAAATGATGTTTGAGAAAGATTATTCCAGCAGGGTGTGTAGGAGGAAGGAAAAAGAAAGGACAGTGTGGCAGATGCTGTGAGAATTTGGGCCAAAGGTGGACTCTATGGGGCTGGAGGGGAAAGGGTGAAGGAGAAAAGTAATGAACAAACAATATCTTTTGAAATAAAAGCAACAAAGGGAAGAATTTGATAAGAGATCAGACATAAGGATGGTGAAGGAGAGAAAGCAGTTAAAAATTAATCTACCTTTGCAGTGAGTTTTAGGACTGGGAGGGTCATGGTGGGCAATGGGGAGGAGCTGGTATGAGGGGCATGAATATGAGTTCAGTCACTTCTAGGCCATGTAAGGGCAGGTGTCCTGTAGGTGACTGGACTTGGAGATAGGGAAGTCCAGAAGAGCAGTGGGCTGCTGTCTGAGAGTGTCCCTGTCACAGCCTCGAGCAATCACTGACCTGGGATCACGGACAGATTTCAAGCATCAGGAAGAAGGTGGGAGTAGATGGCAGTGAAGGTGCCTCTCGACTGGGAGATGCAGTGTGCATTGGCTGGGTAAGAGCCTGTGTGGGAAGCGTGATGTGTGTATGGGAAGGGGGTCCACGGCCCAGGCCTGTGTTGGCATCTTTAGCCACAGAGGGTGCCAGAGATGCCACCAGATGGCAGGAGGCCCAGGTGAGGCACTTCAGCAGCCTGAGGTCCCTCCCCTAGGCCCACTCTCAAAGGCCCTGGAGCCCAGGCCTATGCTGCCTGCCAGGGCCTTTCCCGGAACCACTCCTCCCCGCCTGTCCTGGCACTCTCCAGGCACAAAGCATCCCTCAGGGCACTGCGCAGGCACCCCAGGAAGCTGGGACGTGAGACAGGTCCCCACCCCCAGGAATAACCCTGCTCTGGGCTGCTGTCATCCTCACAATGGCCCCACAAGACGCCAGGAGACAGCATAGGGACAGCATAAGTCCCCAGTGGGGACCCCAAATGGGACCCCATTTCCCCTGCATAGAGGGGGAAGGAGGAGCTTTGTGGCTAGGTGGCAGGATCTTTATTGGGTCTTTATTGTGGTTTGGGGGTGGGGGCAGAAAAGCAGGGTCTCGGGCTTCAAAACACCACACCACCTGCCTCTCCCTCCCTCCGAGGAGGAAATCTTCAGGGGCCTAGTGGTTTTGAGGGGAGGGGGCAGGAAGAGACTCTGAACTCTGGGTCAGCTGAGGACAGAGATAGGGGAGATCCTCTTGCCCTATGTCCCTCTTTTCTCCTAGGATCCCCTTCCTCGGCTCCCTACTCCACCACTACCCCAGAACAAACTCCTACCTCTGTTTGCAACTAAGAGTTACATCCCCCATGCCAAGACCTTCCGAGGCGTCCCAGAGGGGTGAGATTTGGGGAAAACAGGACATGTACACAGCAGCTGTGTGCCTGGCCACACCTGTCGGGTGGGGTGAGGAGAGTGCTTCTCCCAGGTGGGCAGAGCCTGCTGCGCTCAGGCTGGGGGCTGGGAGACGCTTTAATAGAGGGGCGAGAAGGCAGAGGGATGCGCAAACCGGCCACGTGGAGGTCTCGCGCGGCAGGCTGGGGCGCGAGCAGAGGAGCGGGCCGTATGCTTGCCCCTCCCGTTCCAGGGAGCTGCCGAGTGCCGGGTCGTCGCTGACCGCAGGCTGCAAGAGCGGTTGATCTGGTGAGCGAGCACACCCACTTACCCAGCTGCTGAGTCAGGCTGTTCTCGCTCGCGCTCGCCCGCCCGCCCGCCCGCTCGGGACATTGTGTTCCAGCCCCGGCGCGCTGGCAGCGGGCCCAGGCGCTCACACCAGCCTCCTCGCCCTGTTTGTGCTCGCGGCTTGCGCTCGGCGCGCAGCCTCCCGGCCGCCGCAACCATGCGATTGCACGCTGGGGCAGGGGTTGGCGAGCAACCTCCGGGGCGCGCGTGGGCCCCGCAGCCCTGCCCACTCACCGGCCTTGGAGCACCCAGACCTAGCCATCCCCCATTTGCCCCTGCTTGGGTACCCCAGGCTTGGGTGGCGCCTGGATTAGCACAGCTGGGGGAGGGAGCAGGTGTGGGGAGCTCTACGAGCAGAAGGAGCCACCCAGGCTGCCGCCAGCGCTCTCCAGCGCTCAGTCCGTGCTTCTCCAGCGCTCAGTCCGGGGGGCGGGAGGAGGATAGCTGGAGCTCGCCAGCCCCAGACTTGCGAGACCTGGGACGCAGTCACGTGACAACGGAAGCCCGTGTTGAGGGGGCCAATTCAAGCAATCCCCAGGAGGAGCCTCCCCTTTCCTAGCCCCCCTTCCCTGATCCTTCACAGAAGCCTGGAACACGGAGACTCCAGGGATTCCCGGGGCTGGCAAACCAAGCCCAGCCCTTTTGGACGGTTTGGGAAATCCCTGGCACGACGCCGGGAGTAGGGAGAGCCCAGACACTGGCGAGTGGGTGTGGACGACAGGGTGAAAGAAGGGCAAGGCCAAGGAAGACGACCCCAAACTGCCCCTGGAATCTGACCCTTCCCTGTGTTTAGCTCCAAACCCCTGGTTTATTCAGAGCCACGTTTTCTCCTTACCCATCCTTCTGTGGAAAGACATCACTAAGTGCTGGTCCTAAAGATCCCACCCTCTCCAAACCAAGGAGGGAACAAAGCATTTATATCGCACGTTTACCGTGTGGAAGGCTCTGTATTGGGTCCTGCTAAAGAATGTCACCATGAGGTTAAGACACAGTCCTGAAGTCCTTTGTTCTCCCTCCTTCCCACCTCCACAGTTTGCTGTGCCATTTCTCATGCCAGGAGTGCCTGTCCTCCCTGTCTACCCATCTCTGCTGCTCCAGCTCATAAAGCTTCCTTGAAACAGTGCCAGCCAAATCTGATTCCTGTCTCCTCTGAACGCCCAGCACACTCAGTTTGTACCTTTCTCACGGCACAGCGTGTGGCCTGTCTCATATTCTAGCGATCTGTTTACTAATCCTGTTCTTCTAACCAGATTAGAAAGTCCTTGAGGCAGAAACAAAGTCTGCTTCTTCTTTGAGCCCTCTCCTCCACTGCCCCCGCCTCCCACCACCATTCCAACTCATCCCCCACAGGCCAGGCTTGGCACCGGAGTTCATGTTCAATAAATATTGGGTGTATTGAAATGATATCCTCCCCTTGGGCAATTGAAGAGACAAACACGCTGGATGTTAGGTTAAATAATAACCCAAGCCAGCAGGTGGTGAGTACCAAATGTGTGTAATAGCTATAGGGACTCAGAAGAAAGAAGGTGGTTCTAGGGAGAAAGATATGGGAGAAAGATCCCAGGAGGTTCTAGGCCTTGAGCTGTGTGTGTGTGTGTGTGTGTGTGTGTGTGTGTGTGTGTGTGTGTGGAGGAGGAGGAGATGGGAGGGGTGGACGTGACTCATTCTGCTTGACATCACCACAAAACAACCTCCACGCTAGGCACTTCACATGCATTATCTCTAATATTTAAGGTTGGGGGGATAGGATTGGGAGGCTTGGAGGGCACAGTGCCCAAGCCAGGCCTGCCTTCCCAAAGCCAACCAGAGCATAGAGGCAGCCTTGGATCTGGGCTCCCCACCCTCAGTCCCTGGGCACTGCCTGTTCTCTGGCCTGCCACTCCTACGTACTACACCCAAGAGAGCTGCCCAGCACTGCCTAGTTCTGGATGCACTCTGGTCCCACCCTGGTGAACAACTGCCTGTGTGACCTTGGACAAGGCACTTCCTCACCGTCATCTGTACCTCTCTTGCAGCCCTTACAGGCTGTGACTTCCAGTCAGTATCCAAGTGATGCTTGCCGCCTTTCCGGGTGTCACCTGGGCTGCTGGGGCTGTCTGCACCCTACATTCCCCCAAACACCCCCATGCATACACACTCATTGCTCCCTCCCAGTCTGGAGCTGCTGAGAGGAACAGGGTACAGAGTGTGAGCAGGGATGGTAGGTTTCCTGTGGTTGCAAAAGGAACATCAGGACTTTCCCTGCGGTGCCCCGAGCTGTGGGAGAAGTGGGGGAGGAGGAGGCAGGGCCAACCTCGAAGGAACCTCTGCTCTCTTCCCTCCCCATTTTAGTGCTCACAGCTCTCAAAAAGGCTGGTACAGTTTGTTACGCTGGGACCGGAATGTACCGTGTGTTTCATATGGCCTCTGTCCAGTCCTACACTGGCCGCTTTATATTTATACTTCCTTCTTTAGCTGTGGCATCCTGCTGTCAGTTACCCCTGCTCTCATCTCCCCATCTTCCACTTGGGCTCCCCAACTCCCCATGGATCAAGAAATGAGTCTCCTGCTTCCCACTCCCCGTCTTTAGGTTCTAAACTCTTGCTGGGGGTGGGAAGGTGGGGTGCAGAGAGACCCTGGAGAAGTTAGACTCCAGAAGGGTGAAGCCCCCAGTCCTTTCTCTCTCCCATCACCCAGCCTTGAAACTGCCTCTAAAGCTGTGGAGTCTCCACACCAGGTCTGGAGTTTCTCTGGACCCTTGAGGCTGATCCCTCTCCCCTTGCCAGCCTTGTTTCCCAAGCCTTTTAGCAATATTCCTGAGCCCAGCTAGACAAGTGACAGCACTATGTAAGTTGCCTCCAAGAGCTCGGCAGACCTGGTAATCACAGATCCTTCCTTGTCAGTCACAGAGAACAGAGGCAGAGGTGGGGGCCTCGCGGCAGGGAGGGGGATCTACCCATCCTCTCACCCCCAGGAGTCACACATTCCTAATGGAATTTGACACTTGATGATTTCTCAATGATTTTCTGAGTTGTGACCAGTTTAATCTCCTCAAAGTGGCTTAGATATTGAGAGATCAATACGTTTATGATCTGGCCTTTCTCCCCCAGGAGCATGGGATATTATTATTCACATTGATGGCTAATCTTGATTGCTTATATGGAGAACTATCTCTGCACACCAACCCCCAACAGCGTTTGGAACCCAAAGACTGTGGCACAGGAGACTCACTACTAGACCCAAGGTTGAGGTTCAGGTCTTTATTTACAGGATCCCATTTACTCCTCACAACAATTCTGGGGTGTGGGTGCTATTGTTAGCCGTCTTTGACAGTTAAGGAAACTGAGGCTCAGAAAAATAACAGAGCTCAGCTGAGATTCACACTCAGGTCTGTCTGACATCAAAGCCAGCACCTTTTTTTTTTTTTTTCTGAGACAAGGTCTCACCCTGTTGCCCAAGCTGGAGTACAGTGGGGAGATCATGGCTCACTGCTGCCTCAACCTCTGGGGCTCAAGCAGTCCTCCCACCTCAGCCTCCTGAGTAAACGTCCCAAGTAGCTGGGATTACAGGTGTGAACCATCACACCTGGCCAAAGCCAGCACTTCAAAATAGTCTTCAAGATTGCTCAGATTATGTAACTAAAATGCAAATTCTCCATTTCTCAAGCCTCAGAGTCTTACTCCCTTCTCCCTTCAAATGAAGGAGAACTCTGCCTCCTTGGAGCTCCTGCATGCCTTGAGGTGTGATCTGACAGCTAGAAAATTGTTTTTAGCCCATTCGACAGGCTGAAATCTGGATACTAGCAAGGCCCCAGAGGACAGTCTCAGCAGTGGAGTTGGACAGTCAGGCCTGCTGGCTGTGGGCTCCGTGTGTCTCTTGGCTGGCTGGCATGCCTGCTGCCCCTCACCCTTCACCCAGGAATAAACTTCCTGGTTGTATTGATTTGGCTCTGGGATCCAAAAACCAGGGGCTGAGCCTGGGTTCCAGGGCTCTGAAGTCAGGTCTATCTGCAGCACCCAGTGACAGTGACACGGCCTCTCTTAGGACCCGTTTACAGCAGGCCTTTGGGAGAAAGCACCACCATTATGTCAATCCCTGGCACTTATATCAGGCTGTGTACATTTAATGTACCTGCCTTAACTCAGTATGATCTTAATATGCCTCTAAAGTAAGAATCAGACTCGCTTTCCTGCTGGGAAAACTGAAGCAAGAGCAGCTAAGTTGCTTGCCTAAGGGCAAGAAACTAGGTTTGTAGTTGCTGTCTGGGGTACTTTGTTTCCTATCACAGGGCCTCTCCTGAGCTAAGAGAGGAAAAGTTTTCCAGGATGTCCTGATGATGTGTGGGCTTTCACTCAGCCCTATCACCCAAGGAAGGGACCACAGCACCACACTGCCCGTGCCAGCCTTATCTGCCTACCCCCAGGGGATGAAGCAGGGACCCCAGACGTAATGTATTTAGTTGGTCTGTCCTGGTCTCTGGCAATCTGTCCAATATGGCTCTCATGGGCACATTTTGTCTTTCTGACCTTCTTCTTTCTCTGAGTTCATTCTTCTTTGTTTATCTTTCCTTCTGAATTTCTCTCTCCTTGTTCACTGAGAGTCCTGTTTACCTCCATCTATCGGTGTTTACTTTTTATTTTTGCTTTTTGTATTTCCAGTCTTCTGGGAATTTTCCCAAGATCCCTTCTGCCTTCTTCCCTCTGACACCATCTTTTTTCCCAGGAAGCATCTTCCATTTGTTCCTACCTCCACGCCCTATGCCTCACCTTGCCCCAAGCTTCTGCCAGTGTCAGATTGCTCAGCCTTGTTAATCCAGTGGGCACTTACAGAGCACCTACTGTGTGTCCCAGGAATTGAGTTAATGCCCTGGGAACCAAAGTCCTACACCTGTGCCTGGGCATTTATTTATTTATTTTTATTTTAATTTTTATTTTATTTTATTTATTTATTTTTTGAGATGGAGTCTCGCTCTGTCGCCCAGGCTGGAGTGCAGTGGTGTGATCTCAGCTCACTGCAACCTCTGCCTCCCGGATTCAAGCAATTCTCCTGCCTCAGCCTCCCAAGTAGCTGGGATTACAGGCCCCCGCCACCACGCCCAGCTAATTTTTTGTATTTTTAGTAGAGATGGCGTTTCACTGTGCTGGCCAGGATGGTCTCGATCTCCTGATCTCATGATCCGCCCGCCTTGGCCTCCCAAAGTGCTGGGATTACAGGCGTGAGCCATCGCGCCCGGCCATGCCTGAGCATTGATTAAGCACCTACTGTGTGTGTGTGCCAAGTATTGTGCTACAAACTGGGGACACAAAACCTGGTCGCTGCCCTCCTATGGGCTACTTGGAAAGTCTGAGTCCCTGGTTTACTTGGGAAAATGCACAAAAACGGATCATTATAATGTCTTGGGAAGTTGGGGACTGGGTGTGGCCAGAGCAGAAGGTTCAGGGAGAGAGGAATTGGCCAGGCAGAGCAAGGGTGCAGGACGTTCCAGGTAGAAGGAACAGTGTGTATAAAAGCACACAGGCGTGAAGCAGCCCGGTGTTCTCTGGTGGGCACTGGGAGTTGTTTGGTCTGGCTGGACATGGAGTGCAGGTTGGAGAGCCCGGGGAGATGAGGCCAGAGGCAGGCAAGCCCAGATGGTGCAGAACCTCGTGTTCCAGCAAGAGTTGACCTTTATCCTGCAGCAGCCGGAAGCCCAGGCAGCCTCATGGTTCCCTGCAGCCCGGGAGCTTCAGGGCTGAGCCTGGGCCAGAGCCAGGCCCAAAGCACTCTCCTCCGATCCCCCATTAGCCCACATTCACAGCCCTCAGCAAGGCCTGTGAGAGTTAGTCACTTAAATATAATGCTATTTCCAAAGCTCATTCATTCATTCATTCATAAATGTTTAGCAAGCGCTGATGTTTGCCAGGTGCTGCTCTGAGCACCGTGAATGGGTCATTAAACCCCACAGAGGTTCCAGCTTTCAAGAAACTTATATCCTTGGCAGTTGGGAAGGGGACAGGCCATAAAAAAAAAACAGAACAAATAAGTAAGAAAATTTCAGATCACAATATGTGCAAAGAAGAAAATGAATAGGGATGCGATGGAGTGTGATGGGGGGTCTGCTGAGTACTCAGGGAAGGCTGCTATGAGGAAGGTTATATTTGAGCTGAGACCTGGATGACAAGAATAAACTAGTCACGTTAACATCTGGAGGCTGAGGGTTTCAGGCACAGGGAACAGCACAGCACATGCAAAGTCCTCAAGGCAAGAAAGAGCTTTGTGTTTTCCAGGTTTAGAAAAAAGGCTGAGTTCAAATCCACTACTCTCCAGTAATCCTCTGCAAGGATTATTACACCCATTTTGTAGAGATGGAAACTGAGGCTTGGTCAGGAAGGTTAGTTTCTTGGTCAAAATCACAACTGGGAGTACGCATTTTGGCTGTAAAGCCACTATTGTCGGCTGGGCATGGTGGCTCATGCCTGTAATCCCAGCACTTTGGGAGGCCGAGGCGGGCAGATCACCTGAGGTCAGGAGTTCAAGACCAGCCTGACCAACATGGAGAAATCCCGTCTCTACTAAAAATACAAATTAGCCGGGCGTGGTAGCGCATGGCTGTGGTCCCAGCTGCTCGGGAGGCTGAGGCAGGAGAATCATTTGAACCCGGGAGGCGGAGGTTGTGGTGAGCCGAAAGCATGCCATTGCACTCCAGCCTGGGCAATAAGAGGGAAACTCCATCTAAAAAAAAAAGCCACTATTTTGGGGTGTGTGTATATGTGTGTTTTTTAAATAAAAAAATCAAGTTCAGCAACCATGTGTCCTAAATTATCTAGAATGGTCAAATTTCTAAAATTCTTTTTTTTTTTGGAGACAGAGTCTCGCTCTGTGGCTGTGAGTGCAGTGGCATGATCCCAGCTCACTGCAACCTCCACCTCTCGAGTTCAAGCAATTTTCCTGCCTCGGCCTCCCAAGTAGCTGAGATTACAGGCGCCTGCCACCATGCCTGGCTAATTTTTGTATTTTTAGTAGAGACGGGGTTTCACCATGTTGGCCAGCGTGGTCTCAAACTCCTGACCTCAGGTGATCCACCCGCCTCAGCCTCCCAAAATGCTGGGATTACAGGTGTGAGCCACCGTGCCCGGCCCTAAAATTCTTATTGTCTTCTGGACAGTCATCTTGGACATGCTCTGTGTTCCATATCATGACTTCAAGCCTTGCCTTTTTCATGTACTACCAGTGGGATCCTAGACTAGCACTTTACCACTTTAAGCCTCAGTTTCCTAATTTGTAAATAAGGAGTAATTGTAATCATTCCAATATCACAGGCTTGCTGGGAGGATTAAATGAGATCATCCACATCAGGGTCAGCACAGTGCCCGGAATGGGGTACCTGTGAAATTAATGGTGATTCTTCTTTATTGTTACCTTGGAAAATGGAGGCCAACTGCAGGATGATCGTGGCTCCAAGGAGCTGGGGACCCAAGACATGCACAGAGAAAGAGAGACCAACAATGTGAGGCCTCTGATGCATGAGACAGGCAGGGGAGTAGTGGGAGGAGAGAGCAAGAGTGAGCAGCCAGGAGGGCCTCTTCCCTTCCCTTTACTCAGCCTGTCACTCCTCTGCTAGGATCCTGCATTGACACATCTTGTACTTCCTGTTTCCAGGGAAATTCCTCGCTGCCGGACTGCGCCCACCCTTGAGGACCTCACATTCTCTTTGGGCAGAGCGGAAGCCAGACAGAGACAGGGACTACGAAGCGACAATCCCCAGCCCTGTGTGTGCAAGGAGCCCCCGAGGGGCAGGCAGCCACGCTGCAGAAGGCTAGACTCTCCGACCCCCAGGGAGCCTGGTGTGGGCTGCAGGGACAGAACGCTTCTCAGAGGAGGTAGGGACCCCATGGAGTACGTGACGCCTGGCCCTCCAGCTGCATGCTCCAGTTATCAGGACAGAGACCCCTCCCCACCCATTCCCAGGCTTCCCTGGCTCCCTGCTCTGCTGCTGGGAGGCCCTGTCACCACACATGCGCGTGCACGCACTAACATACACACACCCCTCTCAGGCACCCCCGGAAGACCAGCTGCAGCTGGGGGTGGGGGTGCACGGAGCACAGCCAGGGTTCTCAGATCCCTAGCCTGCTCTCCCACCCCGCCCTAGCCCCCAACTGCCGAGCTGCTTCTAGTTTTAAAGCAAAACATGACTCTGTCCTTCCTGCTGCTCAGTGGCAGCAACACTGCCTGGGGTTATTTTTAGCAGGGATGCAGGGAAGGCACAGTTCTCCTTGACTTTAACTAGGGACAACCCCCACCCCTCAGCCAAGACTCACTGGAGGAGGCCGGGTACGGAAACCCCCCTCCCAGAAAGGGGAAATGGTGTGTTTTCTGTTCCTTCAATTCACTAGAATGGGAGTTGCAGTCAAGCTTGGGGTTGAACTGATGGGAAATTCTAGGTTCCAAAGCCTGTGGGCTCTGCCCCATCCCTGGTCTCTGTGTTTCCATGAATCCGGGAAGCAAGAGGCACATGGTGTCTGGAGTCGAGGTGCCCTGTCTGTGGGTGTTGGTGTCCCTGGGAAACTGCTTGGTTATAGCCAGGCTCTGTGGACTACACAGGGGCACCAGGCATTGTGGGTGGTGTTTCACAGGCGCTGGCTAAATAATTCATTAAACTGAGCATGTCCGTTCCGTGTATTTTTCTGTATGTGTATCTTTTAGATGCTAGCAGTACTTTATGAGGTATAATGTACATACATTCCACATCCAGTAAAATGCACAGATCTTAAGTGTACAGCCTGATGAATTTTGACAAATATATCTGCCCATGTAACCATCACCTAGATCAAGATTTCAGACATTTTCACCACCTCCAAATTCCTTCGTGCCCCCTTCCAGTCAGTCTCTACCGCAGAGGCAACTGATTCTGATTTCTATCACCATAGATCATGTGTGTGTTTTACAAAGTTAAAAGAAATACAGCTGCTGTCATAGAAGAGGGAAATGAGCAATAAAGTTCTTAACATGAAAGGGAGGCCTCAAAAAAGGGGTTACTGGAACTGGAAAAAATGAAGGTATCATTGGCTGGGAAACAGGAGGTTTCAGACCCAGCCCAACCCCTCAGGGTTGGGACCAGAGGGCTTGGGACACTTCTTGGAGCAGAGAGGCTGTGAGTTGGGAGGGGGCAAGGGGAGGGCCAGCTGTGGCTCAGGCCCAGCTGCCTCCTGTTCTGCTAGAGGTCCCTGCCCCTCCTCCAGGCCCTCCCCACTGCACAGTTTCAGCAAGGCCAAGGCTGCAAGGAAAGGTTCTCTCAGGGGCATCTACCCAGAGGCAGAGTTTAGGGCCCCTGTGTAGTTAGATTATTTGTTTTTCTTGCCTTCCTCTTCAAGGTTTGGAACTCCTGTATCCTTTGTCCTGCCTGGGGAGGGGAGAGGCTGAGGCTGTCAAAGTAGAGTGCTAAGGAAGAGTCATGATGCTTTTCATTCTTTCCTTCCTTTCTTCATTCAAAAACAGTTATTTGAGCACCTGTGTTGTGCTGTAGATTCTGCTAGGTGCTGAGGATAGGAGAATAACTAAGCCACATTTTAGCTTGCTATGGAGTCCGAATTGGGATTCCCAGGTGAGGCCGGGCCTTATACCTCCTTTGTATTGGAGATGAGGGGCCCAAAGAGGGGAAGTGACTTATTCAGAATCACACAGCTAGCTGCTGGCAGAGGAAGGCAAAGAACAGGGATCCCTGATTCAGCCCTAGATGGGGATAAGAAAGCAAAGGAAACCAAACCAACAGCCGATTCCCCGGTGTTCCCTCCTGCAAGCTTTTTAGGGTGACAAAAATCACTGACCTGGAGTAAGAGGACCTCATTTCTACTGCTAGGTCTTAGAAACACTTCCTCTCTCTGGGCCTCAGCTTTCTTCCATGAACATGCGGGAGGCAGCTTGCAGAGGACCTCTGGCTCTCGCGAGCACACCCTGCATTTTCCCGCCTCTGTGCCTTTGCTCGAGTTGTTTCTGCCGCCTGGAATGCCCCCTTTCCCCTACCACTTCCTTCCTCTGACATTCTCCTAATCGTTTATGGCCTAATTCAAATGCCGCCCCCAGAGGCCCCCCAGTCCTTGGACATCTGGGGAGTGGTGTCATCCAGGTCTCCACTACTAGAACAGAGACAGAGCTGCCTCCATTTTGCAACCCTCCCATCCTAGGGCACAGCCTTCCAGGGAGATGGGGTCTGTTTTGCCAGCCACCGTTGGAGGAATCGAAGGGACTTATTCCTCCCGCCCTACACTTTCACCTGCCCCTTTTCAATGTTCAGAGACTGATGTCTTCCTTCTGCTGGGCCTCCAAGACATTGTGCTTTCTGCTGGCCATGCCAGCCCAGGCTGGAGCATCAAACCTGGGCACTTCTGGCAAAGGTGGCTGCCCTGGGAGGTGACCCCAGGAAGGATGAGACGGCGGGGCCTCAGCCAGAAGCACAGCTGCCCCACCTCAGTCGTCCAGTCCTCATTCACAAACACCCGGGCAGAAATCCTCCTTCCACCACAAACACATGACTCCTGTTCCCACAGCCATGTCCAGACCCACTCCTACCTGCCTGCCCACAACACCGAGTTTGCAAAAATGTCCCCCACGCTCCCACAGCTCCCCTGCCCCTCCCATGGGTGTGCATTGCCACAGGTGCACATTCATTGCACATACACACAGGGTGCACACAGACATGCACGTGGGCATGTAATGGGCAACACAGATGTGGACACATGCGTGCATACACACAGATGCATACATGGGCATGTAGCCCCACAAACACACGTGCACATGGAGCACACACTCACACATACATGAATACATGGGCACACAGGCACACGTGTGCACACACATGGGCGCACAGGCACACACTCTCACACGCTCTCTCATGATAGGAGGCTCCTCTCCACCCTCAGCTCTCAGGCAAGCCCAGCTCACATGCCTTGAGCTGAGGACACTGTAGGGGAAATGTGGGCTCAGTTGTTGGTTCCCAGCTGCCTCTGGCTTTGTATCCAACTGGAATCTTTTCTATTAATTTTTCCTACTGATGGCCCTGTGGGAATGAGAAAAAGCTCAAGAGCTGTGGGTTTACTCTGGGACAGCACCTTGTTTGGGTGCCTGGCAGGAATAGGGATGGCGGGGGGTGGGGTAAGGATTCCATCACTTCTAGGAACAAAGGTCTCCAAGGAGCTGAGGTTTGGTGAGACCAGTAAACACGAGGCTGGTCTTTGCTCTCACTGCCACACTCCTCCCTCTAGCCCATCCATTCTTCCCATTGCTGCAGATGCCCCATGCCCATGCTCTCCCCTGTGGGGAGGTGGGAAAGTCTTAGAAGAGGGCTCAATCCCAAGGTTGATGTGGCAGCTTTGGGACTGGCAGCAGGGTCCCAGGCAGTCTAGCCCTCTTCAACAGAAGGGTGGCTTCTCCCAGACTCCTCCAGGGCAGCACAGCAGGAATCCAGAGACCAGCCAAGCAGGGGGTAATGTTTGCGACCCAATTACCAGATCTCAAGAGTTGGGTAGGGAGGAAGCTTGGATTCCATTAAATCCAATTCAGCGGCAGTCACTGAGTACAGAGCATGTGCCTGGGATGGGTTGGGGCAGGTAGGAAGGGTGAGGGGTGGCACAGAAATCATAAGACACGGTAACTGTCTTCTAAGAGTGTGTGTGTCTTGGTGTGAGAGACTGGGGAACATCACATAGGCAGAAGAACTCCCGAGAATGAATCTCAAACACCGTGCTGCACACTGAGGCCATCACCTCTGCCCACCCCTCCCAGAGCATACAGACACTGCCACCTGCCTGATCTTCCTGTTGTCTTCCCTATTTTGTTTTTATTTTAGAGTCAGGATTTCTGTTGCCTAGACGAGTGCGGTGGCACAATCGTAGCTCACTGCAACCTTGGACTCCTGGGCTCAAGTGATTCTCCCACCTTGGCCTCTTGAGTACCTAGGACTATGGGTGTGTGCCACCATACCCGGCTAATTTTTAGAAATGTTTTTAGAAACGAGGTCTCCCTACAGTGCCCAGGCTGGGCTCGAACTCCTGGCCTCAAGCAATCCTCCTACCTCGGCGTCTTGAGTTGCTGGGATTACAGATGCGAGCCATTGCCCCCACCTGTCTCCCCTATCTTGGTAACTAATGTTGCATGACAGAAACTTTCGGGCCACCCTAGATTCTGCCCTCCCCTACCTCATCCAATCAGTCCTCATATCGCATGGGTTATTCTTGCCCTATCCTTTCCATCCAATCCCTCCTTAAGGCCTCACCACCACTGCCTTGGCATTTCTCACCACTTCCCTCCCAGGGTTTCTAATGGCACAGGGGCTGGAAGGATCCCATCTTCAGGTTTATACCATCCTCCTCTCTCCATCCTCCACATGGATGCCAGAATGATCTGCCACAAACACACGGCTCATCTGTAACTTAGAGCCCTTTACAGGCTCCCCATTACCATCAGATTGGAAACCCAAATGCCTGGCATGGCACAGCCAGCCGGCCATGCACAGCATGCAACTCGCAGCCTGCCCCCAGCTGCACGTTAAGTTCCAGCCTCATGGAATTCCTCCTGGTTCCCTCAGCTTGCTGTACTGGTGTACACCTCTGAGCCTTTGTACATGCCGTTCCTGCTGCCTGGATGCCCTTTCCTCCTTGACCTAGCAAGGAACTCCAAATCTTTCTAGACTGAGGGGGGCCCTCTTTGTCTCTATTGGAACACATTTTATAATAGTGCTGGCAATAATGGCACTGTTCTGATTACTTTGCACATACATATATATAAACAAGCATATATATATAAGCTTGTTTAAGCCTCATAACAACCTTGATAGGTACTATCATTATCATCTCCATCTTCTAGTTGGGAAAAATGATACACGGAGAGATGAAGTAACCAATTGACCTAAGCTGACGTGCCTAGTAAGTGGCGGAGTGGGATTTACTCACAGCCAGTTTGGCTGAAGATGCTGTGAAATGAATAAATGAATGGACTCATTAACATTTAATGGAATGCCAGGAGCAGTGGCTCACACCTGTAATCCCAGCACTTTGGGAGGCCAAGGCGGGTGGATCACCTGAGGCCAGGAGTTCAAGAGCAGCCTGGCCAACATGGTGAAAACCTGTCTCTACTGAAAATACAAAAATTACGCAGGCGTGGTGGCATGCACCTATAGACTTGGGAGGCTAAAGCAGGAGAATCGCTTGAACCCAGGAGGTGGAGGTTGCAGTGAGCCGACATCGTGCGACTACACTCCAGCCTTTTCTTTCCAAATTAAAAAAATTAATAAATAAATTTAATGGAATGAAGAAGTAGGGCTCACCTTCATTTATGTAAGACATCTGCCACGCTAAACCTATTTTATTTTTATAGAACACAGAATTTTTTTTTTTTTTTTGAGACAGAGTTTCACTCTTGTTGCCTAGGCTGGAGTGCAATGGCACGATAGCTCACTGCAACCTCCATCTCCCAGGTTCAAGCGATTCTCATGCCTCAGCCTCCCAAGTAGCTGGGATTACAGGCTCCCGCCACCATGCTCAGCTAATTTTTGTATTTTTAGTAGAGATGGGGTTTTGTCATGTTGGCCAGGCTGGTCTCAAACTCCTGACCTCAGGTGATCTGCCCACCTTGGCCTCCCAAAGTGCTGTGATTACAGGCGTGAGCCACCACACCCAGCAGAACACAGAGTATTTTGAAGAAAATACATTTTGAGAGTAAAATCCTATACATCTTGTTTTTCTTTTCTTTTTTTTTTTTTTTGAGGCAGTGTTTCGCTCTTGTCACCCAGGCTGAAGTGCAATGTCTCCATCTCGGCTCACTGCAACCACTGCCTCCTGGGTTCAAGCAATTCTCCTGCCTCAGCCTCCTGAGTAGCTGGGATTACAGGCACATGCCACCACGCCCGGCTAATTTTTGTATTTTTAGTAGAGACGGGGTTTCACCATGTTGGCCAGGCTGGTCTTGAACTCCTGACCTCAGGTGATCCACCCACCTCAGCCTCCCAAAGTGCTGGGATTACAGGTGTGAGCCACTGTGCCTGGCCGCCTAAGATTTTTCAAGTCAGTAAAGAGAGATGTCCTCATAACCCCTTAAGGACCTGCTTAACCATGGGTGGGTGTCAGCTCCTTACTAAGCAAGCCCTGTGGTTTTATGCCCCCAGGGAGACAGACCCCCTGAGAAGTGACCCCAGGCCTCAGTTGAAAGAGCCTCACATCTCAGTGGATGGGCTGGGGACAGAATTGTTCCAATCAGGGATGTCTGTGAGGGATTTCTGGAAGAGGTGAGATTTGGGCTGAGTCTTGACAGATTTTGACAATCAGAGGGAAGGGAGAAGGGCAGGAAGTCAAGAAAATATTTGGACCCCAAGGCTTAGTAGTTGGACAGGTGGGGCAAGAAGGCAGGGGAGAGAGGATGTGAGGGTGTGAGTCCGGAGAGGCAGGTCACAACCCTTCTGGGTGGCTGCACAGTTTTGGACAAGTGGCTGCTTTTTACATTCTCTGCTACCCTTTATGCAAATTGAGCATTTAAGTCTGGGAAAAAGCTCACAGGAGAATCCCCAGGGCAGGAGCGTTTGCTGCTCCTTGGGCCCCCACCCGCCAGCTAGCAGCTTCAGCCTCCTACACTGACTTCTGAGAGGTGCTGTGACTTAGAGCATATGTCACAGCTGTGCTGCTTGCTAGAAGGGTAGGTCTTTTAAAACCTCTGTGCCTTCATTTCCTTAACTGTCAAAGGGTGGTAGTGTCTACCTCATAAGGTTGTTGTTGGAGATTAAATTAGTGAAGGCACCTTAGACCATCTAGACCACCAGCTTCATTAAGTGCCTAGTAGACATTAGCTAATATTGTCACTGGAGCCAACGGTCTTCATAATGAGGCAAAATTCCATTGGGCTGTCCCTCTTCTAGGCCACAGGATTTGGCCTTGGCTGCTGCCTCATTCTAGTCCTAAGGTTCCCCCAACAAGTGTGGCTCCCATTGACCTGAGCCACATCCTCCTCACTCACCACATGCCCCAAGGAGTCACTCCCCTCTTTTTGCCCCACCCGCTTATGCCCACTCTACTAATACTGGCTTCATGTTATAAGATTTTTTTCTTTCTTTCTTCTTCTTCTTTTTTTTTTTTTTTTTTTTTTTTTTAGAGACCAGATCTTGCATTGTCGCCTGGGCTGGAGTGCAGTAGCGTGATCACGGCTCACTGCAGCCTTAACCTCCAGGGCTCAAGTGATCCTCCCACCTCAGCCTCCCGAGTAGCTGGGACTACAGGCACCCACCACCACACCTGGCTTTGGGATAAAATTAGTTTTGCTTTGTGCCCACAGGACCTGAACAGGAAAGCAAAACTGTGATGAAGGTTTACTAAGTAGTTTTGGGGAGTGCCCAGGCCACACGGCCAGCTTCAGTTCTAGGGTCAGCCCAGTTCCTGCCATCAGAAGTGAGTCTCAGAAGACAAGGCACTGGTGCCTCAGCATCTCCCTGAGGGTAGCCAGCTTACCACCCTGCATGTTGCCAGGCTTGGGAGATACCTGTTGGCGGTTTGCATGACAGGGTGAAAGCAGGATCTAGCTATGCAATGACAGCCCTCGGATCTCTGAGAACTAGGACAGGATGGTAGACAAATCTGGCTCCTTGCTGTGAAGGGGCAGGTAGTGAGAGAACTGGCTTACAAAACAAAGCCTGGGCCCTTTCCTAGTGCCAGGCCCAACTAGCTCTTCCTTAGCAAACCATAAGGGTCTCAATGCTTCTCTTTGAACTTCCAGGCATATCTCCCTGGAAGATACCTACCACCCCTTACCCTCCTTACCCCCTTCTGGGGCTTTCTCCTGACACCTCCCATTCTGCAAAAGCCTTCTCTAAGATTCCCCTGTAAAATGGAAACAAACAAACAACTCTGTGGCAAGGGTTGAGATGATGGAGTTGGCCTTAATAGTTAGAAATTCCAGGTGACAGGCTTAATTCACTTTGGCGCAGGGGATAAAGGGAAAAAAGAGAGCGGGTAACAAACAATTATTCGCAAGCTATTTTCTAGAAAATACAGAGAGGCCAGGTGTGGCTCATGCCTATAATCCCAGCACTTTGGGAGGCTGAGGCGGGAGGATTGCTTGAGCCCAGAAGTTTGAGGCCAGCCTGGGCGACATAGGGACACGCTGTTTCTACTTTTTTTTTTTTTTTTTTAATTAGCCCAGTGCGATTGTACACACCTGTAGTCCCAGCAACTTGGGAGGCTTAAGTAGGAGGATCATGAGCCAGGAGTTCAAGGTTACAGTGAACTATGATTGCACCACTGCACTCTAGCCTGGGCGATAGAGCGAGACTGTCTCAAAAAACAAAAACAAAAAAACAGACAGAAGTAGAAACATAATGTACCAGACTAGTAAGTACACACACACACTGTGTGTTTTAAATCAACTTTACATGCGCATAATTTACTTATGATAAAATGCACCCATTTAAGTGTACAGTTTGATGAGTTTTGACAAATGTTTACCTGTGTAATGTCTATCACAATATAGATTAATTCCTCCACTCTAAAAGCTTCCCTGTTTCTTTTTCTTTTCTTTCTTTCCTTTCCTCTCCTCTCCTCTCCTCTCCTTTTTTTTGAAGTGGAGTCTTGCTCTGTTGCCCAGGCTGGAGCACAGTGGCACGGCCTCAGCTCACTGTAGCCTTCACCTCCCGGGTTCGAGCAATTCTCCTGCCTCAGCCTCCTGAGTAGCTGGGATTACAGGCACCCGCCACCAAGCCCAGCTAATTTTTGTATTTTTAGTAGAGACAGGGTTTCACCATGTTGGCCAGGCTGGTCTTGAACTCCTGACCTCAGGTGATGCACCCACCTTGGCCTCCCAAACTGTTAGGATTACAGCATGACCCACAGCTCCCGGCCTTCTTTTTTTTTTTTTTTTCTTTTGAGACAGGGACTTTGTCGCCCAGGCTGGAGTGCAGTGGCGAGATCATGGCTCACTGCAGCCTCAACTTCCCAGACTCAAGTGATCCTCTCACTTCAGCCTCCCAAGTAGCTGGGACTACAGGTGCGAGCCACCACTCTTGGCTTTTTTTTCTTTTTGTAGAAACAGAGTTTCACCATGTTGCCCAAGCTGGTCTTGACTTCGCGGACTCAAGCCATCTGCCTACCTCAGCCTCCCAAAGTGATGGGATTACGGGCATGAGCCACTGCACTGGCTGTGTTTGTTTCTTTTTGCAATCAATCGCTACCTGGCCCAAGCAAGGGCCCATCCCTACCCGGTCCAGTCTGCTTTCTACCAGTATAGATTAGATTTATATTTTCTAGAATTTTACATAAATGGAGTCACACAGTATATACTCTTTTGTATCTTGGCTTCTTTTGCTCAACTTAATGTTTATAAGATTTGTTCGTGTTTTTGCACATATTAAGTAGTGTGTTCCTTTTTATTGCTGTATTGTATTCCACTAGATGGTTATACCATAGTTTGTTTATTCATTCTCCTGTTGATGGACATTATGGTTGTTTGTCATTTTGGGCTATTATGAAAAAGTTGCTGTGAACACTCTTCTACAGCTCCTTTTGAGGACACATGTTTTTATTTGTCTTGGGAGCAGAATTGCTGAGTCGTATGGCAAATGTGTGTATGCTTAACTTCAAAAGAAAACTGCTAAACTGTGTTCCAAAGTGACTGTATGTTCTCACCAGCAAAGTATGACAGTTCCAACTGTTCCACATTTTGACCAGCTCTTGGTATCATTGGCTTTTTATTTTTCACACCTTTTTTTTTTTGAGACAAGATCTCACTCTGTAGCGCAGGTTGGAGTGTAGTTGTGCAATCATGACTCACTATAGCCTCAACCTCCCTGGGCTCAGGTGATCCTCCCACTGAGTAGCTGGAACTGCAGGCACACCACCATGCCCAGTTAATTGTTTTATGTTTTGTAGAGACTGGGTTTCCTATGTTGTCCAGGCTGGTCTCGAACTCCTGGGCTCAAGCAATCCTCCTACCTCAGCCTCCCAAAGAGCTGGGATTACAGGCATGAACCACTGCGCCCAGCCCTATGTTTTGCACTTCTGGTTAGGTGCAGAGGATCTCTCGCTGAAGCACACAGATGCTGCCCTGCTACCTTTTCTGAAGCTACTCTTCCTGCCCCTTGTTCTTCCACAACTGCTCTGAGCATCCTTCTGTTTCTGCATGTGCTAGGATCATTTCCTGGAATTCTCATCTTTTGGGCCTTAGCACAAATGTTGCCTCCTCAGAGGTCTTCCCTCACTACCCTCTCTAATGGAATTCTCAAGACTTTTTATCGCATTACCCTGTTTGTCCCGTGAGAACATCAGCTCCATGAACAAACATCTCTTGTCTGTTTTTTTTTTTACCTAAAAGCAGTGCTTTAAAGATCATAGATGCACAATATATATTGCTGAATGGACTTGCAAGTCTAAAGTGTATGTTCAACATATTGACCTTTGGGGTCCTGGGAATGAAAGCGTTTGCATGACATCAAATCAGAAATATTTAAAGCATAAGTTATTTTTATTGTCTGGGACTGTTCTATTTTGCATGTAAATATCTTAAAATCCTGCAAATATAGAAAACAAGAAAGAAAAGAAAAAACAACCATAGTTTCATCAAACTATGTTGATTTCTAAAAAATCAAATTGTTATGGTTTAGAAATACAAATCATTTTTTAATTAGTTTAAAACTGATTTTTAAAAGTTCACTTTTGAATAAGTTATATTTGCACATGGTGAAAAATTCAAACAGTATATACTTCTGGAAAATGTTGCCCATATGCGAACATAGTTATATCTTTCTGCACTTTTTTCCAAAAATAGTATCATACTGTATGCATTGCTTGCACCTTGCTTTTGCATTTAACAATTTATCTTAGAAATCATTCCACATCATTATATGTGATATGGTTTGGACCCAGTAGGAGGTAATTGAATCATGGGGGCAGGTCTTTCCCATGCTGTTCTCATAATAGTGAATAAGTCTCACGAGATCCAATGGTTCTATAAGGGGGAGTTTTCCCGTGCAAGCACTCTTCGCCTGCCAATATCCACGTAAGATGTGATTTGCTCCTCCTTGCCTTCCATCATGATTGTGAGGCCTCCCCAGCTATGCAGAACTGTAAGTCCAATTAAACTTCTTTCTTTAGTAACTTGCCCAGTCTCAGGTATGTCTTTATCAGCAGCGTGAAAACAGACTAATATAATATCTATCAGTTAAGATTAGGTTTGGCTGCTAGTGAAAGAAAATTAAAAATATCAGTGTCTTGCAAAATTAGACATTGATTTCTCTCTCTAATGAAGTCCAAAGGTAAGTGGCCAGGCAATACCAGGATTCCATAATTATCAGGGACCTAGGATCCTTCTGTCATTTTTATGCCATCTTCAACATGGGGCTTCTACCTCATGTTTCAATATGGCTGTCTGAGCTCCTGCCATTACATCTGCATCTATCCAGCAAAACAAACAAACAAACAAACAAAAACATTAACAAGAACACAGGGGCACACCTACCAGCAAAGGAGGCTGGGAAATTTATTCTTTATTCCAAATAGCCATATACCCAGCTCAAAAATCAGAGGGGAAGAGAAGAATGGATACTGGGGCACAACTAACAATCTCTGTTACAAGTATACATAGATTTGCCTCATTAAAAAAAAAAATGCTATATAGAATTCCATTGTACAAGGCCAGGCGCAATGGCTCATGCTTGTAATCCCAGCACTTTGGGAGGCCAAGGTGGGTAGATCACCTGAGGTCAGGAGTTTGAGACCAGCCTGGCCAACATGGTGAAAGCCCACCTCTACTATATATACAAAAATTACCCAGGCGTGGTGGTGCACACCCATCCCAGCTACTCAGGAGGCTGAGGCAGGAGAATCTCTTGAACCTGAGAGGTGGAGGTTGCAATGAGCTGAGATCACACCACTGCACTCCAGCCTGGGTGACAGAGGGAGACTCTGTCCCAAGAAAAAGAATTCCATTGTACGAATGTACCATTATTTATTTAACCAGTTGGCAGACCTTAAGTTATTTATACTCAGTACAAATGATGCTGTAAGGAACTAGATCTTTATACCTACCTACTTCCTTGGCATATATGGGAATATTTCTGCAGGAAAAATTCCTAGAAGTGGAATTATCAGGTCAAAGACTGTGTTAGTTATTGCCAAATTTCCCTCTGAAGAAGTTTCATCAATCTTTGCTCTTACCAATAATATTTTCCCACACCTTGACCGACCTACTGTATTACAGAACTGTAGCAGTCTTCTAGGGAGAAAATGATGTATCTTTCTGACAGGTATAACATGGTCTTTGTTTACATTTTTCTTATCACAAGTTAGGTCAGAAGTCAGGAGATCATATCCTTTGCCAGAACATGGAGCTGGAGGCCATTATCTTTAGCAAACTAATGCAAGAACAGAAAACCAAATACCGCATGTTCTCACATGTACGTAGGAGCTAAATGATGAGAACACATGGACACAAAGAGGGGAACAACAGATACTGGGGCTTACTTGAGGGTGGAGGGTGGGAGGAGAGAGAAGGGAGAGGATCAGAAAAAATAACTCTTGGGTGCTAACTTAGTACCTGGATGACAAAATAACCTGTACAACAAACTCCCTTAACATGAGTTCACCTATATTACAAACCTGCACATGTACCCCTGAACCTAAAATAAAAGTTAAAAAAACAAGTTAGGTCAAAAGTCTTTTCATGGCCGGGCGCGGTGGCTCACGCCTGTAATCCCAGCACTTTGGGAGGCCGAGGCGGGCGGATTACCTGAGGTCAGGAGTTCGAGACCAGCCCCATCATGGAGAAACCCCGTCTCTACTAAAAATACAAAAAAAAAAAATTAGCCGGCCGTGGTGGTGCATGCCTGTAATCCCAGCTACTCGGGAGGCTGAGGCAGGAGAATTGCTTGAAACTGGGAGGCAGAGGTTGTGGTGAGCCGAGATCACGTCATTGCACTCCAGCCTGGGCAATAAGAGTGAAACTCCATCTCAAAAAAAAAAAAAAAAAAGTCTTCTCATACTTACCAGTGATCTGAATTATGAAAGTAGTTCAAGTATCTGGTAATAAACTTAAAACAATATAAAGAGAAATACAATAAAAACGAGTCCTTTTTCCTCCCTAGATTCCCAGTCCCATCCCCTTAGGCATAACCACCGTTAAGAGTTTCTTGCATATCTTTCCATAAAGTTCCACTGGGACTTTAATTACATTTAACTATACATATAAGATTTTTAAAAAGTAGAAGTGGGAGTATCCATTATACTCTGTTCTATGCTTTGCTTTTTCACCTAATATATTTTATAGATTTTTCTATGTAAGCACATAGATACATACCATATTCTTTTAAATTGTTGCATATGTTGAATGGCAAAGCCATAATTTAATAAAACAATCCCCTGCTACTGATGATCAAATTGTCTTTAGTTTCTTGCTGTTACAAATACCGCAGAGAACATCGTTGTATATATAGTTTGGCCAACATGTAGGAGTACAGCTATAGAATGAATTCCTGGAAGTGGAATATTAGGTCATTGAGTATGTGGGTTTTAAAATTTGATAAACATTGCTAAATTGTCTGACAAAGAGGTTACACAATCTTCACTCCCACAAACGAAAATGGCTTTGCCCTGTTTCCCACATTCTTACCTATACTGTATATTATCAAACTTTTAAATCAAGTAGATACAAATGGCATATCATTATATTAAATTGCATAATTTTCATTATGAGTGAGGTGCAGTATCCTCTTATGTATTTCTTTTTTCTTTTTCTTTTCTTTTCTTTTTTTTTTTTTTTTTTGAGACAGAGTTTCACTCTTGTTGCCCAGGCTGGAGTGCAATGGCACAATCTTGGCTCACTGCAACCTCCGCCTCCTAGGTTCAAGTGATTCTCCTGCCTCAGCCTCCGGATTAGCTGGGATTACAGGCATGCGCCACCATGCACAGCTAATTTTTGTATTGTTAGTAGAGACAGGGTTTTACCATATTAGCCAGGCTGGTCTTGAACTCCTGACCTCAGGTGATCTGCCCGTCTCGGCCTCCCAAAGTGCTGGGATTATAGGCATGAGCCACTGCGCCTGGCCCCTCTTATGTATTTCTAAACTATTTGTTTGTTTGAGACAGAGTCTGGCTCTGTTGCCTAGGCTGGAGTGCAGTGGTGCCATCTCAGCTCACTACAAGCTCCGCCTCCCAGTTCAAGTGATTCTCCTGCCTCAGCCTACCGAGTAGCTGGGATTACAGGTGCAAGCCACCACACCTGGATAATTTTTGTATTTTTAGTAGAGACGGGGTTGTGCCATGTTGGCAAGGCTGGTCTCTAACTCCTGGCCTCAAGTGATCCATGTGCCTGGGCCTCCCAAAGTGTTGGGATTACAGGTGTGAGCCACTGCATCTAGCCAACATTTTCCCTTATATTATCTTTATAGTTTCATCTTTTACCTTCAGATCTTTGATTCATCTGGAGTATTTTTGTTGTAAGAAATGAGGTAAGGACCTAGCTCCCCTCACCCTCCTCACCCCCAGATAGCTAATCAGTTTTTCCACCATTAGTACTGAATACTTAAATGTTTCCTCACTGCTCTGAAATGTCCATAGGTAGTTAGAACTATTTCTATATTTTATATTATTTCATTTGCATGATTTAATTAAAATATATTTGCAGGCCGGGCACAGTGGCTCATGCCTGTAATCCCAGCACTTTGGGAGGCCGAAGTGGGCAGATCATGAGGTCAGGAGTTCGAGACCAGCCTGACCAACATGGTGTAACCCCATCTCTACTAAAAATACAAAAATTAGCCGAGCATGGTGGTGTGTGCCTGTAATCCCAGCTACTCAGGAGGTTGAGGCAGGAGAATTGCTTGAACCTGGGAGGCAGAGGTTGCAGTGAGCCAAGATCACGCCATTGCACTCCAGCCTGGGTGACAGAGTGAGACACTGTCTCCAAAAAAAAAAAAAAAAAAAAAAAAATATATATATATATATATATATATATATATATATATATATATATATTTGTACATATATATATATTTGCATTTCACATGGCAGAATCAAATTGTTTGTTGTTGTTGTTGTTGTTGTTTTTGAGACGGAGTCTTGCTCTGTTGCCCAGGCTGGAGTGCAGTGGCGCGATGTCAGCTCATTGCAAGCTCCACCTCCCAGGTTCACGCCATTCTCTTGCCTCAGCCTCCTGAGTAGCTGGGACTATAGGCACCTGCCACCACGCCCGGCTAATTTTTTGTATTTTTAGTAGAGATGGGGTTTCACCGTGTTACCCAGGATGGTCTCGATTTCCTGACCTCGTGATCCGCCCGCCTCGGCCTCCCAAAGTGCTGGGATTACAGGTGTGAGCCACCGCGCCCGGCCAGCAGAATCAAATGGTTTCAGTGACAGTTTTGTACTATGTTATCATCTCTGGTAGGGCTATAATTCTTTTTCAGAATTTTCATAGCAGTCTTTACATGCTAACTTTTCCAAATGAATTTTAGAATCAGTTTGTCAAGGCAAAAAAAAAAATCATATTGTCATTGGGATTGCAAACAGTAAGTATTTTTGTACCTCAGTCTACAAAAATATACAATTTATAAACAAAGGCCTATATGTGATATATGGTATCTATAAATCCCAAAAAAACATGTTGACAAGCTATCGGGCTTTCTCCCGAGGCTCCCACTGATCTTGGTGTCTCAAAGCAGCTTCTGCAACTGGGAGATTGTCTTAGGAGCTAAATCCAGCCACCCAGATATATTCCTGGTTTTTGAGCAATAAAGATGGAAAACCATTCTTTCCTCTTGAGGTGTCACTGGATCATCAGAAATGGTACAACCAAATGAAGGCAGCAGGTGCCACAGTGGAGTTCAGCACCTTAGGAAGAACAGAAAGAAGCAGCTTGAGATCTGGCAGTGGTCATCCTGGAAACCACAGTGGCCAACAGACTTCTCTGGGCTCTCAATTACTTGTCTGTGAGTCTGTGGGCCTGGAGCTCCTTTCTAGATACCTGCCCCCACTTCTCTATAGAAGTATAAACTGCAGTGTGGAGGGGAGAGAAATTTCTCAAGTTTGCACAACTATTTAGTGAAAGATCAGAGACCAGAAACCAGGTGTATCATTAGTGGATCTTACTTACAAGCAACAGAGTCTTATCTGACTAGACTGAGCAGAAAGGGGGCTTATTTCAGGTTGTTAGGTAACTCACAGAATCGTTGGGAGGGAGGAGAGAGACAGATTCCAGGCTAAGCTTCCAGGGGTAGTGGCTACAATCACATTGCAGAGAAAATGGCTGCTACCACCATTGCTGAACACTGATGCTGAGAACTTAATGTTAGCACAGCCACTCCTGCCTCCAGCACCAATGCCAAATTCAACTTCAGGAACTTGACCTTACAACCCCTGGGGAACCACTTCTGTTGCCACTGTGACCACCAAGCCTCCTGCTGTGCACTTCAGAATTGAAGTCTTTCTTGGGTGTGTGATTGGTAGAACTGGGTCACATGTCAATGTTCTAGCTGCAAGGGAGGCTGGGAATCTGAGTTCTGACTTCTAGTTTGAGAGGCAAAACCCATAATAGAGGAATTTCCCCAAGTATAGAAAGGCCAATTAGAATTGGACCAATACTTCAAAGACAACTACATATGCTAGACAAATATCTTTAAATATTTTAAAATTGATAAATAATATTAGTACATATTTATGGGGTACATGTGATATTTTGTTACATGCATGGAATGTATAATGATCAAATCAGGGTATTTAGGATATCAATCACCTTGAGTATCATTTCTATGTGTTGGGATTTAACTTTTATTTTTATTTTTTTTGAGATGGAGTCATGTTCTGTTGGCCAGGCTGGACAGCAGCTTGATCTCAGCCCACTACAACCTCCGCCTCCCGGGTTCAAGTGATTCTTGTGCCTCAGCCTCCCGAGTAGCTGGGATTACAAGTGCCCACTACCACACCTGGCTAATTTTTTTTTTTTGAGATGGAGTCTTGCTCTTGTTGCCCAGGCTGGAGTGCAGTGGCATGATCTCGGCTCATTGCAACCTCCACCTCCCAGTCTCAAGCAATTCTCCTGCCTCAGCCTCCCAAGTAGCTGGGATTACAGGTGCCTGCCATCACACCCAGCTAATTTTTGTATTTTTGATAGAGACAGGGTTTCGCCATGTTGGCCAGGCTGGTCTTGAACTCCTGACCTCAGGTGATCTGCCCGCCTTGGCCTCCCAAAGTGCTGAAATTACAGGCATGAGTCACGGCACCCAGCCTGAATTTAACTTTGAAAAAACCTTTTTTTTGATAAAATACGAATTTTTAAATGTATTATTCCTTTAGTTTCATATCAAATAAATCTTTGTTTAACACAAAGTCACAGAGATTTTCTATGTGTTCTAATAATGTTAGAGCTTTTGGTTTTGCATGTAGGTCAGGATCCATTTTTAGTTAATTTTTCTATGTGGTGTGAGATACAAATCAGTTTATATGGCTGGGCGCGGTGGCTCATGCCTGTAATCCTAGCACTTTGGAAGGCCGAGGCGGGTGGATCACGAGGTCAGGAGATCGAGACCATCCTGGCTAACACGGTGAAACCTCATCTCTAGTAAAAATACAAAAAATTAGCCGGGCGTGGTGGCGGGCGCCTGTAGTCCCAGCTACTCGGGAAGTTGAGGCAGTAGAATGGCGTGAATCCAGGAGGTGGAGGTTGCAGTGAGCCGAGATCATGCCACTGCACTCCAGCCTGGGGGACAGAGCAAGACTCCGTCTCAAAAAAAAAAAAAATCAAAGTTTATATTTTGCATGCCATTATCCAGTTGTTTTAGCACCATTTGTCAAAAGACTATCTTTTCTTTTCTGTCTTTTTTTTTTTAACCTTTATTGTAGGTTCGGGGTACATGTGAAGGTTTATTACATAGGTAAACTCATGTCACAAGGGTTTGTTGTAGAGATTATTTAATCATTCAGTAATTATGATTTAAATCTTAAATGCATCAAAAACCTAACGAGATAGTGAGGAGTTATTGGACCAAGATAGAGGAAAATGTAGGAGTCCAGAGAGGTTAGGGTTGCCAGATAAAAATACAACATTCCAGCCAGGCATGGTGGCTCACGCCTGTAATCCCAGCACTTTAGGAGGCCAGGATGGGCAGATCACTTGAGGTCAGGAGTTCCAGACCAGCCAGGCCAACAAGGTGAAACCCCATCTCTACTAAAAATACACAAATTAGCTGGGTGTGGTGGCGCACACTTGTAATCCCAGCTACTTGGGAGGCTGAGGTATGAGAATTGCTTGAGCCTGGGAGGCAGAGGTTGCAGTGAGCCGAAATCATGCCATTGCACTCCAGCCTGGGTGACAGAGTGAGACTCCACCTAAGAAAAAAAAAAATACGGCATTCCTGGCCAGGTGTGGTGGCTCACACCTGTAATCCCAACACTTTGGGAGGCTGAGGTGGGAGGTGTGCTTGAGCCCAGGAGTTCGAGACCAGCCTGGGCAACATAGTGAGACCCTGTCTCTACAAAAAATAAACAAAATTAGTAGGGCATCATGGTGCACATCTGTAGTCCCAGGTACTCAGGAGGCTGAGGTGGGAGGATTGCTTGAGCAAGGGAGGTTGAGGCTGCAGTGAGCTGAGATTGCACCACTGCACTCCAGCCTTGCAACAGAGTGAGACCCTGTCTCAAAAAACAAACAAACAGGCCGGGCGTGGTGGCTCACGCCTGTAATCCCAGCACTTTGGGAGGCCGAGGCGGGCGGATCACGAGGTCAGGAGATCGAGACCATCCCGGCTAAAACGGTGAAACCCCGTCTCTACTAAAAATACAAAAAATTAGCCGGGTGTAGTGGCGGGCGCCTGTAGTCCCAGCTACTTGGGAGGCTGAGGCAGGAGAATGGCGTGAACCCGGGAGGCGGAGCTTGCAGTGAGCCGAGATCCCGCCACTGCACTCCAGCCTGGGCGACAGAGCGAGACTCCGTCTCAAAAAAAAAAAAACAAAAAAACAAAAAACAAAAACAAACAAACAAACAAACAAACAAAAACACAGCACTCCTAGTTAAATTCTTATCTGAATTTCAGATAATGGATAATTTTTCAGTGTGTGTCCCAGTTAAATTTGAATTTCAGATAAACACTGAATACTTTTTTCATATGCAAATTATGTTCCTGCAATATTTGGGATATACTTATACTAAAAAAAGTATTTGTTGCTTATCTGAAATTAAAATTTAACTGGACATCCTATTTTTAAATTTTTTTATTTATTTATTTTTTAATTTATTTTTTAGATGGAGTCTTGGTCTGTTGCCCAGGCTGGAGTGCAGTGGCTTGATCTTGGCTCACTGCAGCCTCTGCCTCCTGGGTTCAAGTGATTCTCCTGCCTCAGCCTCCAGAGTAGCTGGGATTACAGGTGTGCACCACCATGCCCGGCTAATTTGTTGTATTTTTAGTAGAGACAGGGTTTCGCCATATTGGTCAGGCTGGTCTCGAACTCCTGACCTCAGGTGATCCGCCCACCTCGGCCTCCCAAAGTGCTGGGATTGCAGGCGTGAGCCACCGTGCCTGGCCTTTTTTATTTATTAAATGTGGCAACTCTACCAGAGAGGTGAGCCCAGCACTCGGACCTGCTTTTGCCCAAGTGCATTTGCCAATCTGAAGGAGCCATTGGAGAGGCTGAGCCATACCTTTGAAAGCTTCTTGGGATTAAGGGTATGAATTTGGAGTTCGGGGCCTACCAAGGTGGATACCCTGACAAATCACTCTTGTGATAGACTGAGCCATGGCTACGGGTATTCATATCCTGTGTATCCCTTGATTCTGGGCTGCTCTGTGACCTGCTTTAATTAATAGAATATAGTGGTAGTGATGTTGTGCCACTTCTGGCTTAAGCCTTAAGAAGGCAGCTTCATATAAAAATTAGCCAAGTGTGGTGGCACATGCTTGTAGTCCCAGCTACTTGGGAGGCTGAGGCAGGAGAATCGCTTGAACCCAGGAGGCAAAGATTGCAGTGAGCCGAGATTGCACCACTGTACTCCAGCCTGGACGACAGAGCGAGACTGTCTCAGAAAAAAATAAATAAAATAAAAAAGAAGTGGCAGGCACATAGCAGCCACAGGTCCGTAGCAATTCTGAAATCCAGCTGGACACAATTCCTTAGTTAAGTCCTTGTTCTTCAGGGTAGTTGCATTTTTTTCTTTTGGACAGAGTCTCACTCTGTCGCCCAGACTGGAGTGCAGTGGCGCAATTTCAGCTCACTACAGTCTCTGCCTCCTGGGTTCAATCTATTCTCCTGCCTCAGTCTCCCGAGTAGCTGGGATTACAGGCATGCACCACCACACCTGGCTAATTTTTGTATTTTTAGTAGAGATAGGGTTTCGCCATGTTGACCAGGCCGGTCTTGAACTCCTGACCTCAGGTAATCTGCCCGCATCGGCCTCCCAAAGTGATAAGATAACAGGCGTGAGCCACCATGCCTGGCTATTTCCTCCTTTTTAGTAAGTGTCAATTATAATTTTCTCTTCCCTGCCTCACCATTGTGTGTGGGGAGTGGATAACTTGTCTCTTAAGTTCAAAGATCTTCAGATCGAGAGCAGCATCCATTGAAATTGAAGCCTCATTCGTACTTGGCTTTAATTTAGATGAGGAAAGTATGGACGTCAAGCTCAATACTAGCACATTAATGGGGTGAGACTTTGGGGGGAATTAAGGAGCAGTGAGTGTATTGTACATGTAAGAGCAAGTGAATCATTAGGAGACAGAAGATGGACTGTGATAGAGAGTAACCTTGGTCGTCCCCAGATAACTGTGTATCTGAATATTCACACCATTGTTAGTTCCCTCCCCTTGAACCTGGACTGGGCTGTAACGTGTTTTAACTAAGAGAATGTGGTAGAAGTGATGCTGTGTCAGTTACAGATGTAAACCTTAAGAAGGCCTGACAATTTCCATATTTGCCCTGTGGAGGAAGCCAGACACCATGTTCAGAAGTCCAATCACCTTGAGACCAACACGCTGTGAGAAACCCAACCTAGCTTCATGGAGAGCCCATGTGGAGAAGAGCTGGAGACCCTTGCCAACATCACAGCTAGGGTCTTACTTGCCTTCCGTGTGAGTAAGGCCAGTTTGGAAGTGGATCATTCAGCCCTGTTCAAGTTGCCCCAACCCTTGCCACATAGACTAGAGACCAGCTGTCCCTGCCAAATTCTGTTCAAATTGCAGAATCATGAGCAAATGATGTGGTTTGGATTTGTGTCCCCACCAAATCTCATGTCGAATTGTAATCCCCAGTGTTACAGGTGGGACCTAGTGGGAGGTGATTGGATCATAGGGGTGGATTTCTCATGCATGGTTTGGGCACTATTCCCTTGGTGCTGTTCTTGTGATAGTGAGTGAGTTCTTGTGAGATCTGGTTGTTTAAAAACGTGTTGCACCTCCCTGCTCACTCTCTCTCTTGCTCCTGCCATGTGAGAGGCCTCGATCCCCTTTTGCCTTCTGCCATGATTAGAAGCAGAAGCAGAAATCACTATGCTTCCTGTACAGCCTGCAGAGCCACAATCCAATTAAACCTCTTTTATTTTTCATTTATTTATTTATTATTTTTTGAGATGGAGTCTTACTCTCTCAGGCTGGAATGCAGTGGCGCAATCTTGGCTCATTGCAACCTCTGCCTCCCAGGTTCAAGCGATTCTCCTGCCTCAGCCACCCGAGAAGCTGGGATTACGGGCTCCTGCCACCAAGCCCGGCTAATTTTTGCATTTTTAGTAGAGACAGGATTTCACCATATTGGCCAGGCTGGTCTCCAACTCCTGACCTCAGGTGATCTGCCACCTAGGTTTCCCAAAGTGTTGGGAATACGGGCGTGAGCCACCGCGCCCGGCCTTATTTATTTATTTATTTATTTTAAGATGGAGTTTCACTCTTGTTGCCCAGGCTGGAGTGCAGTGGTGCGACCTCCACTCCCTGCAACCTTCACCTCCCAGGTTCAAGCGATTCTCCTGCCTCAGCCTCCCGAGTAGCTGGGATTACAGGCATGCGGCACCACGCCTGGCTAATTTTGTATTTTTAATAGAGACGGTGTTTCACCATGCTGGTCAGGCTGGTCTTGAACCCCTGACATCAGGTGATTCACCCACCTTGGCCTCCCAAAGCGCTGGGATTACAGGCGTGAGCCAACACACCCAGCCACCTCTTTTCTTTATAAATTACCTAGTCTCAAGTATTTTATAGCAATGTGAGAATGGACAAATAACAGTGAGTAAATATGATAGTTGTTGCTTAAAGCCAGGAGTAAGCAAACTATGACCCATGGCTGGTTATTTGTTCTTTTATTTTTATTAACAGCTTTATTGAGATATAATTCACATACCATACAGTTCACCCACTTAAAGTGTACAGCACAATGGTTTTTAGTATATTCGCATATGTGTGCAACCATTACCATGGTCAACTTTATAATAATTTCTCAAAAAGAAATTCTGTATTCTTTACCTATCACCTTCCCATCCTCCCCTCTCCTACACCTCCAGCCTTAAGAAATCTATGTATTGTTACCTGTCTTCCCTGTTCTGGACATTCCATATGAATGTAATCATATAATATGAGATATTTTATGACCGACTAGTTTCATTTATTATGTTTTCAAGGTTCATACATGTTGTAGCATCTATTAGTACTTCATTCTTTTTTTTTTTTTTTTTGAGACAGAGTTTCACTCTCGTTGCCCAGGCTGGAGTGCAATGGTGCCATCTTGGCTCACTGCAACCTCCACCTCCTGGGTTCAAGCGATTCTCCTGCCTCAGCTTCCTGAGTAGCTGGGATTACAGGCATGGGCCACCATGCCCGGCTAATTTTGTATTTTTAGTAGAGATGGAGTTTCTCCATGTTGGTCAGGCTGGTCTTGAACTCCCGACCTCAGGTGATCTGTCTGCCTCGGCCTCCCAAAGTGCTGGGATTACAGGCGTAAGCCACTGCTCCCGGCCTTACTTCATTCTTTTTTTATGGCCAAATAGTGTTCCATTGTGTGTTCACATTTTGTTTATCTATTCATTAATTGTTAGACATTTGAATTGGGCCCACCTTTTGGCTATCATGAATAATGCTGATATATACATTGGTATCCAAGTATCTGTTTGAGTTCCTGCTTTTAATTCTTTTGGATAAATACCTACGAGTGGAATTACTGGAATATATGGTAATTTTATATTGAAAATTTTAGGATTGCCAAACTGTTTTCCACAGAGGCCATACCATTTTACATTCCCACCAGCAATGCATGAAAATTCCAGTTTCTCCATATTCTCACCAATGCTTGGCACCCTTGTCAAAAATCAGTTGACCACAGATGAGTGAGATTATTTCTGGACTTTCAATTCTATTCCATTTCTCTATAAGTCTATCCTTTTCCAGTACCACACTGCATTGATTATTGCTGCTTTGAAGTAAGTTTTGAAATCAGGAAATATGAACCCTCCTACTTTGTTTTTCTTCTTAAACATTGTTTTGGCTATTCTTGGTCTAATGCAATTCCATATGAATTTTAAAATCAGCTTGTCAATTTCTATAAAATAGTCATCTCAGATTCTGATGGGGATTGCATTATATCAAAAGATCAATTTGGGAAGAATTGGCATTTTTAACAACGTTAAGTCTTACTTAACATTACTTAATCCATAAACATTAACATTACTTAATCCATAAACACAGGATGTTTTTCCAATTTTTTTTTTTTTTTTTGAGACAGAGTCTGGCTCTGTTGCCCAGGCTGGAGTACAGTGGCATGATCTCAGTTTACTGCAGCCTCCAACATCTGGTCTCAAGCAATCCTCCCACCTCAGCCTCCTGAGTAGCTGGGACTACAGGTGCATGCCACCATGCTGGGCTAATTTTTTGTAGAGCCAGTGTCTTGCCATGTTGTCCAGGTTGGTCTTGAACTCCTGGACTCAAGCACTCCTTCCACCTGCCTCCCAAAGTGCTGGGATTACAGGCAGGAGCCACCGTGCCTGGCCAGTTTTTCCAATTATTTAGATGGTCTTTAATTTCTTTTTTAAAAAACCTCTGCATACATTCCACTAAAGACTGTCTTTTTTTTTTTTTTTTTTTTGAGACAGAGTCTCACACTGTCGCCCAGGCTGGAGTGCAGTGGCACGATCTCGGTTCACCGCAAGCTCCGCCTCCTGGGTTCACTCCATTCTCCTGCCTCAGCCTCCCTAGTAGCTGGGACTACAGGTGCCTGCCACCATGCCTAGCTAATTTTTTTGTATTTTCTGTAGAGACAGGGTTTCACCGTGTTAGCCAGGATGGTCTCGATCTCCTGACCTCATGATCCTCCCACCTTAGCCTCCCAAAGTGCTGGGATTACAGGTGTGAGCCACCACGCCCGGCCTAAAGACTGTCTTTAATTTCTTTCAACAATGTTTGTTGTTTTCTAAGTTTACACTTCTTTCATTAAATGTATTCCAATAAAATGTATTTTCTTCTTTTTGATGCTATCATAAATGAAATTGTTTTCTTAATTTCATCTTTGGATTGCTCATTGCAAGTATGTAGAAATACAATTGATTTTTGTTATTTATCTTGTATCCTGCAACCTTGCTGAATTTGTTTGTTAGTTCTAATAGTTTTTTAGTAGATTCCTTAAGATTTTCCATATACAAGGTTGTGTGTCTGTGAAGAGATAGTTTTATGTCTTCCTTTCTAGTTGGATTCCTTTAATTTGTATTTCTTGCCTAATTGCCCTGGATAGAACCTCCAGTATAACATTAAATAGAAGTGGTTGGAATGACTGTGTATGGTGGCTTATGCCTGTAATCCCAGCACTTTGGGAGGCCAAGGCAGGTGGATCACTTGAGGTCAGGAGTTTGAGACCAGCCTGGCCAACATGGTGAAACCCAGTCTCTACTAAAAAATACAAAAGATTAGTCAGGCGTTGTGGCGTGCACCTGTAATTTCAGCTACTTGGGAGGCTGAGGCATGAGAATCCCTTGAACCCAGGAGGCGGAGGTTGCAGTGAGCTGAGATCAAGCCACTGCACTCCAGCCTGGGTGACAGAGCGAGACTCTGTCTTGAAAAAACAAAACAAAAATAAATAGAAGTGGTTGAAATGGACATTCTTCTCTTATCCTTGTCTTATTTCCTGGGGAAAGCATCCATTCTCTCACCGTTAAGTATGATATTGGCTGTAGGTTTCTCATAGATGCCCTTTATCAGGTTGAAGATGGCTGCGTGTTTTTGTAAATAAAGTTTTGTTGGGACACAGACATGCCATTTGTTTATTTATTATATGCTGCTTTGTGCTATATGGCTGCTTTGTGCTATAATGACAGAGTTGAGTAGTTGTGACAAAGACTATATTGCTTGCAAGTCTAAACTATATACTATCTGGTCCTTAAAAAAGTTGGCTGGACATCGTTTTAAGCCACTAAATTTTGGAATAGTTTGCTATGAAGCAATACATAACTAAAAAAACCCCAATCTTAGACTGGGACCCCAAAGAACTGCACAATTGAGTAAAGGGGAACCGTAAAAAACACACACTAAAAAGAAAACAAAACAAAAATGCTTCCATAGACTGTAGTCCAGCTCTGAGTCATCAGATGACTCAGAAAATCTGGAGCCCTGAAATTGAGTTAAGATGATCCCAGACTGCTGGTGCCCCTAGATGCCTGGTAGCAGCAAATGGAAATATTTCCCAGAGGAAGATATTACTATTGTTACTTAAAATGATTTTTTAAAATACAATGTCCAAAACATAACCAGGTATATGGTGACATGAGAATGAATCACTAAAAACTGATAATGGGGCAGGGAGTGGTGGCTCACACTTATAATCCCAGCACTTTGGAAGGCCGAGGCAAGAGGATCACTTGAAGCCAGGAGTTCGAGACCAGCCTGGTCTCTGCAAATAGTGAGACCTGTCGCTACAAATAAAAAAAATTAACCAGACATGTTGGCACACACCTGTAGTCCCAGTTACTTGGGGGGCTGAAGTGGGAAAATCGCTTGAGCCTAGGTGGTCAAGGCTGCAGTGAGCCATGATCACGCCACCGCACTCCGGCCTAGGTGACAGAGTGAGACCCTGTCTTGAAAATGAAAACAAAAATAGAAACTGGTTGGGTGCAGTGGCTCACACCTGTAATCCCAGTATTCTGGGAGGCCAAGGCAGTAGGATCCTTTGGGCCCTGGAGTTCAAGACCAGCCTGGGCAGCATAGAGAGACTCTGTCACTATTTTTTTTTTAAAGTAAAAAGCAAAAACAATATTTGACAATGGAAGCAGATTCACAGGAACTCCAGATTAGAATTATCAGTTATAGACCATAAAACAACAATACTATGTTTAAGGATGGATAAGACAAGCCTGAAAATTATAGCAGGGTACTGGGAAATACATGAAGTGGCATAGCAGATTTGAAAAAGAACCAAATAGAGGCCAGGCACAGTGGCTCACACCTGTAATCCCAGCACTTTGGGAGGCCGAGGCGGGCGGATCACCTGAGGTCAGGAGTTCAAGACCAGCCTGGCCAACATGGCGAAACCCTGTCCCTACTAAAAATAAAAAAATTAGCTGGGCGTGGTGGCATGTGCCTTGTAATCCCAGCTACTTGGGAGGTTGAGGCAGGGTAATTGCTTGAACCTGGGAAGCGGAGGTTGCAGTGAGCTGAGACTGTGCCACTGCACTCCAGCCTGGGCGACAGAGCAAGACTCTGTCTCAAAAAAAGAAAGGAAAGAAAGAAAGAAGGGAGGGAGGGCCAAATAGAAATTCTAGACTTAAAGAGTAGAATAACTGGCCGGGCGCAGTGGCTCACACCTGTAATCCCAGCACTTTGGGAGGCCGAGGCGGGCGGATCAGGAGGTCAGGCGATTGAGACCATCCTGGCTAACATGGTGAAACCCCGTCTCTACTAAAAATACAAAAAAATTAGCTGGGCGTGGTGGCGGGCACCTGTAGTCTCAGCTACTTGGGAGGCTGAAGCAGGAGAATGGTGTGAACCTGGAAGGCGGAGCTTGCAGTGAGCTGAGATCGCGCCACTGCACTCCAGCCTGGGCAACAGAGCCAGGCTCCATCTCAAAAAAAAAAAAAAAAAGAGAGAGAGAAAAGAAAAAGAATAGAATAACCAAATGGAGCTCAATGGTTGGGTTTAAGATGAGATTTTTTTTTTTTTTTTTTTTTTAGCTGAAAAGAGACTGAGTGAGCTGAAAATAGAAGAAACTTATTAGGACAAAGCATAGAAGGATAAAAGACAGAAAATACAGAATAAAGGGATGAAGTAAGAAGGTTGAATGTGTTTCAACTGGAGCCCCAGAAAGAAAGAAGAAAAAGGACAGAAATCGTATTTGAACATATAATGTCTGAGAATTGTTCAAAACTGAGGAAAAACTATTCAAAGGTGATAGGCAGCCGTGAAATGACAGATATCCACTCTACCGTGTATTCTCTTCTTTTTTTTTTTTTTTTTTGAGACAGAGTCTCACTCTGTCACCCAGGCTGGAGTGCAGTGGTGCAATCTTGGCTCACTGCAACTTCCACCGTCTGGGTTCAGGCAATTCTCATGCCTCAGCCTCCCAAGTAGCAGGGACTACAGGCGCACGCCCAGCTAATTTTTGTATTTTTAGTAGAGACAGGGTTTCACCATGTTGGCCAGGCTGGTCTCGAACTCCTGACCTCAGGTGATCCGCCCACCTCAGCCTCCCAAAGTGCTGGGATTATAGGCATGAACCACCACGCCTGGCATACTCTGACTCTCAAAAACCTTAATGTACAAAGCTGCCTTTAAAAGGATTCTGAAACCAAGATGAAGGTAGCTCGGTAGTAGTTGGAACAGGGCTTGCCTGGGCTGAGTTCAAGTACAAGCTCTGCTACTTCCTAGCTGTGCCACCTGGAGAAAGTTGCCAAACTTCAATTTTTTCAAGTAATAAATGAAAATAAAGAGTAACACTGGCCTACCCCATTGTGAGAATCAAATGATAAGTTCGGGCAAGGTGGCTCACACCTGCAATCTTGACAGTTTAGGAGGCCAAGGTGGGAGGGTCTCTTGAGCCCAGCGGTTCCAGGCCAGCCTGGGTAATAGAGTGAGCCCTTGTCTCTAAAAGAAAAAGGAAGACAGAAAAAGAGAATCAAATGATAAAATGCATGTGAATGAGTCTAGTGAATGCGAAGTGCTTTTAAAATGAGATGTGGTTTGAGCAGTTCCACAAGCATGCCCAGGGTCACTACCAGTGACAGGCAGGACTGGCCATATAATTTGCAGGGCCCAGTGAAAAATGAGAGTGCAGGGCCCTTTGTTGAGAAAGTACTAAGAATTTCAAGACGGCGGCAGCAGAGCATTAGACCCAGCACAGGGCTCTTCTAAGTACACGGCCCTGTGTACTACACAGGTCACATACCCATGGAACTGGTCTTAGGTACAGACCCTGCAAAGAACCGTACTGTGCCTTAGGAAAGGGCTGCTCATCCCACATCCAGGTATCTGCAGCCATAGCGCATGTCATCTTTGAATTCTGAAGGGCAGTAATGTTTAGGGAAAATGCAAGCACATGTGTTTCCAAATGCCAAGGAAGGCAAGTGCAGTGATCAGAGTGGTTTTCTGGGAGAGTGGGTGGGGCTAGCAAGGCTGCCATCGGAACTGTGGAACTGACTGTTCTCCACAGACTCTGGCCTAGAAAAAAAAAGAACCGTGTAGCTGTATCTACAGGGCCTGTTGTTGTTGCTGCGGTGTATTACAACACAGCCTGGCAGCCTCCCCTGCCTTTCTGTCTTCCTCCTGGAAGAGCCTGGTCCCAGACATGTGACACGTCCACACAGCCCTCTGCAGATTTGCCCACACTGCTCCTCACTGTTCCCTCAATTATTAGGCTTTTCCAGGTCTGCATGCTTTTTGCTCACGCTGTCCCCTCCTGCCTGGGAGTCCCTTTCCCCCTTGTCCACACCCCTCTGTCTGGCAAACACCTACTTCATCTTCTAAGATTCAGCTCTACTGTCAGGTGACCTCTTCAATGACGCCTTCCCTGCCTCTCGTAGGAAGAGCTGATTCCTCTTTCCTTGGCGCCTTCCATTGTGCCCTATGCAGACATCTGTCACAACCCCTGTAACATGAAGAGGAGAACTGACATGTTACGTGTATGTCACTGTCTCCTAATGAAGCCCTTGAGGGTTGGGACATATATACCCTGATAGCATAGAGCTTAATATGTGCTGTTATTTTTATTTTATTTTATTTTATTTATTTATTATTATTTTTTTTGAGATGGAGTTTTGCTCTTGTTGCCCAGGCTGGAGTGCAATGGTGCCATCTCGGCTCACTGCAACCTCCGCCTCCCGGGTTCAAGCGATTCTTCTGCCTCAGCCTCCCGAGTAGCTGGGATTACAGGCATGCGTCACCATGCCTGGCTAATTTCGTATTTTTAGTAAAGATGGGGTTTCTCCATGTTGGTCAGGCTGGTCTCGAACTCCCGACCTCAGGTGATCCGCCCACCTCTGTCTTCCAAAGTGCTAGGATTACAGGTGTGAACCACTGTGCCCTGCCTAATATGTGCTATTATTAAGCATAGTAGATGCTTAATCAATTGGTATTAGTATGCAGAGGAATTTTGATCAACTTTGTTTTTCTGCGTTAATGAACAAATACATTGTTTCAGTGACTCCCCTCGGCAACTGGTAAACAGGGAAGCTTCTAGGCACTGAGGACAGACAAATGACTGAGACAGAACCCCTGCCCTCGAGGCGGTTTCAGTCTTGGCTTTATTTGTCTTTTCTGCAGACATCATCACCCTTTTTTTTTTTTTAGAATGGAGTCTCGCTCTTGTTGCCCAGGCTGGAGTGCAATGGTGCGATCTCGGCTCACTGCAACCTCTGTTCAAGCAATTCTCCTGCCTCAGCCTCCTGAATAGCTGGGATTACAGGCATGCGCCACCATGCCCGGCTAATTTTTTAAAATTATTTTTAGTAGAGACGGGGTTTCTCCATGTTGGTCAGGCTCGTCTCGAACTCCCGACCTCAGGTGATCCGCCCATCTCGGCCTCCCAAAGTGCTGGGATTACAGGCGTAAGCCACCGCGCCCGGCGCCCAGGCATCATCTCTTGAAGGCAGCATGGCGATTTCTGGACGAGGCTCTTCATAAATGTTTGAATGCAGTATAGTGCAAAGAGAGCAGGTTTGGAGCCAGGAGACATGAGTTCTAATCTGGCTATGGGATATTAGGTTTCCATAGGTAACTATTAGGTCCCACGTGTAACTAGCTATGGGACATCAGGTTTCTGTTTCCTTAAAAATGAGAGAGTTGATTAGAGATTCCCTAAGGCCCAGGTGCAGCTCCTGCATCTCTATGGGAGTAACTCAGAGGTAGCCATCTGGTTGGCAGTCTACCTTTCGGAGTTGGCGGAAGAACTCAGCCGTTTTGTTTTTGTTTTTGTTTTGAGATGGAGTCTTGCTCTGTCACCAGGCTGGAGTGCAGTGGCGTGATCTCGACTCACTACAACCTCTGCCTCCCAGGTTCAAGCGATTCTCCTACCTCAGCCTCCCGAGTAGCTGGGACGGCGCGCGCCACCAAGCCCAGCTAATTTTTGTATTTTTAGTAGAGACGGGGTTTCACCATGTTGGCTAGGATGGTCTCGATCTCTTGACCTCGTGGTCCGCCCACCTCGGCCTTCCAAAGTGCTGGGATTACAGGCGTGAGCCACCCCACCTGGCCGAACTCAGCCGTAAGGCCTCTTCCTGTTTTAATCTCCTGGGATCTCCTGCTTGAAAGGTAGCAAGCCAAGAGAAAGTATGGTCTTTACAGTCACTGGGTGTCCAGAGGGAGGTGATATCTGCTAAATTGGTTCTCGAGGTGGGATTTCCCCAGTCCCGACTGGGCATCTTAGACTTAATGGGGTTGCTTCCTAGGGCTAACCTGGCCAGCTGACCTAACAAACAGCCTGGCCTGCCCCTCTCCGGCCTCTAGGTAGGCCCTGTGGACAGATAGGAGGGGCAGTGCCTTCAGAGAGACGATACAGATGGGAAGTCAACTAGCTTGCTTAGGCATTAATTTCTCGGGAGGTAAGAGATGTGAGGGGGTGTCAGTTTCCACCATCCCTTCTCTATGGCCCCCACAAAGGGCAAGGGCCAGACACGTGGGCTGGCGTGGGGAGGTGGAGGAGCAAATGATGGGGGCGGGGCCTCATTTGCATGGACGGCGCGCGGCCACCAATCCGGACAGGCGGATCGACAGCCCGCGCGCCTTTTGGGGGCGGACTGACAGCCCCGGGGCCCTATGGAAGGCGGGTCCTGCGGCCGGCTGGGGCGGGACGGCGCCGGGCGCTGCCCCGGGGATTCGGGCCGGCTCGCGGGCGCTGCCAGTCTCGGGCGGCGGTGTCCGGCGCGCGGGCGGCCTGCTGGGCGGGCTGAAGGGTTAGCGGAGCACGGGCAAGGCGGAGAGTGACGGAGTCGGCGAGCCCCCGCGGCGACAGGTACCGGCGCCATGGCCACGGAGATGGGGCGGCCGGCCGCGGCGCCCCGGGAGCCGAACGCCCTCCTTCCAGGTCCCGCCGCGGTCGCACTCGCTGCCTCAGCTCCCACCCCCACGCGGCTTCGCAGCCCAGGAGCCGCGTGTCGCGGGGGAGCGGGGTCCGGAAGCCTCGAGGGGAGCGCGCGGGAGGCCTCGGCCCCACTGCGGCGCCCCTCGCCGCGCCCCAGGGGCCGCGGGGCCGGTGCTCCCCGCGGGAGGCGCGGAGACTAGTGACCGCGGGCGCCGCTCTCCGCCCCCGCCGGCCTCTCCCGGCAGAGGCGAGGCGGGTCGCGCCCGCCCGTCCTCACTGGGCTTTTGTTTCCCGCCCGGGATGACAGGTCCCGCTCCGCCTCCGGTCTCTGGCCCCCGGCTCTCCCCGGACAGGCGGCCGGACCCTCAGCCGGCACCGCTGCGGGCGGGAGCCAAACTTCGCTTTCGGGTCCGGGCGCCGGGACAACCGGACCCCAGGGCGAGCCGAGCGCCGGGACGCCGCGGGCGCGGGGCGGATTCGCCCACCTGGCGGGGCTGTGAAGGGGATGGTGGCGGGGTGGCCGCGCTCCGGGTGTGGACGGGCGGTCCCCGCCTTCACCTGCCGCCTCGGGACAAGCGTTGGGGAACCGCATCGCCGCTGTCGGCCGCTTGTGGAGGAGTCCGCGCAGCGCCGTCTAACAGGTGATCCGCGTCACTCCCAGGCCATACCGAAGCGGCTGAACGCTGTGCCAGGGCTCCTTATGCTCTTCTGTTCTGGGACGTGAAAACGTCTTCCGCCTTATTGGTCGTCCAAAAAGGTGCACCGGTCACAGTATAAGAGTCAAAAACCAGTATTACCAAAAAGACACTACGAGCGTCAGGGTGCAGAGTGGCTTTCTTCGATTAACGAACCGGCAGGACCATCGTAGTCTCTAAAATCGGGTTCTGCAGTGGTGGCGAAAGCGTAGTAAGTTTCAAGTTGTAAGCGGAGATGCAGAATTGTAGATACCCTTCAGTGTGGTTCAGGACAGTGTGTTCAGCGTTTGGCCGCCGTTCAGTAAATTCTGCATGAAGCAGTTTGAGCTCGTGGTTTTGGATTTACTTTTCAGGAGTATGTTTTCCAGTGGAATAAGGCTTACTACTGAATGGGAGCTTTCTTTGCCTCTCTGAGTGTAGACAGGAGTGTTTATTTTCATTGTCTTCCCATTTTGTTAGATTGTGGACAAGGGAAAAGTTAAAGCATATTTTGGTTAAGTATTTTTAATAGTCTGGGATTCTATCCACCTCCTCCATAAGGGTTTTTACTTTAGAGAATTATAAAGTAATTCTCTAAAGGGAGCTGCTTCTCTTGGTGTTTGAATCAAAAGCCAAGAATCGACTTGAAAAAAATTCTTATTCTGGTGGGAAATTTTTATTGTCATACTTTCACTTCACCATTTTCTGTTTGTCTCTCCCCCAGCTGACCTCTGCCTGACAGTCTGCAATTATGGCCCTGACCAATTTAGAGATTCTATACAAATGACATTTTTAAAACGAGGGTTATTAATACTCATTATTTGTGAGAAACACTTTATTTAGTTACCCAGTTTTTTTCTTCTAATGTGTCTTGGTTGATATCTGTATTAGGTAAGATTTATACTTCGGAGATTAAGTTTAAGTTAAGAACAAAGTTGCTAATCTTGATTTAATTATGCTAGTTTATTATTCATTGAATGGTCATTTTACTTATTTGCCTAGGTAATTACAGTTAGCTAATAGCTGATAAGAGTTCGCCATTGAACCATCAACTCTTCAACCAATAATTGTGACTATTTTAGATTAAAAAGAATATAGTGGTCTTTATTGTTTTATTTCTCCATAACAAGCTATGAGGTCTTTGTATGTTTCTGAGTCTTTAATTCTTTTAGTTATGGGAATTTTGGGTGAATTTCTTTTTTAAAACATATTTTTAATCAGTTCAAATGAAAAACTTAAAATATTGCATTAGGCAACTTATTAAATCTTTAGTTATCTGTTTATTCTTGGAAAATAATGCATATTTTGGGTTCAGTTTAGTTTCCTAAAGGCTTCTCTGCTTAGGATGAATTAGTCTGGAGAGGAAAGAACATCCTGTTTGTATACCTGTAGAAGAAGTTACTGCTGTTAAAAGCTAAGTTGGCTTTTTGATGTTTAGTGTGGATAGGTTGAACAATAATTCATCCTCACGTTCGGAGGGCTTATTCTATGTAAATAGTTGAAAGGAACTGGATAAGACTGTAGCTTCCATTATTTTTTATCATTTATATAATTGCTCTTTAGTGTACTTAAATATATAAAATACTATTAATAATTAGTTGTTTATTGTCCTTATTCTGTGATGATGTATGTATATAAACCACATACAATAAAGTTGCATTTCATAAATTTATTTACATATGTGTATTTTAGTATTTTAACTATAAAAGTTAAAGTTTTATTAACTTTAGGTTTAATTAAAAGCCCATTTTAAAATTTAGTTTTTAGATATTTTAATTACTGATTTTTCTCTACTTTAACTTGTAATAGATGATATCATAAAATTATCAACTACAATTTCAGTTTCAAAAATTAAGCATAAGTTGAATTCTCAAATCCACACAATAAACATTGGGAGTGTTTTTAAAGCCATTTACCCTCAGGTATAACTCCTTTTGAGTTTGGAGGTGATAGTAAGTATTTTTAAATAAATGAAGCTACAGAAAACAAGGGCTTACATTAAAACAACTAATTTTGAGGCTAGATCAAATGCCACTATTATAGACATTAGTTTTGCTTTTTTTTTTTTTTTTTTTTTTGAGATGGCGTTTTGCTCTTGTTGCCCAGGCTGGAGTGCAAGGGCGCAGTCTCGGCTCATTGCAACCTCTGCCTCCCGGGTTCAAGCGATTCTCCTGCCTCAGCCTCCTGAGTAGCTGACACTACAGGCCTGCGCCACCATGTCCGGCTAATTTTTGTATTTTTAGTAGAGACGGGGTTTTGCCATGTTGGCCAGGCTGGTCTCGAACTCCTGACCTCAGGTGATCCACCCGCCTCAGCCTCCCAAAGTGCTGGTATTACAGGCGTGAGCCATCGCGCCTAGCCTAGTATTGCTTTATTTAACAGTAATATGCTTGCTGTACCCGGCATGAAGAATTCCTCTAAAGACCATTAATTAAAATAAGTTTTCATAATTCCTAAAGAATAATCTATATTATACATATTGGCACACTAAATTTTGTAATTCATGTTTAACAAATATCTGCATTTTATAATTCTGAAACTATTTGAACTTTACAACTTAGCTGATTAGTAGATTTTGTTTTTTAAGTATTTTATATTTCTAAATTTTTCTGCAGTACATTTTAGTGCATTTTAAAATTCTGACATCATATCCCCAAAAGTATAAAGAAAATTAAATCTACATTCAGTAGCGACTGGGTGGTGGTGGTATGTATGTCACATAACTATTGATTTAAAACAATAACCACTTAAGTGTAATTTAATTTGCAAATGAGATGTTTATTTACTATGTAAAAGACAGTACTGCCAAATGAGACTGGCTAAAATAATTTACAGTGGGGCCATATGTACTAGCAGGTTACTAACAGATTAATAAGGATATTTTAACAATATTTAGAACACTAAAATTCCACTACTCAAAATAATTTGTACTTCTTATAGTAGTTTGAGAACCTACATTTTATGCTTAATTTAGTATTTACTTCTAGTCTTTTTTTTTTTGAGTCGGGGTCTTGCTTTATTGCCCAGGCTGGAGTGCTGTGGTGTCATCATGGCTCACTGCAGACTTCCCAGGCTCAAGAGATCCTCCTGCCCAACCACCTGGTCTCAAGTGATCCTCCCACCTCAGCCTCCCAAGTAGCTGGGGTTACAGGCACACACCACCACACCTGGCTAATTTTTAAAACTTTTAATTTTTAGTAGAGATAAGGTCTCACTATGTTGCCCAGGCTGGTGTCCAACTCCTGAGCTCAAGTGATCCTCCTGCTTTGGCCTCCCAAAGTGCTGGGATTATAAGTGCGAGCCACAGTGCCAGGCCGACTTATAGCCTCTTGGAAAACATTTGGTTAATGAAAGTGAAGGTCCACCAGAGGGAGTGTGGGGTCTATATATTTGTTGTATTTGTTTTTTACCCTTGGTCTGGAATCAAAACATTTAAAAAATAAGAATAAGATTTTATTTTAGTTCTCTAAAACAATCAGTCAAAAGATATTGAAAATTGTGATTGTAGTTGTTTGGAGTTGCTGTCATTTTTGTTATCAAAATCAAGGCTTAATCAAGGCTGTTTTTCTTCTTAGAAAAAGGTGGCGAGGTGCAGTGACTCACGCCTGTAATGCCAGCACTTTGGGAGGCCAAGGCACGTGGATTGCTTGAGCCCAGGAATTTGAGACCAGCCTGGGAAACATGGTGAAACCTCCTCTCTACAAAAGTACAAAAGTTAGCCAGGTGTGGTGGAGTACACCTGTAGTCCCAGCTACTTGGGAGGCTGAGGTGGGAGGATCACTTGAGCCTGGGAGGTTGAGGCTGCAGTGAGCGGTGATTAAGCCATTGTACTCCAGCCTGGACAACAGAGCGAGACCCTGCCTTAAAAAAAAAAAAAAAGATACAATTACTGGAAAAATGAAAATGATGTATTTTCAAAGTGAAATAATGGGTTTTTAAGTAAACAGTCACACATCTGTGAAAGCTAAGGAATGTCCAAATTCTTTATTTTATTATTATTATTTTTTGAGACAGGGTCTTGCTCTGTTGCTCAGGCTGGAGTGCAGCGGTACAGTCTCCGCTCACTGCAACCTCCATTGGTTCAAGCGATTCTTCCTGCCTCAGCCTCCTGAGTAGCTGGGATTACAGGTACACACCACCACGCCCAGCTAATTTTTGTATTTTTGGTAGAGACGAGGTTTTGCCATGTTGGCCAGGGCCAGGCTGGTCTTAAACTCCTGATCTTAGGTGATCCGCCTGCCTCGACCTCCCAAAGTGCTGGGATTACAGGTGTGAGCCACCATGCCCAGCCTAGGAATGTCCAAATTCTGATAATGTTTTATAAGATTAAAAATATAGGCCAGGCCAGGAGGTCAGGCGTTGGAGACCAGCCTGGCCAACATGGCAAAACCCCATCTCTACTAAAAAAAAAAAAAAAAAAAAAAAAAATTAGCCAGTCATGGCAGTGCATGCCCTTAGTCCCAACTACTCAAGAGGCTGAGGCAAGCAAATTACTTGAACCTGGGAGGTGGAGGTTGGAATGAGCTGAGATTGCACCACTACACTCCAGCCTGGGCAACACAGTGAAACTCCATCTCAATAAAAAAAAAAGTATATATATATACCAGGCATGATGTCTCACACCTGTAATGTCAACACCTCAACACTTTGGGAAGCCAAGGCAGGAGGGTTGCTTGAGCCCAGGAGTTAGAGACCAGCCTGGGCAACATAGTAAGACCCCATTTCTACAAAAAATATAAAGTTCTCCAGGTGTGGTAGCTTGTATCTGTGATCCCAGCACTTTGGAAGGGTGAAGCAAGAGAATCACTTGAGCCCAGGAGTTCAGTGCTGCAGTGAGCCACCATACTCCAGCCTGGGGGACAGAGCAAGACCCAGTCTCAAATACACACACACACACACACACACACACACACACACACACACACACACACACACACACATATACGTATATATATACACACACACTTTTTTTTTTAAAGAAAGAGCTTGGGATATATATTTCTATACTTTTTTTAAGAAAAAGATTGGAAGAGACATATATATACACACAGACACATACATACATTTTAAAGAGATTGACGTATGTTTTTAACCTTTTTTTAAAAAAGAAATGGGATATATATATATATACTTTTTTTTCTTTTTTTTTTTTTTTAAAAGAGATTGTTTCTTGCTCTGTCACCGAGGCTGAAGTGTGGTGGCTAACTGCAGCCTCGACACAAACTCCTGGGCTCAAGCAATCCTCTTGTCTCAGCCTCCCAAAGTGCTGGGATCCCAGGCCCAAGCCACCATGCCTGGCTTAAAAATGTAGTACATTTGAATTGTATCCTTTTGAAATTGTTCGTTTTTTGGAAAGAAGAATAAGAGATGAAGAAAAATCAGACTGGAAGAGGGTTGTTTTTTCCCTTTTGTAGTTGCAAATCCTAAGTGGGCAGTGGTAAATTTCTAGAATCATTTGTAGCATTCTGTTTTAAACTTGGCAATTTAAAGATGTTATAAATGAGGAGTCCCCAGAAAATGGTCATTTCATTATCAAAAGCAGGGTTGCAAATTTCAGATTGATCTTTTCAAAAGTTAGATTTGTACTTGTTCTCAGTGTTCCTATCTCTGGAAACTAAAGAACCTCCTCCATTGTTAGCTGAAAATTGCACAGTGAATTTGAAAGTCAAGATGTCCCAGTCATGGACATAATGCTGCGATAGGTTACTTTTTGGAATGGAGAAAACATCTTAGAGATTGAGTCTGCATCAGAATATATTCTGAATGAGCATGGAATGTTCTTTACCCATGTTAGATATTAATTAATTAAGTTTTTCCATGTTTAACTTTTTTAAAAAAGCAAGACAATAAAAACAGTCTTGTAATCTGAACACATATTTTGGGTTTTGTTGCTAGCATAAAAATTATTACCTAGTGGATGGTAACACTGTTTTGAAATTCTAGCTTGGAGGAGATGTTTGTTACAAGAGAAAAGGTGTTTCATTGAAACCTAACAGGGTAATTTACATGGAGAGATACTTGTTTCTCTTTTGAGTTATTGTTAGGTTAAGACATAAACTTAGAAAAATTGAGATGCTCATCTTTCCCATCTTAGATTTACTTTCACTATGAACTTTATAAATTCTTTTTTTTGAGACAGTCTCACTCTATCGCCCAGACTGGAGTGCAGTGGCGTGATCAGAATTATTCAAGCTTATGTATGTGTGTGTATTACACATATATTACACATATGTATAAATATCAAATATCTTTTTTACATTATATATAATGGTATATATGGTTGCTATATGTTTTATGTGTGTATAGCAGTATCTATCTATACTGCCTTATTTCCCAGGCATATTTATATGCGAAACTTTTTTTCTGTGAAATCTTATTGTACCAAGAGGAATAAGTATATATGCCCACAAAAAGACTGGGTCATAGCAGCTTTTTTCACAGTAGGAATAAACTACTGATTCACATAGCAACATAGATGAATCTCAGAAATACTGTTCATAGCAAGAGAAGCCAGGCACAGATGAGTATGTATAAGTGTTTATGATGCCATTTATGAAAAATACAAGAACAGGCAAAACTAAGGTATGGTGATAGAAATCAGGACAGTGGTTGCCTCTGGGTAGGGGTTGTGGTTGACTGGAAAGGAGCACAAGGAAACTTTCTGGCATGATGGAAATATTCTGTAGCTTGACTTGGGTGATGGTAATTCAGTTATATACTTTTTGGGTAACTTCGTTTTCATGTAATTTTTAACTTACAGAAAAGTTGCAAGACTAGTACAAAGAGCTTCCGTATACCTTTATCCAGTTTTGCCAATTGTTATATACATTTACTCAAACATATTGATTCAAACTTAAGATTTTATAGTATGTAAATTTTACTTTAATAAAGGAAAGAAAGCTAAAAAAAGTGTTGAAAATGAGGATGATCTTGTTATCTAAAAAACATGAAATACCTCAGTTAGGAATTAACCAGTGGTTTAATAATGATGAGAAAAAGAATCGTTGGCTGTCTTTTGTCTTCATGTATATGTATTTATACTGCTTTTCACTAAAGACTCATGACATGTTTCTGTTAGAAGAAACAGGATCCTCAAAACGATTCAAGGTAGAACTGCCTACAAGGCAAACCTGCTTTATTTTGTTATCCTACACATGTCACCTAGGGAATGTGACTGAAACCTAGCAATAGCTTTCTGGGAATTGGAAGTTGTGACTGTTTCTGTTAAAAGAGTTGTATACCTACAATGTGCTAGCTGTTGCAAAGACATGAACAGTTTTTACTATCCTAGAACTTAGCCAAAGAAGAGGAGGCATACAAATCTGGTTGTTGTTTTTGGGTGGTGCTATTTTTCATAGGCAGGAAAGACATTGGTGTTTGTAAACTAAACTATTCTTGATCATTGGTAAGTGGTAAATCTGTCACTGTCTACTAGATTTAATGTTTCCACAGCCTCAATAGTGTGATTTGATTTAGATTAAATCAATTTAAATCATAGCTTAAACAATAATGGCTAAAAAAATTCAACTTTCCAATTCTACTACTTATTTTATGTAATTTTTAGTATGTGTTCATTACAATTTAGTATTAGGCATAATTAATGGATATTGGTTCTTTTTGTTTTTTCTTTTGAAACAGGGTCTAATTCTGTTGCCCAGTCTGGAGTGCAGTAGTGCGATCATAGCTCACTGCAGCCTGGAACTCCTGGGCTCAAATGATTCTCCTGCCTCAGTTTCCTGAGTGGCTGGGACTATAGGCGTGCACCACCATGTCTGGCTAATTAAAGAAAAATTGTAGAGACAGAGTCTTGCTGTGTTGCTCAGGCTGGTCTTGAACTCCTGGCCTCAAGTGATCCTCCCACCTTGGCCTCCCAAAGTGTTAGGACTGCAGGTATAAGCCACTGTGCCTGGCCTGGTTCATTTTTTTAAATCTTTTTTTTTTTTCCATCTACATCAGAAAGTTGTTTTATTTGGTCATATAGTCGAGTAGAAGATGTTTGAAGTAACTGGAGGGCTAACCAGATGCTTCAACAAATTAATCATTGATATTCAACATAAACATTTATTTTGCCTTTACTCATGAAAATAATAAAGTTATATGACCTATATATTTTTATTTATAAGTTTTTAAATTTAATATATTTTTATTTCAATAGCTTTGGAGTACAAGTGGTTTTTGGTTACATGGATGAATTATATCATGGTGAATTCTGAGATTTTAGTGCATCTGTTACCTGAGTAATACACATTTTACCCAATATGTAGTTTTTTATTCCTTTCCCCTGCCCTCTTCTGAGTCTCTAGAATCCATTATATCACTCTGTATGCCTTTGTGTACTCATAGTTTATCTCCCACTTATAGGTGAGAACATGCAGTATTTGGTTTTCCATTCCTGAGTTAGTTCACTTAGAATAATGTATCCAGCTTTATCAAAGTTGTTGTAAAAGACATTATTTCATTCCTTTTTTATGGCTGAGTAGTATTCCGTTGTGTGTGTATGCCATGTTTTCTTTACTCATTTAACTTATATATTTTTCAACAAAAACATAATTCTTTGAAGAATGACAGATGTCTGATATCAATCAACATGGATAAAAGGACTAACTTCTTCCATGTAATAAACATGTTCATATTTCTCTGAAATGACAGAATAGGCCTTTTCCCCTTTTATGGTCCATTTCACTATGGTGTTTAATTGATCAGTCGAGAATGAAGAAAACATTCTTTGAAAAGTATCTGCCAGAATTTTGTTTAGAATGGTCAGCCTTAACTGAAGATAGGATTTAAAAAGTATACCTGTAAGTAGACCTTTTTAGACTTTTTATTATGAAAGTTGCATACATACACAGAATCGTAGAGAATTGTCTAATGAAGTTCCATATACCTCCTCTCCAGATTCTTTAATGAACCTCCATGTACCCATTCCCCAGATTCATTAATTACTGACATTTTGGTTATTTGTATTTCATATATTTTTTTGAGACAGGGTCCTACTTGTTGCTCAGGTTGAAATGCAGTGGTGAAATCACAGCATGCTGCAGCCTTGACCTCCTAAGTACAAACAGTCCTCCCACCTCAGCCTCCACAGTAGCTGGGATTACAGGTATGCATCACCATGACCAGCTAATTTTTAAGTTTTTTTGTAGAGCCACAGTCTCACTATGTTGCTCAAGCTGGTCTTAAAATCCTGGGCTCAAGCTGTCTTCTTGCCTTGGCCTCCCAGAGTGTTAGGATTACAGGCATGAGCCACTGTGTCCAGCCATGTGCTTTTTTAAACTGTTAAATTCTCACAGAGATCATAAAACAGTGGTAGTATTGGTGTACCAATTTTTTTTCTGAGTTTTTTCCCGAAATTTTGTTATAAGTAGAGAAACATAAAAAACATTGTGTTTTAGCTCAGAGATTGACTTTGGACAAATGGTAATTATGAAACTGTTTTTGTCTTTAGCTGCTTTTTGTCAATTCATAGCCTGGAAAAGAAAAAGAAGGATTAATTTTTATGCTTTTCATTAGAATAAATTAGTTTAAGTACTCCGTATCTGTAGAATAAGGTACTGTTCATCTGGAAAGTTTGGTTAGTGTAATATCTTAGGAATGCAATTCCTAAGATACTGGAATTGTCTAAATGTTCTTCTTTTGCCTTTTCTTTCTCTAAAACCTTCATCATTGCAGTGCTTTAACTGCCACCTCTTTTTTAGGCCCCAAACCTACATCACTGTTTAAACTTGAGGTCTAAATATTCGTCTATGTCTTGAAATGAAACGTATTTAAATACCATCTCTGTAGCAGCTGTATACCAACATGACCCCTCCCCACTCCCTCCAGCCAAAACACTTCTCTTCCTGACTTCCCTCTTCAGCTGTTAATGACTCCACTATTCTTATTGGTCATTTTGACTTTTCCTTCTTAAACTCAGTGAGTCACTAAATTCTTTTGTTTCTAACTTTATGTCTCTTTATCTTTTTGTCCTTTTGATTTTCACTACACTTGTCCTAATTTGGTTAATGTGGTAAAGCAGGATGTTATCCCGAGTCTATAATGAACTTCATACATATCAAAATTAAGATATGCCCTCGATGTAAAATAGGACATTTTCTTCCCTTCCAGAGAAGGCCTCAGTGTGGGGGCGCGTGCCTGTAGTCCCAGCTACTCAAGAGGCTGAGGTGGGAGGGTCACTTGAACCCAGGAGGTTGAGGCTGCAATGAGCCATGATCATGCCACTGCACTCCAGTCTGGATGACAGAGAGAGCCTCTGTTTTTAAAAATTAAATTAAAAAAAAAAAAGGCTTCAGTCAGCCTTTAGGCAGACACATCATTTTTAAGACCTAGGTAATAATTATATTTAAACCAAGGTGATATGGAAGATTGCCAAATCACTCAGCTCAGATAACCTGGTGAATAGTGGTGGCTGGCAGTGCCCATGATTTTTCAAGGAGTTTGAGCAGCAGACTTTCTTAGACCACAGACTGTGGCCCAGGATGAATTCTCCCCAGCCCGGAATACCTGCAAGTGCTTTGTAGTAGGGGAAATGCTGAACCGAGTATATATAACACATTTTCAGGACTTTCTAGTGTTTTCATGGGAGAAAGTACAGGTCTTTTCTTTGGGTTTATTTGAAGACTCTCTTCTTATCCCATGTCTCATATTTCCTGACCAAGATAGTTCCCTTTAAAAATCCACCTTTGCTGGGCTGGGTGTGGTGGCTCATGCCTGTAATCCCAGCACTTTGGGAGGCCGAGGCGGGCGGATCACAAGGTCAGGAGATCGAGACCACTCTGGCTAACACAGTGAAACCCCGTCTCTACTAAAAATACAAAAAATTAGCTGGGTGTGGTGGCAGGCGCCTGTAGTCCCAGCTACTTGGGAGGCTGAGGCAGGAGAATGGAGTGAACCCGGGAGGCGGAGCTTGCAGTGAGCCGAGATTGCGCCACTGCACTCCAGCCTGGGCGACAGAGGGAGACCACGTCTTAAAACAAAACAACACAACAAAACAAAACAAAAATCCACCTTCGCTGAAAATGACGTGACACTCTATTTCATTACTCTGCCTTCTCTTTGCAGGCTTCTGGAATTGGTTTGTCAGAAAGCTAGGAGCTTGAGCTTAGTTGGGAGGAGATAAAATAGAAATGAGATTATAAGTGATCTCCTTTGTTCTTCCCACTAGCAGTTGTCTAGCTTCCAGGGGTCTTGGGCCTGATTCCTTTCCAAATGGGTGGTAGTTTTTACTTGTTTTTGGTCAGTTTATGGAGATTTCTTTCTTATTTCTGCCCTTTTGGGAAATGTTAAAATTTCCTCCTGGTACAAACCAAGACCCAGTTTAAGTAATTACTGACTTTGGGGATAAGGGAATGAAATACTATATTGCCCTAGATAATTGAGAACATCTGATTATTTTCTCTGATGGAACTACAGATAATATAGGGATTTGGAAATGCTTATGCAGAAAATAATTTAATGATTATTAAGGGTGGAAAAAAGAGAAAAATAAACCATTCCTAGGAAGCCTGGTATGGTAGGACTAGACACTGGAATGAGATTCAGGAGTGTTGCCACTAAGTTGCTGTATGATCTTGGGCGTGTTAAAATTACTTAACCATTCCGAGCCTTTATTTATAAAATGAGTGGGTTGGATTTTAGGTAGTATCTTAAGGTCCCTCTGCAGTTCTGAAATTCTAAGATGAGTGGTTTCTCAGGAAAAAAAACTGATTTATATGCTGTTCCTAGTTAATGATTTTTCAGGGGCTGTTTCTCATACATACTTTTCTGTTTCCGATAGCGGTTAGGAGAAGAAATAATTAAAGGTGTCAGCGTTTCTAAAGTGGATTTAGATTTATTTATGTTTCTCCACTGAATTTATCCTGGACCCTTACTTTCACCTTCTATTAATATTTGTATCCACTCTCCTGCTTTTCTTGCCTTTTCTTTTTCTATTTGCTTTACACTATGACGTCAAATCCCTCTTTTTCTCTTCTTGCTGCTGCTTTTGTCCAGCTGTCCTTCATTACCCATATTTCATTATGACTGTGGAATTTATCAAATAGGCCCTTGAGTCTAAGCTATTACTGATTTAAATTCAGATGTCCCAATAGTTGTTAGGATTAATAGGACCCTTCTACTCTGTTATACAGCAACTGGAGAGAGGAGTCCTAGGGTTAGAGGGGGTGGGCAAGCCTGAGGGTAGAAGGAATGGTGTAGAAGAGAATTCCAAGGATTGTTTTGATTTTGCCCCTAAAATATAAGTTAAAATCCTAAGTTTCGATGATGATGACTTTTGCACTGATAAAAGTTTGATCCTGAAGTCATAATGGACTGTGAGAGTTTCTTGAAGGCAGAGCTGAACTTCTAATTCTGAATCCACAGCATTCAGTAATGCTGAAGTATTGCTGCTGCTAAGTGCAAGTTGAATTAAATTGTTAGGATTGATGCTTTCTTCCCTCAAGGTGTTTTGTGGTAGGCTGGGGATTAAGAGTATGGTATAGACTTGTTTTTTTGAGACGGAGTGTTTCTCTGTCACCCAGGCTGGAGTGCAGTGGCGTGATCTCGGCTCACTGCAACCTCTGTCTCCCAGGTTCAAGCGATTCTCTTGCCTCAGCCTCCTGAGTAGCTGGGATTACAGGCATGTGCCACCACGCCCAGCTAATGTTTGCATTTTTAGTAGAGACGGGGTTTCACCATGTTGGTCAGGCTGGTCTCAAACTCCTGACTTTGTGATCCACCCGCCTCGGCCTCCCAAAATGCTATATCTGTAGAATCCGTAGAATCCGGGATTACAGGCGTGAGCCACCACACCCAGCCTAGAGTATGGTATAGACTCGTGTAAGACTTCAGTGAATCTTATCACTACCACTTTGTGGTATGGGATAAGATACTTATTTTCTGTAAGTCTCAGTTTCCTCAACTATAACATGCGAGAGGGACAAAATGAGCACTTACCTCAAGGTTGTTGTGAGGATTAAATGAGACAATACATGTAAAGCACTTAGCTCAGCGCCTAGTATGTCTTCACTAAATATTAAATACTAGTGTAGTTTCATTAATAAGTACTGCTGTGTTCCAGATATTTATTAAGTTCTGCTAGGTTCTAAGTAGGGTTAACAAAATGAACAGGACATGATCCTGCTCTCAGAAAGGACAGAACATATGCACAAAAGATAATTAACAACCTAGATCCAATGGTAAGTGGCAAAGGAGTGGTTTACTTAAGGGCTCAAGAGGCTAAGCAAATGAGAACTTCAGGAAGGTGACAGAACTTGATCTCAGCTTTGAAGGACTAATTAGCAAGTTGACAGTCTCCTTGGAGCCAGACTGCTTGTGTTTGAATCCTAGTTCTGCTACTGTGTCATCTTAAGCAAGTGACGTGATCTCTCGCCTAGGATTGTTGAGAGAATTAAATGAGTTAATACATGTAAAACACTTAGAATGGTTCCGCAAACATTGTTAGAGCTTGATAAATTATTATTAATAAGTTGAGAGAAGGGAGAATGCATTTCAGATAGAACATTGAGTGATAATGAAGGGGAGATACTCTAGGTTTGTTTGAAGTGATGAAGCCAAATTGGTTAGAGGGATAGCTTGTTGGAAATTAGTGGATGAATATGTCGGGGCACAGTTATGAATAGGTAAGCCAAGAAGTGTGACATCTTTTCCATATGTACTGAGGGAACTTGGAAAGACTCTTGGGTTACTTGTCAACTCTTATGTGTTACAGATAATTTCTAAGTCTGTATCTCCAGCATTTCTACCTTCCTTGATTTCAAAATAACTGAAACTTCTATTCAAGCTAATTTTGATAGTAAAGCTCATAATCTTCTAAACTGGGCCATTATGCTTCTTTATTTGCTCATTTATTTTTGTAAATGTTTTTGGCTTTCTCTTTTTCTCTGTATTCTAGTTGTTTACATAATCCTCACTCCTTTTCTCCAAAGTTTAGTGGGTTTCTGCTAGTGTTTCCTCTCTGTCCTCAAAACCCCAGTCTAGATCCTAAATCATCAAGCCATAAGGTGGAAAGGACCAGAGAGAGGGAGAAAGGGAAGAAGGAAGGGAACCATCCTCTAGTCCAGCCATCTTGTTTTACAGATGAGGAAATTGAGGTTCAGAGGAAGTAGAGGCATATGCTCAAGATCCACAGCTACCGAATGAGCAGGGCTGCCCCTTTCAGGACTAGATGAAGGCTGTTTTATACTCTCATCTCAGTGTGATTCTCAGCTATCTGGGTGGGAATTATAGTAGTACAATAAATAAATTTTCTGTTATTACTATTAAGCACCAAGACAAAAAATAGTTTTATTACCAGGAACTATATGATAATAATTCAACCTTATTAATAAGCCCATGATTGTATTTCTCAGATGAGCCTCACTATTCTTAATACTTAAAACCAAGTCTCCAAAATCTGCTTTGAGAAGAGGGTTTCTTGCTTTCATTTTTAGAGTTGTAAATTATAAATATAATAGTATTATAAACATAAATAGTATTCTCAAAAGAATGGACTTTTTGTTTCTGTTTTCTTCTTTTTTTTTCTTTTGAGACAGGGTCTTGCTCTGTTGCCCAGGCTGGAGTGCAGTGGCACTCTCAAAGCTCCTTCCCAGGCTCAAGCGTTCTTCCCACCTCAGCCTCCCAAGTAGTTGGGACTAAAGGTGCACACCACCGCACCTGGCTAATTTTTAAATTTTCTGTAGAGATGGGGTCTCACTCTGTTGCCTAGGCTGGTCTTGAACTCCTGGCCTCAAGTGATCTGCCTGCCCTGGCCTCCCAAAGTGCTGGGATTACAGGCAGGAGCCACGGCACCCAGCCAATCTCTTAGATTTTAATATATGCCACACACAACACATAATGGTATGTTATGTATTCAAGCATTTTCTTCTACATTGTTTTTCTACCTAGATGTAATGTGATAGAAGGTATAAAGCCCTAAGCTTAGCGTCTGGCCATACCAGTTGCTCAATAAATATTCTCTTCCCTTTTTACAGGGCTGGTAATTTTTTCTCTTATATAATGTTAATTCCCAATCACCAATTCACTATCACATCACTTCCTTTTCTTCCCTGGAAACGTATGTTTAAATACATTTGCCCTCTCTGCATTTTGAACATTTGCATAATGTACAAGTACTTTTTTTCTTTTTTTTTTTTGAGACGGAGTCTCTCTCTGTTGCCCAGGCTGGAGTGCAGTGGCGCGATCTCGGCTCACTGCAAGCTCCGCCTCTCAGGTTCACGCCATTCTCCTGCCTCAGCCCCCCGACTAGCTTGGGCTACAGGCGCCTGCCACTACGCCAGCTAATTTTTTGTATTTTTTTTTTTAGTAGAGACAAGTTTTCACCGTGTTAGCCAGAATGGTCTCAATCTCCTGACCTTGTGATCCGCCCGCCTCAGCCTCCGAAAATGCTGGGATTACAGGCGTGAGCCACCGCCTCCAGCCACAAATACTTTTTAGTCGCCATAAGCATAATCAAGAAATCATTTTGCAAATGGTAAGCTTTTCATGTTGTGTATTCTTTCCCATGATTAGAGAGGTAAAAAGTGGCCTGGGATGCATAAAGATGTCGTAGACCTCTGCAATCTGCCACATTATTTCTTTAAAAAAAAAAAAAAGCAAGCTTCTGGACTAGATTGATTTTTACTGAAATATTAATTTTTCTTTATTATTTTTAAACACTGAAGTTGAATTGTATAATTCACAAATGCCTATACAAAACTTTTTTCCATGTCCTCAATACTTTGTATCAGATTATTTATATTTCTCATGGTTTGGTTTCTTTTTCTTGTCTTCATTTTTCTGAAGGTAAAAGGGGATTTTTTCCCCCCTTTTCTGATCTGTAACTTGTTTTGTATTTGGATGATTACCCTTTATAACAAATTTTATCTTCTAATTATGCTATTAAGCGAGAAGATAGTGGCCGGTCACGGTCGCTCACGCCTGTAATCCCAGCACTTTGGGAGGCCGAGGTGGGCGGATCATGAGGTCAGGAGATCGAGACCATCCTGGCTAACACAATGAAACCCAGTCTCTACTAAAAATACAAAAAATTAGCTGGGCGTGGTGGCGGAAGCCTGTAGTCCCAGATGCTGGGGAGGCTGAGGCAGGAAAATGGTGTGAACCCGGGAGGCGGAGCTTGCAGTGAGCCGAGATCGCGCCACTGCACTCCAGCCTAGACGACAGAGTGAGACTCCGTCTCAAAAAAAAAAAAAATTCTTCTAAATTAGATTTTAGGGTTCTTTTGAGGGCTGAGTTTGTGTGTGTAGGTTTCTCTTAGCCCCTTCATATATTGTGTTGGAACTTCTGTTTCTATTTTTTAAATGTTTTCTTATGTTGAATTATTTTATTGCTGTTTGAAAAAAATATGTTAAAACTGTATTTATGGGTGGTTGCTAGCCTTTTAAATTTACATAGTAATAAATTTTGCTGTTAACTTCATTCTTAGAATATGAAGTTTTTTGTAATTTAACTTCTTTAGGTATTTACCCTGCAATTCTGATACCTTGAGAGAGAAAGGGATAATTGACTTTTTCACTTTCATTTTATAGATACTATTTGGCTACCTTGTTCCTTCCCTTTATTTTCATTTTATTTGTGTCTCCTAAAAGTGGGGACCTTTTAATATAATGTTAGGCGCTTTATAGGCTGTCTTTTCTTTTATAAAATGTGTTCATTTCACTTTTCCATTTTTAATATGACTATATTCTAGATTTTCTGTAATTCATGATATATTTTTTAAGATTTTGGCTAGATTTGTCAGTTTGGATTGTAGTTTCTTTTAACTTGTTTTTGTTTATTTATTTATTATTTTTTTTTTTTTTTGAGACAGGATTGCACTCTCTTACCCAGGCTGGAGTGCAGTGGTGCGATCTCAGCTAACTGCAACTTCTACCTCCCTGGCTCAAGCAATCCTTCCACCTCAGCCACCCAAGTAGGTGGGACTACAGGTGTGCACCACCATGCCCAACTAACTTTTCTATTTTTTGTGGAGACAGGGTTTGGTTTTACCGTTTTGCCCAGGCTGGTCTCAAACTCCTGGGTTCAAGGGATCGTCTCACTTTGGCCTCAGAAAGTGCTGGGATTACAGGCATGAGCCACTGCACCTGGCTTATTAATTTCATTAATACTTTGCTTTTACCTCCATTTAACAAACTTTGGTATTACCATATATGAGATATTTTCATGTGTATGTGTGCATTTATATTTTTTAAATATGTGACTGAGTTTTTTCCCTTTTTCTTAGATTCCTAGGCTATTTCAATATTTTTATACCTGTTGTCTACTCTGCAGCTAATGACACAGATAGCAGTATATGAGTTTTTCTTTTCTTTTCTTTTCTTTCTTTTTTTTTTTTGAGATGGAGTCTTGCTTTGTTGCCCAGGCTGGAGTGCAGTGGCACGATCTTTTCTCACTGCAACCTCCGCCTCCCAGGTTCAAGCGATTCTTGTGCCTCAGCCTCCCGAGTAGCTGGGATTACAGGTGCCCACCACCACACCCGGCTAATTTTTTTTTGTATTTTTAGTAGAGTCGGGGTTTCACCATATTGGCCAGGGCGAACTTCTAACCTCAAGTGATCCACCCGCCTCAGCCTCCCAAAGTGTTAGGATCACAGGCATGAGCCACCGTGCCCACTGAGAATTTAATACACTTTATGTAAGTTAATTTTTTATGATAGTTATCTAGCTTTGCCAGACCAATTTTGTTAGTAAATTTAAAACATTAAAAAATTTTGAATCCTCCTAATTCTGTGTCTCTAATTTAGTAATTTTAAGTTTTGATCCTTGTTTCATTCTATCATTCTTTTATTTAAAAAAATTGTCATTGGCTTTTCTAAAAGTGAATCGTGAATCATGATTCATGTGAAATAATTAACTCTAAAACAGCAAAGATACCTTTTAGAACCTTCATTTTTTATAAATTGCATTAACAAGTTATGCAGTGATGTGAAGATACAAACTAAGGTCATTAAGTTTTCTTTAATTTATAATTTATATTAACCTATTCATTGAAAAGGATTTGATAGTTTGTGATTAAAGCAAAACAGGCAAAGACCATTAAAAACAAAGACAGAAAATGAGCATAAATCACTTGAGAAATAATGAGCAGAATGGGGGAATGGGAAGAAATCTTTATACCAGTAATCTGAGGCAAGATAGTTTCTGTGTTTGAACATTAAATTTAGCTCTGAGCTTCCTGGCAAGCAAGAGAAAAAAGGAAACAGGGTGACTTTTATAGTTATTGTCCAGTAAAGAAAGCTTTTTCAATTTTTCAGAAGAGAGAAACTTTTTCTGAGTCATAAGTTATAAGAGGTTTGTTATGTGAATTCTTACATATGGAACATAATTTATATTTCTAATTTTGAAAATTATTGAATTTCTTCTGTTGCTGTCTTAGCCATCAGGTACCATTCTATGCATTGTAATTATATTGGTCATATTAAGTTCATGTCCACTGTTGTCAAAAGTGGAAATACCATGGCTGGGGTGTGTTTATGTATTGCCTCTAGAGCTGTAGCCACTGACGAACAGGAAACTGAAAGCTAAAAGTTCAGGAAATGTATTGTATTTAGACTGTGGAAAACATATATATGATACTTTACTGAAAACCATGCTCTTTTGAAAACTGAAATATGTATGTATTTAATTAGAGATGAATATTAAGGATTCATATCAGATGCTTAAATATGATAATAGATACAGTATGTGCATTGTAGGCCAGGAATATTGTGCAATGCTAGAAAAAAAGGCAACAGATTATTGTATGTATTCAGCTATATTCTTTCAAGAAACAAAACAGCTGGCACATCAATTGAATTCCTCAAGGATGTCTTATTTCCAGAGAATTCCAGAGTTTTAGTTTTAGCTTAGTTCCAAGGAAGAGGAGGTCCCTGTTTTACAGGATAGCCTATTTCAGTCTTAGGGAGTTCTAATGGTTAACTTCTGTTTTCATACACTGAATTTAACTTTGTTTTCCTGTGATTTATTAATACAGTCTATAGCTTTCTTAGAGTTGAGAAGAAAATGATTAATTGATCAAACTTTTTTTGAAAAGTTAATTGCATCTCAAGTGTTTTCTTAGATATTGTTTCATTTTAGGTTCCTTATAAAATACTTCCTACAGGAGTCTTTAGTTTTGAAGTTATAAAAAAAAATTATCAGAGGAAATATGACTAATGTATATGCTTGGTTGAGCTGCATTTTCTTACTGTTTCTATACTTAGTATTTTAACAGGATGTGATTGATAGGAATTTAACATTCTAATTCTTTAAGACAATCATGAAGTTCTGATAGTTTCTTAGAAATGGAAATTGTGTCATTATATTTTGTTGTTTTATTGTTGTGCATTTTAACAAAAGAGGTGACTTCACATGTACCCTAAAACTTAAAGTATAATAATAACAAACAAAACAAAACACATGTACCCTAAAACTTAAAGTATAATAATACAAAAAAAAGAAGAAAAAAAACAACAAAAGAGGTGACTTATAACTATTCCATTCCAGTTTTATGATATGAAATTGTAGTCACACAGAACATTTAGGGGCCACATTAAGTGAAAATTCCATTTATTACAAAGTTTTTAAAAGGATTTTTAGCTGTATTACATGTCACTTAATTATAATCAATTTAATAGTTTCATTAAAATTAGACTCTTTTCAGGATTGATTTTGGTTTTGGTCTGTTAGGGTTGTGTGTTTACCCCTGAACTGTTGTGGTAGCCAAAGGGATAGAAAGCACTGACTGGCAAAAAATGGACACTGGGCCTAGCCTAAGAGGGAGAAGCAGGGCTTCCCAGAGGAAAGTCCCGGGATGCTGTTTCCAGCATAAAGGGGAGTGGGCTCTGGGCTCACACAAGGAGTCTCAGCAAGGCCAGACCGTAAAGGGCTGGGTATAGTGGGAAGAAGAGTTGGATTTTATGCAGTGGCTGATCTGCTGTTGCCATAGAGGATTCTTTTTGAATAATAACTTTTACTTTCTTATTGTGTTACACACTCGTTGTAGAAAAATTAAATTAGTGAAGAAAATAAAATAAAAATTTCCTATAATTTTTTTCCCTTTTTGAATGTTCTTAGCTAATTTCCCTTAAACTTCATTTAACATTTAGGTTACTTTTTTTCTTTTCGAAAGAGTCTCACTCTGTCACCCAGGCTGGAGTGCAGTGGCGGGATCGCAGCTCACTGCAACATCTGCTTCCTGAGTTCAAGTGATTCTTCTGCCTCAGCCTCCTGAGCAGCTGGGATTACAGGCGCCCGCCACCATGCCTAGTTGATTTTTGTATCTTTAATAGAGAATTCTTCTGCCTCAGCCTCCTGAGTAGCTGGGATTACAGGCACCCGCCACCACGCCTGGCTGATTTTTGTATTTTTAATAGAGATGGGGTTTCACCATGTTGGCCAGGCTGATCTCAAACTCTTGACCTCAGGTGATCCACCTGCCTCGGCCTCCCAAAGTGTTGGGATTATAGGCATGAGCCACTGCACCCAGCCAACTAGGTTACTTCTTATTTGTTTATTTGAAAGAGTGCTTGTTGAATTGTTCTTTCCACAGATTATGCTTCTAATAACTTTAAATATTAATTATGGAGGAAACGGGTTAATCATTTTAAGGATTCTTTTTGGTTGATATAATGATTCTATTAATTAATATTTGTCTTATGGGAGCCATAAGCGTAATAGGCATAATGAGAGCACACACTTGTAAGTCAGAGTGGTTCTTACAGGGGAGACAGGAAAAATGGAGTCCAAAAGGCCTTTCTGTAAGTTCCTTGGGAGCAGGGACTAGGTCTTTCTTGTTCACCATTATGTCAGTATCAGGCACAATGCTTGACGCCTAGTAAGTGTTCCATAAATAGTTGAATGAATGGATGAGTTTCTCATTAAGCACTTTTAGTAGCTCATATTTCTTGTACTGTGGATAATCAAGATCAATTATATTCATCTAAGGTTAAGAGCCTTTGCTATACTCAGTTTTCTTTATTAATGTAAATTTAATAAACTGATTTTTTTAAAAGGCATGCATCTATGTATACACACACACACACACACACACACACACACACACACACAGACACACACACAAAACAAGTGAAAATTTATTGTTTCTTCCCCTGAGCCCCATTCTCCAGAATTAGCTACTATTAATGGCTTACTATATTTTTTCTAGGTATTTTCTCTTCATATACATTTTCTTTCTTTTCTTTTTTTTGAGAGAGTCTCGCTCTGTCGCCCAGGCTGGAGTGCAGTGGTGCAATCTCGGCTTACTGCAACCTCCCGAGTTCAAGGGATTCTCCTGCCTCAGTCTCCCGAGTAGCTGGGATTATAGGCGCCTGCCACCATGCCCGGCTAATTTTTGTATTTTTAGTAGAGACGGGGTTTCACTGTGTTGGCCAGGATGGTCTTGATCTCTTGAACTCGTGATCCGCCTGCCTCAGCTTCCCAAAGTTCTGGGATTACAGGCGTGAGCCACCGTGCCCAGCCTTCATATACATTTTCTTTACACAAATAGAATAATTATATTCTGTTCTATAAATAGCTTTTTTTCCCCTTCATGGCATTCTTAAACTTTCCATATCAATTCGTTTGTAACTGTGTCTTTATTTTTAATTATATAATTTTCCATTGTAGAGATGTATAATAGAAGTCTATGAAGGAAATCCACTCCCCTCCTTTTTTTTTTTTTTTTTTTTTTTTTAACTATAATAGTAGTGTTTCTGCATGTATTTTTGCTTGCTTCTGTGAGAATATCTACAGGTTATTTCCTGGAAGTGATATTGCTGGGCTAAAGGATATTTGCACATAAACTTTCAGTAGATATTGGGAAATTCGCCCTTAAAAATATTCAACAAATTTGTACTCTTACTAAAGATATGAAGTGTTATTTTTCTGATAACTGTACACACTTTAATTTTGTGGATTAGAAGGATTAAACTTCTGAAAATGAATCCTTGTCATAGTAGCTTGAGATGTTCAGAAGATGATACATTAGGTAATATATATGTTCCTTGGCTTATGGTGGTTTTACCTCCTGATAAACTCATTGTAAATAGAAAATATCACAAGTTGAAAATGCATTTAATATACCTAACTTACTGAACATCATAGCCTACCTTACACATGCTCAGAACACTTAAATTAGCCTACAGTTGGGCAAAACCATCTAATAGAATGCCTATTTTATAATGTGTTGAATGTCTCACATAATTTATTGAAAACTGAAAGTGAAAAAGCAGAATAGTTGTATGGGTGCTTGGAGTACTGTTTCTACTGAATGTGTATCGCCTTCTCACCATCATAAAGTTGAAACTCGTAACCCAAACCATAAGTTGGGGACTGTCCATAGTTCCATTGCCTGATGTGATCTGTTGAAGTTAGGTGGAAGATAGTGTACTATGACCTCTACAGACCCATAGTGTGTATTGTACAGATTTAGATGAAGAAGATCAGAATGTTGGGTTTCTAGGTTTTTATCTTTTTAGAATGTTTAAGATAAACATTTATGGCCAGGCACGGTGGCTCATGCCTATAATCCCAGCACTTTGGGAGGCCGAGGCGGGCGGATCATGAAGTCAAGAGATTGAGACCATTCTGGCAAACATAGTGAAACCCTATCTCTACTAAAAATACAAAAAAAATTAGCTGGGTGTGGTGGCACGCGCCTGTAGTCCCAGCTACTCGGGAGGCTGAGGCAGGAGAATTGCTTGAACCTGGGAGGCGGAGGTTGCAGTGAGCCGAGATCGCGCCACTGCACTCCAGCTTGGTGACAGAGTGAGACTCCTCTAAAAAAAAAAAAAAAGAGGAGCATTTACTAGTGACATTCTAAAGGAGCAGAAGACCCTGAGTGCTGGTTTGAGAAGTTTAGATTTGTTGTGTTGGAACACTATTTAAGGTCCATGAATTAGAGAGTAATGTGGTGGGTGTGCTGTGTCAGAAAGGCTTCACTAGCAGTGTATACAGAATGAGTGGGAGTGAGTGAGCCGTCTGGAGGTAGGCAGGTCCTCTGGAGAACTGTAGTAATTCACAAAGGAGAGGAAGAAAACTCAAAATATGATGATAGCTATGGAGTCGAAAGTAAGATAAGAAACACAATGAATAGTTGGCGGTCCTATTGATTAAGTGGAGAAAAATTATATTGAAGTTGCAAACCTAGGAGAATGGCCAGATAATACAGATTATGAAATAAATGGAGAAGGGACCAATTTTGAAAAAGTTAATTTTCCTTAAAAACATAAGGAAATAAAAGGGTCCTGAAGTGAGAGAAATCAAAGATTGGAGAAGGAAAGAGGGAGAAATTATGCCACTTTTAATTTCAGCTACTACCTCTATTAGGATTTGGGAGTTATACTAATAGAGGTAATAGTTGAAATTAAGAGTGGATGAGTTCTGGTATGAAGTGGTTGATGGGGACAACTGTTGATTGACAACTGCATTTTAAGGAGAGGATACTGATAGTAATGGGAGATGGGATGAAAGAATGCCCAGGCAGAGAGGAAATTTAATAATTTCAGGAGTGGGGAAAGAATAAAGACAAATGTTACTGCAGCCTACCTTTCATTCTTTTACTGTGCATGAGATACTGTATTTGCTGGATGTTTTCCTGTAGATACCACATTGTTCTTCCTCCGGGAGTGGCATGTCAGAAAATTTGATGATTATTTTAAAGATGTTGAGTTTTATTCCTGAAATTGAATATGGTAACGGAAAAAGGGTCTTGGGTAGTTTTTGGTGTCATATGCTGTGTTCCTTTTAGTTCATAAAATCTTTCATCTTGTTTGAATATCTGTGGGTCTAAAAAAAAAACAGCTAATTTTTGGATAGGTAAAAGTCCAGATACTTTGTACATTTTAATTGATTATTTAAAAAATATTCCCTGGCTTTTAAAACTTGGCTAATACAAATTGTAAGAATCACCATCTTTTTAGAAGAACATACTGTGAATTCAGAATTTTTGCTGGCTTAGTGCTTGTCAGCATGGAGCCTGTTCACAGGAAATGCTTTAGAATCAGAGTCAGAGACCTGTGACACTTCTGGGGAGTCAGTATGTAAAATAGTTAGAGTGCAGGCTCCAGAGTCAGTCTCCCTGGTTCCACTGTTCACTAGAAGTATATCCTTGGATAGATTACTTAGCTCGTCCATTAGATTTGCTGTCTGGACGTGTCAGTAGTAACAATCTCAATGTCACACGGTTATTGAAGAGATCCATCATAGAGCTTACATTCTAGTAAGGAGAGACAGGCAGTATACAAATACTATAAATACACTGGAGGAAAACATAGTGGGGCTGATTATAGTCGATTTTTGCTCTTTTATTTCCGGTAACAGTAAAACAACTCTGATAAGAAAAGGTTTGAACATGAAGGCAGACCTGAAGCGAGTGAGGGAGTGAGCTATGCAGCTAACCAGGGAAGAGTTCCAGGTAGTGGGGATAGCAAGTGCAAAGGCACTGAGGAAAGGGCACATGGGAGGGGGCAGCAAGAAGGCCACTGTAGCCAGAGCAGTGAGTGAGGGAAAAGGAGAAATAATTTCAGAGATAGCGAGTGATCAGCATGTATAGGGTATTAAGCATAAGAAGGACTTTGGATTTTATCCTGTGTGAGATGGGAAACCATTGGAGTGCCAGAGTAATTTTTTCTTAAAGCTAGTCTGCTTGTCATTTCTTTTCTTAAAAATGCCTCAGTTCCCTGTTGCCTTTGGAATAATGTTCACGTACTTTACTTTGGCACACAAGGTCCTTCACAGTCAGGCCTCTGCCTGTTTATTTAGCATCATCTGCTTCTTTCCCACATGTACCCTTCACTTTAGCCAAGTGGGATCACATGCAGCTCCCTGGATGGGTCATGATGCTTTGTGTCTTCGCGTCTTTCTGTACCGTTTGCCCTGTGAGAAGCCCTCCCCCTCAGCTCACATGGTCACTGGCTCTGTTTTAGAGGGTCCTCTTTGTGCTCTTGCTCTCTCATCATTTCCACCCGGAGCCACTTTGCACTTAAGCTGCTTAGGCTTGAAACGTGCTGTGTTCTTTTACCAGCCTTGATTTTACTCTTGCCACACCCTTGCCGGTTGAAAGTATGCCTATCCAGCTCAGACACTGCCATCTTCTGCCTCCTTGGGACCCTCAGAAACACTTTGTAGCTCTCTTCTACCTAATAATAATTATTTGGAATTAAAATGTTTCTTTGCCTTCACAAAAAATCCTTGGGCTAACTTATTTCAGTTTTCTTTGTAGCTCCTAGAACAGGGTCTTACAGACATTTCATATTCAGTAGGTATTCATGGTGTGTAGGATTCATAGTATAATTAGAAAACTATTGGCTTTCAAACAACTAAGGGCCAAAAGCAGCAAAAATGAATGCACAATTAAAATGAGTTCCTATTAACAAAACAAATTTACTGTAATTATGATAGCTAGGTAATCCTTGTTCTCTTATATATTTATATATACTTACTAGTGGCACCAAATATTAGTATACCCAGTTTGAGATGCAGTTTGTTGAAATATATTTGGACACAGCCAGGCGTGATGGCTCACATCTGTAATCCCAGCACTTTGGGAGGCTGAGGTGGCAGGATCGCTTGAGCCCAGGAGTTCAAGAACAGCCTGGGCAACATAGTGCGACCTTGTCTCTACAAAAAAAAAAAAAAATTAAAAAATTAGCTGGGTGTGGTTGTGCATGTCTCTAATCCCAGCTACTCAGAAGGCTGAGGTGGGAGGACTATTTGAGCCTGGCAGGTTGAGGCTGTAGTGAGCCATGACTGTGCCACTGTACTCCAGCCTGAGCAACAGAGCAAAACTCTGTCTCAAAAAAAAAAAAAAAAGACACGTAAATAAATGCTCATGGTTTTTGACAAGGTCATACCACTTCTGAAAATCTTCTTAAGAAAATAATACAAACTAGCCAGCCACAGTGGCTTTTGCATGTAAATCTCAGCAACTTGGAAGACTGAGGCAGGAAGATCACTTGAGCCCAAGAATTTGAGATCAGCCTGGGCAACATAGCAAGACCTTGTCTCTATTAAAAAAATAAATAAATAAAAAAGAGAAAGTAACAAAAACTAAATGATAATTACAACATCTACTACTACTAATGTTGAAAGTATACCATGTAACAGGCACTGTACAAAGCCCTTTATGTGCATTACTTTAGTCCTCACAATCCCAAGAGATGTTGATAACTGATAACCTTGTGTTTTAGATAGGGAAACTGTGGCACAAAGAAGGTAAGTGACTTGCACAAGATCATACAGTTGCTATGTTGTCAAGCTAAGATTCTCACTCAAGCAGACTGTGTTCAAGAAGCCATACTCTTTTTTTTTTTTTTTTTGAGACGGAGTTTTGCTCTTGTCACCCAGGCTGTAGTGTGCAGTGGCTCGATCTCTGCTCACTGCAACTGCCTTCTGGGTTCAAGTGATTCTCCTGCCTTAGCCTCCTGAGTAGCTGGGATTACAGGCACTTGCCACCACACCCGGCTAATTTTTGTATTTTTAGTGGAGACGGGGTTTCACCATGTTGACCAGGCTAGTCTTGAACTCGTGACCACAGGTGATCTGCCCACCTCAGCCTCCCAAAGTGCTGGGATCAGGCACGAGTCACCGCGCCCAGCCAAGAAGCCATACTTTCAATTACATATGATAAAAGCTTAGGCACAAAAATGTTCATAGCAGTGTTATATAGTATTAATAAGTTGGAAGGAATGTATATCATTCATGAATTATGGTCATCCATTGAGTAGAATAATTTTTTAGCAGCTTAATTGAGATAAAATTCACATACCATAATATTCTCCCCTTTAAAGTGTACAATTCAGGCCGGGTGTGGTGGCTCATGCCTGTAATCCCAGTACATTGGGAGGCTGAGATGAGAGGATCACTTGAGACCAGGAGTTCAAGACCAGCCTGCTCAATGTAGCGAGACCCCATATCTCTATAAATAAATAAATACATAAAATAAGGTAAATCAAAAATAAAATAAAGTATATAATTCAGTGGTTTCCAGCATATTTCCAGATTTGTGCAACTATTACTGCTGTCCCACTTTGGAACATTTATAACCCTAAAAAGAAATCTCCCACTCCCCATTTCCTCCTGTTTCCCCTAACCCTAAGCAACCACCAGTCTCCTTTCTGTCTCTATGAATTTGCCTATTCTGAACCTTTCGTATAAATGGGATCATATAATGTATGGCCTTTCATGATTGGCTGCCTTCAAGTGAAATTAATAGTCCTAAATATGCACCTAATAACAGAGCTTCAAGATACATGAATCAGAAACTGATAGAACTTGAAAGGATAAGTAGATCTAAAATTATAGTTGGAGATTTCAATACCTCACCTGTCTCTCAATAATTGATAGAACAAGTAGACAAAAAATAATTTAGAAGATGTGAACTACATTGTCAACTAACCTAATTGACATTTACATAGTATTCTACCCAATACAAGCAGAATACACATTCTTTTCAGTTGCACACAGCACAGGACATTTAATAAGATAGATCATATTTTTGTTCATAAAATAGTGTCAGTGTTGGCCAGGCGCGGTAGCTCATGCCTGTAATCCCAGCACTTTGGGAGGCCGAGGCGGGAGGATCACCTGAGCTCGGGAGTTTGAGACCAGCCTGACCAACATGGAGAAACCCTGTCTCTACTAAAAATACAAAATCAGCCGGGCGTGGTGGTGCATGCCTATAATCCCAGCTACTCAGGAGGCTGAGGCAGGAGAATCGCTTGAACCTGGGAGGCACGGGTTGCGGTGAGCTGAGATTGCGTCATTGCACTCCAGCCTGGGCAACAAGAGCAAAACTCCGTCTCAAAAAAAAAAAAAAAAAAAAATAGCATCAATGCATTTAAAGTGACTTAGATCATAAAGTATGTATGCTGACCAAAAGGGAGTTAAATTAAAAGTCAATAACAGAAAGATACTTGGAAAATTATTAAATATTTAGAAACTAATGTATTCCTAAGAAGCCCACAGGTCAAAGAAGAATATCAAAGATGAATTTAGAAAGTATTTTGTACTTAATGAAAATCATATCAGAATATGTGGGTTGTGGTTAATGCAAATGTTTAGGGGAAAATTCATAGCACTAAATGTCTATATTGGGTAAGAAGTAAAATCACAAATCAGTGTCCTCAGCTTTCACCTTAAGAAATTAGAAAAAGAAGGGAAAATTAAACCCAAAGTAAACAGAGGAAAAGAGTTAAGGATAAAAGCCAAAATTAGTGGAATAGAAAAAAAGAAAACTAGTAGAGAAAGTCAGTGAAATCAAAAGCTGGTTCTTTGAGAACAATGAAATTGATAAAACTCTAACCTGACTAATCAGGAATCAGAGAGAGAAGACAACTTACCAATATCAAGAATGAAAGAATTGCTAACAAAGCTCAGATTCTATAATTATTAAAAGGATGAGAGAATAATATGAATTACTTTATAGTAATACATTAGACAGCTAGATGAAATGTGCAAATTCCTTGAAAGATACAAAATACCTAAGCTCACTGAAGAAGAAACAACCTGAAAAGTCCTATATCTATTAAAGAAATTGAATTCGGCCAGGCTTGGTGGCTCACGCCTATAATCCCAGCACTTTGGGAGGCTGAGGTAGGCGGATCACCTGAGGTCGGGACTTTGAGACCGGCCTGACCAACATGGAGAAACCCCATCTCTACTAAAAATACAAAATTAACTGAGTGTGGTGGCGCATGCCTGTAATCTCAGCTACTCCAGAGGCTGAGACAGGAGAATCGCTTGAACCCAGGAGGCAGAGGTTGCAGTGAGCCAAGATGGTGCCACAGCACTCCAGCCTAGGCAACAGGAGCGAAACTCAGTCTCGAAAAAAAAAAAAAAATTGAATTCCCACAAAGAAAACTCTAGGCCTACATGGTATTCCTGATTCTACCAAACATTTTAGGAAGTCATAATACCAATTTTACACAAACTCCTCCATAAAATTGATAAAGATGGAATATTTCTTAAGTCACTCTATGATTTTTATTATTTATTTACTTATTTCTTCCTGAACCAGGGTCTCGCCCTGTTGCCCAGGCTGGAGTGTGGTTGTGTGATGGTGTGATCATGGCTCACTGCAACCTCCACCTCCTGGGCTCAAGCCGTCTTCCCACCTCAGCCTCTGAGTAGCTGGGACTACAGGTGTGTGCCACCATGCTCAGCTAATTTTTGTATTTTTTGGTAGAGATGGGGTTTTGCCATGTTGCCCAGATTGGTCTCGAACTCCTGGGCTCAAGCAATCCACCCGCCTTAGCCTCCCAAAATGCTGGGATTACAAGTGTAAGCCACCACACCCAGCCAGCAATATTTTTTAACAAAATTTTAGTAAATTGAATCCAACAACATATAAAAATGATAAAATACAGTGACCAAATAGGGTTTATTCCAGGTATCCAAGGTTGGTTTAACATTTGAAAACCAATGTCATGTACCACATTAGCAAGAGAAAGCATATGATCAGCTCAATAGATGCAGAAAAAACATTTAACAAAGTTTAACATGCCTTGCTGATGAAAACTCAGCAAACTAGGAAAATAAGGGAACTTCTCAATATGATAAAGGGTATCTGTGAAAAACCAATAGCTGAAATCATAGTTAATGCTGAAAGACTGAATGCTTTCCCTATATAATATTTAGAACAAGTCAAGATATCTGCTATTCCCAATTGTGTTCAGCATTGTTCTGGAGGTTCTTTTTTTTTTTTTTTGACGGAGTCTCAAAAAAAGACGGAGTCGCCCAGGCTGGAGTGCAGTGGCGCAAACTCGGCTCACTGCAAGCTCTGCCTCCTGGGGTTCACGCCATTCTCCTGTCTCAGCCTCCTGAGTAGCTGGGACTACAGGCGCCCGCCACCACGCCCGGTTAATTTTTGGATTTTTAGTAGAGATGGGGTTTCACCGTGTTAGCCAGGATGGTCTGGATCTCCTAACCTCGTGATCCACCCACCTCGGCCTCCCAAAGTGCTGGGATTACAGGCATGAGCCACTGCGCCTGGCCAATTTTTGTATTTTTTTTTTTTTTTTTTAGTAGAAACAGGGTTTCACCATGTTGGCCAGGCTGGTCTCAAACTCCTGACCTCGTGATCTGCCTGCCTCAGCCTCCCAAAGTGCTGGGATTACAGGTGTGAGCCACTGTGCCTGGCCTTATAATTTTATTACAAAATTGAGAAACCAGATGTTTTACTTTATGTTTTCTAAATTTCTGAATGTATTTTCAGAATGATATAAAATGTTAAATTTTATTTTAGATTAGAACATTGTTATCCAACTGGATGATAAATAAAGAAAAGGAAAAGGAAAGAATGTTGTGAGACCCCCTAAGTACAAAATGGAGGAAGTCAATGGAATTCCAAGCTTGAGAGAAATTCTTAGGATCTTGATTGGATGATTAGGTATCGGTGGTAGAGAGAATAATGGATCCTCAAAAATGGAACTTGTAAATATGTTACCTTATAGGGCAGAAAGGACTTTGCAGATGTGAACAAGGTTAAAAGCTTTGAAATGGGGAGATTATCCTGGGTTATCCAGGTGGGCTCAACTTAATCACGTGGGTTCTTAAAAGTGGAAAACTTTCCCAACTATAGTCAGAGAGAGAGATGACTACACAAGAATGATCAAAGAAATGCAGTATTCCCGGCTGAAGATGGAGGAAGGGGGCCACCAGCCAAGAAATGTGGGCAGCCTCTAGAATGTGGAAAAAGCCAGGAGATGAGTGCTCTCCCGGAGCCTCCAGAAGGAATGCAGCCCTGCCAACACCTTGATTTTAGCCCAGTGAGACCCATTCTGGACTTGTGATCTCCAGAACTGTAAGATGATAAATTGGTATTATTTCAGCCACTAAGTTTGTGTTAATTTTTTCTTTTTTCTTTTTTTTACTTGAGACGGAGTCTCACTTTGTCACCCAGGCTGGAGTGCAGTGGCGCGATCTCAGCTCGCTGCAAGCTCCGCCTCCCGGGTTCACGCCATTCTTCTGCCTCAGCCTCCCGAGTAGCTGGGACTACAGGCGCCCGCCACCACTCCCGGCTAGTTTTTTTTTTGTATTTTTAGTAGAGACAGGGTTTCACCGTGTTAGACAGGATGGTCTCGATCTCCTGACCTTGTGATCCACCCACCTCAGCCTCCCAAAGTGCTAGGATTACAGCCGTGAGCCACCGTGCCCGGCTTTTTTTCTTTTTCTTTTTTCTTTTTTTTTTTTTTGAGACGGAGTCTTGCTGTTTCCCCAGGCTGGAGTGCAGTGGCACGATCTCATCTCACTGCAACCTCCACCTCCCGGGTTCAAGCAATTCTCCTGCCTCAGCCTCCTGAGTGGCTGGGATTACAGGCACGCGCCACCATGCCCTGCTAAATTTTGTATTTTTAGTAGAGATGGGTTTTCACTGTGTTGGCCAGGCTGGTCTCAAATCTCGAACTCCTGACCTCAAGTGATCCACCTGCCTCGGCCTCCCAAAGTGCTGGGATTACAGGCATGAGCCACTTTGCCCAGCCTGTTTGTGGTAATTTCTTATGGCATCTGTAGAAAACTAATACCACATGTAAGTGGGTAAAGCTCAGAATTCATATTTTGCCAGAGGGTTGCAATGGAAAGTGAACTCTGTATTGTTAAGATAACTTTCTATCCCTTGGAAATTGTTTTTCCTTCCACATAGCAAACCTCATTTTCCCCAAAAGTAAAACATATATTTATAAATTACTTTTTAATGAATAAATACAAAATAACAGAGTTGGAATAAACCTTAGATATGATTCTAGTCTAACCCCCGAAAAGTATAGATGGAAAAACTGAGTGAGGGCCAGAGATTCCACAGCTAGTTAATAGTAGATCTGAGTTTATTGGCCTTTTCTTCCTTCCATATTTTTATGGAATTTAAGATGGGGATTTAAGATGGCCGAGATTTTTTATTCTTTCTACACAGACTCAAATGCTATTCTTGTACAGTTTTTCTCTTAGGCATATAATGGACTTTGGGAAACAATTTATGTAATAGTGTTTTAATGAGCTAGTACTGTAAGAGGATACAGTATTACATAAAACTTTTGGGTTTTTCTGTCTGCGTCTCAAGTCTGAAACATCTCTTCCTCCAGTTGCTAGTTAATGTATACTCAAATATTGGCAGCTAGGTGTGGTCCTTTGTTCTTGACTGTCCATATTTAAACCAAACTAATCTAATTAATAAGGTAAATCTGCTATGTGTTGTGTATGTACAGACACTCTTATAATGTACTTCAGAGATAGATTTTAATTATGCTTAGGTGTTCTTAATTAGTACTCCTGATTAGAACAGAATTTTATTTTTACTTTTATAGTTAAACGCTCAGGTACAGTGTAATTTTCCAGATTAGATTTTTCAGATTAAATTTAGAGAAGGAATATACTTAGCTTGTAATGGTATTTCAGCACTGATTCTTTATGGTGTCTGATATTTTGCCATCTTTACATGGACTGTGATTTTGAAAATCGTGATCATCTCATCATTTATTGAGTACTGCTCCTATGCCATTTACTTATACTAGGTGGTGGAGTACAAAATGAATAGGACACATTCTCTACATGTATAGTGTTTATAGACTTTTCTCATATGTTACCTTGTTGGCTCGTTCCTAGAAATCATCAGGACACTTAGAACCAAACTCTTTGGCCCTAGTGAATCACCTCAAGTTACTCTACCACTGTGGCACAGGTAGAAATTTGACTTTCTATAGAAAACCTAGACAAATAATAGGGGCTCATTCCTACTGTCTTCACCCTTATCAAAATGTAAGTTCCATGGAGACAGAAATTGTTTTCTGTTGTTTAATGCTGTATCTCCACTACAATAGTGCCTGGCACATAGTAGGTATTCAGTAGATAGTTGTTGAATAAATAAGTGAATGGCTCCTACTTATCCTTCAGCTTTCAATTAATTTATTATTATTATTTTAAATTTCTGTTTCTTTTTAGACATGGGGTCTCACTATGTTGGCCAGGCTGGTCTTGAACTCCTGGCCTCAACTGATCTGCCCACGTCAGCCTCCCAAAGTGCTGGGATTACAGTTGTGAGCCACCGAGCCTGGCCCACAACTACTTTTTTTTGAAGAGTCAGGGTTTCACTATGTTACTCAGGCTAGACTTAATTCCTGGGCTCAAGCGACCCTCCCACCTCAAACTCCAAAGTTGCTGGAGGTTCAGGCACTTGGCACTGGACCCAGCTGCTGCCATAACTTTAACAGTGATGCCTATCAGATGTACCTTTGAGCTAAGGGGTCTCTTGTCTTGGTACAGAGCTGGATACAGCTTATGAGAGATAAGAGGCAATGCATAAAATTAGCCAGGCGTGGTGGCGCATGCCTGTAATCCCAGCTACTCAGGAGGCTGAGGCAGGAGAATCGCTTGAACCCGGGAAGTGGAGGTTGCTGTGATCTGAGATCGTGCCATTGCACTCTAGCCTGGGCGACAAGATCAAGACTCCATCTCAAAAAGCAAAACAAACAAACAAAAAAGGCAATGCATAAAGTCAAGAAAGAAAGTGCCAGAGAAGGATTCAGGTTGCTTCAGGGGGTAAAACAGCAGTAAGTAGTTTTATTTGAACAATGGTATGGTATGGTATTAAAAGACAATGAGGGGAATAGTACACTAACTTCAGACACTTTCTAAGTGCTGTAGATCTTTTAAAATCCATCATAGTCTTGCTGACTTCTTTAGTGATGGTTTGAGTTTTAATTATTCAATTATGCTGCCAAAAGTACTGCAGGTTGTCAAGTATCATTTATCCAAAATGCTTGGGACAAGAAGTGTTTTGGATCTTGGAGTTTTTCAGATTTTGGAATATTTGCAAATTTCTCTAAGGGAAAAAAGATATTTTGGCATGTAATGCATAATATTTGCATAATTATAATCCAGTGTTCTAAAATGATTGTACCCACCAAAATCTATAAACAATAAGGAACTGTGGTTGTTTGCTGCAAATAACTATGATAAACCACACTGTTTGTATCACATGTATTAGCCCATTGTGACATTGTCAATTGACCATATGCACATACATGTATACATGAGATATAGTATCTTGGGGATGGAACCCAGATGTAAACATGAAATTTATTTATGTTCACATGTACTTATACACACAGCCTGAAGGTAATATTATACAATATTTTTTATTTTTATTATTTTTTTTAAGTCAATAAATTTTTATTCATGGAATTCCATGTTGTGATTTCTTCCACTATCCATCAGGGCCACTTTAGATCCTCTAAAGAGCTGGAGTCAAAAGATTTATCTTCAAGTTAGCCATTTTTAATGAAACTGATGCTTATTTTAATCCACTTGTCCTGTCAGCCCATAATTCTTTTATTTTGGCTTCTGTCATCTCCTTTTAATATGGATATACTGATGAAGACTTCAAAATTCACCAAGAATCTTTGGGATCTAATTTCTTCAACCAGTGTACTTTAGGGTCCTTTTTACTGTAGGTGGTGGATCTGCCTGGTTCTCAATTTGACACCCTCTCTTAACATGAATGAATTCAAATCATATTCATTCCTAAGCGATGACACTCAAGAATAGTACAGATGTGTGGAATATGCCAGTACCTTTAACTCCAGATATCATGTTCTCAAGATAACTCCATTAAAACAAAAAGCCATCATATGTATCGTCAATATGAAATTGGAATGCAAAATTAATACTGCTGAGGACTTCCCTCATATCCCATGCTGTTTAACTATCTATTCTACAGTCCTAGAATCCATCTTTTTTTATTAAGAGACAGGGTCTTTGTTACCCAGGCTGGAGTACAGTGGTGCCATCAAAGCTCAGTGCAGCCTCCAACTCCTGAGCTCAATCCTTTTGCCTCAGCCTCCCCTTCCTGAGTAGCTGCAGCTACAGGCACATGCCCCAATACCCAGCTAATTTTTAAATTTTTGTGAAGATGAGGTGTTTGTTACTTTCTTGCCCAGGCTGGTCTTGAACTCCTGGTTTCAAGCAATACTCCCGCCTCGGTGTGGGGATTGCAGGCTTGAGCCACTGTGCCTGGCCTGGAACCAACCTTTATGTCTATCAATACTCCCATCAGTTAACTGTCTCAGGTATCATAATATCCCTTCTTATCGGGGGACCTGCCCCGATAATCACGTAGGTTCTTTTCTATTTTCCTAAGCGTCAGCTGGCTTGAGAAATAAAAGGACAGAGTACAAAAGAGAGAAATTTTAAAGCTGGGCGTCCGGGGGAGACATCACACATTGGTAGGATCCGTGATGCCCCACAAGCCACAAAAACCAGCAAGTTTTTATTAGGGATTTTCAAAAGGGGAGGGAGTGTGCGAATAGTTGTGGGTGACAGACGTCAAGTACTTAACAGGGTAATAGAATATCACAAAGCAAGTGGAGGCAGGGCGAGATCACAGGACCACAGGACAGAGGCGAAATTAAAATTGCTAATAAAGTTTCGGGCACCATTGTCATTGATAACATCTTATCAGGAGACAGGGTTTTGAGATCAACTAGTCTGACCAAAGTTTATTAGGCGGGAATTTCCTCTTCCTAATAAGCCTGGGAGCGCTATGGGAGACTGGAGTTTATTTCACCTCTGCAATCTCGACCATAAGAGACAGGTATGCCCCGGGGGGGCCAGTTCAGAGACCTACCCCTAGGTGCGCATTCTCTTTCTCAGGGACTTTCCATGCTGAGAAAAGGAATTCAGTAATATTTCTCCCATTTGCTTTTGAAAGAAGAGAAATATGGCTCTGTTCTGCCCGGCTCACCGGCGGTCAGAGTTTAAGGTTATCTCTCTTATTCCCTGAACAATTGCTGTTATCCTGTTCTTTTTTCAGGGTGCCCACATTTCATATTGCTCAAACACACATGCTGTACAATTTGTGTACTTAACGCAATTATTACAGGGTCCTGAGACGATACACATCCTTCTCGGCTGACAGGATTAAGAGATTAAAGTAAAGACAGGCATAGGAAATCACAAGGGTATTGATTGGGGAAGTGATAAGTGTCCATGAAATCTTTACAATTTATGTTTAGAGAGTGCAGTAAAGACAGGCATAAGAAATTACAAAAATATTAATTTGGGGAACTAATAAATGTCCATAAAATCTTCATAATCCACGTTCTTCTGTCATGGCTTCAGCCGGTTCCTCCGTTTGGGGTCCCTGACTTCCTGCAACACCTTCTTATATGTATCAAAACTCATACTGAACAATGAGTTCTGGGTTGCAAAAGAGGATTTATTTTTTGCACCTAACCATAAGTCTTTGTCCACAAGTTAAACAAAAACAGTGTAGTATACAGTATTTTTAATAATTTTGTGCATTAAATAAAATTTGTGTACCTTGAATCATTAGAAAACAAGTATTAGGTGTGGAGTTTTTCACTTGTGGCATCATGTTAGAATTCAAAAAGTTTCAGAGTTTGGAGCATCTTGGATTTCGGATTTTTCCAATTAGGAATGCTCAACCTAATCAGAAGTAAGACTTGGATATTAAAAGTTTGAAAGCCACGGTTTTATTTGCTTAGTAGTATATAACTGCAACAGTACTTTTTATCTTAATTATTGTGTAGAATCTGATGACTCCCCAACATATAACTGTCACCCACACTTCTCTCCTGAGCTCAGGCCTTATCTCTGATAACCTTCTGGACATCGCACAAGCACCCCTTGCTCAACATACCCCAGCCAGAGTTCTCTTGCTCTCCATAAAAAGCAATCTGAAATGTTCGAATTAAATTGAAGAGAAAGAATAAAAAGTCCTGATGAGTGGAACCATGAAATGTTTCATCTTTTTTCCCTAAGTTTAAAAAGATCATGAAAGTAATACATGTTTAATGTTAAACTATTTAAATAATATAAAAATAAAATCTAAGAAGTGAAAATTCCTTCTTATCTTCCCAAATCTCATTCTCCAGAGGTAACACTGTTTGAGCAGTTTGGTAAGTTATCTTTCCAAACTTCTTCTATATATAAGCAAATATACAAACACATATATACTTTTTTCCTCTTGGAAATAGGATCATGTTACAAATCATTCTGCAACTCACCATTCACTTAATAGTACATCTTGAAAATCCATCTGTCTTTTCATGTGAGTATTAGAAGATTGTTTATGTGGAATGGGTAAGACGTCACCTGCTCCATATTAGTGATATTTTCAGAGATTAGCTGTCTTAAAGGGAAAACAGTGAAAAAGACATTTTGGCATGTAATGAACAATATTTGCATAATTGTAATCCAGTGCTCTAAAATGATCATACCCACCCACCCACCAAAATCTACAAACAACTGGGAACCATGGTTGGTGGCTGCAAATATATTGGTATAAATTACACTGTTTGTGCCAGGTGCGGTGGCTCATGTCTGTGATCCCAGCACTTTGGGAGGCTGAGGCGGGCGGGTCACTTGAGCTGAAGGAGTTCGAGACCAGCATGGCTAACATGGCGAAACCCCATCTCTACTAAAAATACAAAAATTAGCCGGGCATTGGTGGCGCACACCTGTAATCCCAGCTACTCAGGAGGCTGAGGCAGGAGTATCATTTGAACCTAGGAGGCGGAGATTGCAGTGAGCCAAGATCAGGCCACTGCACTCCAGCCTGGGCAACAGAGCAAGAGTCTGTCTCAAAAAATTTAAAAAAATAAAAAATAAATTACACTGTTTGTGTTACATGTATTAGCCCATTGTGGCATCATCAACTGACTTTTTTTTTTTTCAATGGTCCAGATAACCAAATCATCACTGGGCACTATGCACCATTAACAATACACTTCATTTACTACAATGCTATTCTTTTTTCCTTTTTTTTTTTTTTTTTGGACAATATCTTGCTCTGTTGCCCAGGCTGCAGTGCAGTGGTGCAACCATGGCGTGATACTCCTGCCTCAGCCTCTCCAGTAGCTGGGACCACAGGCGTGTATTTTTTATTTTTAGCAGAGATCGGGTCTCACTGTGTTGCCCAAGCTGGTCTCAAACTCCTGGGCTCAAGCCTTGACATCCCAAAGTACTGGGATTACAGGTGTGAGCCACTGCGCCTGGCATTCTTTTATAATGGATGAACATTTACAAAATAGTTTCCCAATTTAGTTGTTTGGATGTTTTTGTTTAGACTCTTAGCTAAATGATTCTCTACTGTATAGATTTATCTCATGCTTTTCAAAAACTGTATATTTTTATAGTATGCATTTGCCAAATTTTAGTCTAACATTCCCATGACCATCCTTTTAAGGAAAAACTTTGAAATACTTTTATTTAGCCATACGGTTAAAATTTAGCTGGAACTAAGTGATCTGTGTTTAGTTGATGAACTGATCCATGCTATTCTTGCATCATGACTTTTTCATCTTCCCTTGATTCTTTTCCCTATATGCATTTAAGCCTGTCTGGTTCTTTTCTCAAGCCTTTGCTCTCTACTCCCCTTTCACTCAAAGCATTTCATGTTTCGCCTTTATAACCCTAGTATAAGTATCAAACTTCTCACCTGTGACTTTTGCCTCTCTCTACATCTCTCTTCTACTTTTAACTTTCATGTTTACAATAAGCTACCTTTCTCTTATTTTCAGTTCTTACCTTCTCAAACTTCAGAGAATCCCCACTGCTTAGTGTTCTTGGGAGATGCTAGAGGTTACACAAAATGCCACCTCCCAGAAGGTCGAGGCATTTTTTTTCTTTAAAAAAAAAAAACCTTTTAGCCAAATACTTACTCATAAGAAATGCTCCATTTTATTCTCAGTAGTATCTTCAGAAAGATTTCAGAGGTAATTGCATCTACAAAATAAAGACTTAGTGCTAAGAAAATGAGCAATCCGATAAGAATATGTAAAATAAAAAACATTATTACTAAATTCTTTTTTTTTTTTTTTTTTTTAGACAGAGTCTTGCTCTGTCGCCCAGGCTGGAGTGCAGTGGTGCGATCTTGGCTCACTGCAAGCTCTGCCTCCCGGGTTCACGCCATTCTTCTGCCTCAGCCTCCCAAGTAGCTGGAACTACAGGCGCTCGCCACCACGCCCGGCTAATATTTTGTATTTTTAGTAGAGACAGGGTTTCACCATATTAGCCAGGATGGTCTCGATCTCCTGACTTTGTGATCCGTCTGCCTTGGCCTCCCAAAGTGCTGGGATTACAGATGTGAGCCATCCCGCCTGGCCTTTTTTTATTTTTATTTTTTGAGATGGAGTTTCACTCTTATCCTCCAGGCTGGAGTGCAATGGCACAATCTCCGCTCACTGCAACCTCCGTCTCCAGGGTTCAAGCGATTCTCCTGTCTCAGCCACCTGAATAGCTGGAATTACAGGTGCCCGCCACCATGCCCAGCCAGTTTTTGTATTTTCAGTAGAGATGGGGTTTTTCCATATTAGCCAGGCTTGTCTCAAACTCCTGACCTCAAGTCATCTGGCTGCTCTGGCCTCCCAAATTGCTAGGATTACAGGCTTGAGCCACCTCACCTGGCCACTAAATTCTTTTAAAAATCTCTTGAGCACACTAAATGATATATTGAATATAGCTGATGACCAAATGGTGTTGTAAAAATTCCATCAGGCCAGGTGTGGTGGCTCACTCTTAATAATCCTAGCACTTTGAGAGGACGAAGTGGGAGGATCACTTGAGCCCAGGATCACTTCAAGACCAGCCTGGGCAACATAGTGAGACCCTGTCTCTTCTGAAAAAAATAATAAAAAAAAAACATTAGGTGTGGTGGCACATGTCTATAGTTTGAACTACTAGGGTGGCTGAAGGGGAGGATTGCTTGAGCCCAGGAATTCAAGGCTGCAGTGAGCTATGACGGTACCACTGCACTCCAGCCTGGGCAACAGAGCAAGACCCTGTCTCTTAAGAGACAATAAGAAATAAATAAAAATTCCATCAAAGAATTTCTCTTAGGGTATAAAGCCAGAGACAAAGATGAAAAATGGGAGAAATGTCCAGTGGTTCTCAACCATGTCTGACTGCACATTAGGATCATCTAACATGGTTTTTGAAAACACCATTACCCTGGCCCCACCACAGACCAATTAAATCCAGACTCTCTGGGCTGGAGTCCAGACATCAGTAGCTTTTTTAAGCTCCTCAGGTGATTCTGTTGTTTAGCCCAGGTTTAGAAAAATACTTAAGAAACCTGAAGAATAATACCAAAATGTCCGAAGTCTATCTAATAATACTTCTAGAAGTAGAGGACAGAGACATCAAAGGAAAAGAAATAATGCTAGAAAATTTTTCTGGAGATTCTGCAAAGACTTGTCTTCAGCAGTTAAGGGCCAGAATATCAAGGCCCCTGCAGGAATTAAGGAAAGAAGACAAGTACCTTGACATATCCTTTCGATGGGTCTGAACTCCAAAAATAAGGATTATTATGTCTTCCAGAGAAGAAAAGATGGGAGCCACAGTGTGCACTCTGGAAGGAAAGAAACCTACCTGGCCTAACTGATCCAAACACAGTTTCTGCTTTTTCCCCCAGATGCTGCTCTCCAGTGCATTCCCCTAGCTCACTCCTGCTTTCTGGGGCTGACCCCAGACCTAGAGCTTCTCCAGGCTCCCTGGGAAGAGCTGCTCTTAACAGTTGGTGTTTGGGAGGCAACTTTCTCTTCTTTGCTCTCTCCTTCGGTCTGACCTCATCTGCTGTGTAGTGTTCAGAAATTCCCCCAAAGTTCTGGTTCAGTTAGGAACATGTCTTGTTTTCCACCTCAGAGTTTTGCAGATTTTAAAAACTTTTTCTTGTCATCCCAGCATCTTCCTGGGGAGAGGAAGTTGATGACTTAGTCCTGTCGTTCAACCTTTTTGAGGCCAAATAGGGTAAAATCATATTAAGGGGAATAATCCTGTATTCAGGTTCATCCTTTAGTATATAATGGTAACATTTGGATAGTCTAATATTTTCTGGGGTTTTTTTGTTTGTTTTAATATAATCCTTTGCTTTCTGCTTACTTGAAAACAGTAATTTATCCAACTCAGCACTCAGAGTCAGGGGAAGTGTGGTCTCTTAGCTTTGTTTTCTTCAGTAATTATTTGTTCCGAGAAGAAAAATAAGTTTACCAAAGAAATATCTTTCTGAAAACTCTCCTGTTAGTAGCATAATCTGAGGCAAGACACTGATATTTTAACAAAGAGAACAATACAGTAATTTACATAATATACATAGGGAATTGGTAGATATGGCTTTAAAATGACTTCTCATTTGGGGGACCTGATAGTTTAGTTATGTTAACTGAAATTTTTAGTACACTGTTGATAAAATATTAAGTGTATTCTCATTTTTCTGTTATGTCTCAGGTGTTTGCTGACTAGCACTTTGGAGAGTGTATGCTTATCTGCCATGTCCATAACAGAACGAACTGTGTTCCCTTTCTGATGCATTGGGTAGCAATTTTCCGCCTTTGGACAGTTCAGCACAGTAAGCTTTATCATAGATTAATATCCATAGCTACATAGTGATTTTAAATCCAGAATAAATCTAGGGTGAGGGAAAGAAGAAAAGTCTCTCTTATAAAAATGGTGAAACTGTCTCAGTGTGTCATTACAGTTTTTAGGAATTGTCTGTCCTTACTGTCTTTTTTATATAACATTCAATCAAGGAAAAAGTTTTATTTGTTTTGTTAGCTTACAAAAACCTATACTCCTAATGGCTTAACTGGAATTAAGGGGAAATACTTGGAAAATTCAGTTTATGTCTTTATTCTTCCAGCTTTATCTGCTTTTGAAAGTTCAAAAGTTTGTTTTCTTGTTGTTTTTATCTTTGTGTTTTAATTATTCATAGTACTTCTCTTCATATGGACTCAGTACTACTGACAAGAGCCATCCTCTGAGATTACTAAGATGACTTGCATCCCTTGAAGTGTTGGAGCCAAAACATGAAGAGCTAATTCCTTTATCAAATGGGATTTAGAAAGCTAGTAAATCAGCTTATACAGGTTGCCTATTTACTCGAATTTAAACAAGCCATTGTTTTCAAAATAGCAAGGTGAGAACCAAAAGAAAATGTTTCTTTTTTTCCTCTCTCTTTTTTTTGAGAAAGAGTCTTGCTCTGTCACCCAGGCTAGAGTGCAGTGGCATGACCTCGGCTCACTGCAACTTCTGCCTCCCAGGTTCAAGTGATTCTTGTGCCTCAGCCACCCGAGTAGCTGGGATTACAGGCGTGTGCCACCACGCCTGGCTAATTTTTGTATTTTTAGTAGAGACGGGGTTTCATCATGTTGGCCAGGCTGGTCTCAAACTCCTGGCCTCAAGTGATCCCACCCGCCTCAGCCTCCCAAAGTGTTGAGATTACAGGCGTAAGCCACTGTTCCCAGCCTGAAAACATTTCTTCATTGACAGTATTTTCATTTAAAAATTTAGCTGAACTCCAAATGATGAACATTCAAAAGAAAGCATTGTCTTTGGATGATTTGAAAGCAAGTGGCAGATATCATGACACCTCACCCCTAAATACTACAGCATGTGTCTCCTATGAACAAGGATATTACTCTGCATAAAACCATAATACTATATCACATTCCAAAAGGCTGACATATAGTAGTAATAAGCTAATATGCAGTCTCCTGTTCCAAGTTCTTATATTTTGTCCCCTAATCCAGGATCCAGCCAAGGATCACTGATTACACTTGGTTGTCATATCTCTATAGTCTCCTTTAATCTGGAACAGACCTCCCGTCTCTCCCTCTCTCTCTTTCTCTCTCTTTTTTTATCTTTTAAGAGATGGGGTCTCACCCTTCGGCCCAGGCTGGAGTACAGTGGCATGATCACAGTTCACTGCAGTCTCAAACTCCTGAGCTCAATCAATAGTCCTTCCATCTCAGCCACCTGAGTAGTTGGGACTACAGGTGCACGCCACCTTTTTGGTTCTTTATGTTGTTAACATTTTTTCAGGAGTGTAGGCCAATGGTCTTGTAGAGTGCTCCACAATCTGTTTTTGTCTTTTCTTCCTGGTTAGTTTCAGGTTAAACATTTTTGATAGGGATAGCACATAGGTGATAGCACATCTAAATCACATCACTACATCATATTAGGAGACAGAGTAATAGCACTTTTTTTCATTATTGGTGATGCAGAGTTTGGTTATGATGCAGATCATTTGTTAAAGTGTTATCAGTCAGATTGTTTTACTTGAAAGGTCTTTTTCCTTTTTTAATAATAAGTAATCTGTGGGGTACTTTCCCAATAACCTCTCACCTGGTGGTTTTCATTTGTTCAGTGCTTTACACCCAGAGATCTATTGATGGATGTCAGCATCTCTGTGAATCCCCAGGAAATTTTTTTGTGTGCATATATTTTCCCAGGCATACAGTCCAGGACCCTCCAAATATTTAAGAGATCTTTTCCCTCTGTTATCAAGGTGCCTTTTACAAGTTTCTGTGCATCACAGAAGCATATTATAAGCAGTGGGTTTCTAGAAGCTGGGAACCAATCCCGTTCTTCTGATTTTCCTGATTATCTAGCTCACCTCATGTAGAGCTAGGTACATAATTTTTGTTGTTTGTTTGAGAACGATTGTTCTGGCCTTTCGCTTATCCTGAGCCAAACATTTGGATCTTTCATGTTTGGTATAAAGCGTACTAGAAACTAGAGCAGAGAGACTTAGCCCCTGGTTTTTGGTGTTCTCATTTGAAGATTTTGGGGCACAACAATTGGATTTGTGTCTCTGTTGAACTGAATAGTGGTCATTTGGAAATGAGTTAAAACACTACAGTATATGTTTTAGTTGTCTAATTATAGTTGTATCAATAAGACATTTTCTGCAAGTGCAGAAAGACTCTTTGACTCTGTAGACAAGAAGGCTCAGGAGATGAGTTTAGGGGGCATTAAGTTTGTTATTAGCCTAATGTGTAATAGCTGTAGGAGTGATTCCTTCTTGATTTTCCCTGCCCAAACAGGGAGCAGTGTGGAATTCATCATGGCAGTGGTTAGGTGTGTTTTGCTTAGCCTATGATTAGCCTGTTGGTTACATTGGCTTGCCTTGCATGAAAAAATGTCTGTCAGGTGACTACCAATAACAATAAGAGCTAACATTTGAATAGTATACCTTAAAAATACACATTATACCACTTCAGAAGATTATCTGTGAAAACAGATATTTTTATTCTAATCACATAGGTAAGGAAAAAATCTTAGAGAAGTTAAGGTAGCCAACATCAAACAGCTTGTAAGGAGCAGAGGAAGAACACCCCCAAATTCCATTACAAATTCCTTGCACTTTTTGTCTTACCATTCTCAAAGGTAGAGGCATTCTAGGGAATCTAAATATGAACAAAGCATGGACCTTGCTCTGAAGGATCTTTTAAACCTAACAGGCGCATAGTCTTATGAATCTCTTACAGACAACAAATCGAGAGAAGAGCTAAGGAAGTACGTAAAAGGGCAAAATGGCCTACAAATAGAGGGTCAAGGTTGGTATGACAGAAGTAGGATTTGAGAGAGGTGGATGTTTTGGAAACAAGAAAGGGAGTGACCAGAAGAATGACTATGGGAAAGCACTGGGTTTGTTGTAGAGGTGGAATTGGCCTAGTTTGGCTGGAGCATGAGCTGCATGAAAGAAAGTAAAATAAAATAATGGCAGCTAGAACTCAAAGATAGATTAGGGCCAGATTGTGAAGGGCCTTGAATGCCACATGGAAGAACATTCTGTAGGTATTTTGGGCAGGAGATGAAAAATGACCCTACAGAAGGCCCAATAATGATGATAAATGGTTAAATATGTTTAAGTTACCAATCTATGCTAATCTTTTAAGAAATGTTATCTCACTGTAACTATGAATAGTGTACTGTGTCCATTTTGCAGATGAAAAATGAAGGCTCAGCAAGATTAAGGAAACTGGAAATGTCAAGAGCTGCAGCTAGGACCCAGACTTGGGTCTGTTGGATTCTAAATCCTGTTCTGTGTCTCACTGTGATTGATATATTGTCACTTCTTTTATTAAGAACTGATAAGGTCTTAATCCTCTGTCAAGAATATGGCTGTAGAAAAAGGATGTTTTCAAAGTTGTGAAGGGACTGCTTCTCACCATGTTATGTTAAGGAATGTAATCACTACCCAACTTGACTTGTACTGTTCTCTGTTTTGAGACCAGAGCTAGATGGGAAATTAAAGAATTGGATGATGTTTTATTTACATGCCTGATGACATCAATACATGCTCATAGCAAATGCCTTTGTTTTCATTTTCAGTATCTAAGCTTATTGGCCCTAAGTAAATCTTAGGTTAGGTAGAGCTCAGTTCCCAGGGACATTCAAGATTCATAAAGAAGTGATATTTTTCCCAGCTAAAATATTTTTCTTCTTACCAGGTTCTCTACTTAAAAGACAATGACTACTGATGAAGGTGCCAAGAACAATGAAGAAAGCCCCACAGCCACTGTTGCTGAGCAGGGAGAGGATATTACCTCCAAAAAAGACAGGGGAGTATTAAAGGTGAGGCCACAAAGCTGAGTGACATACAAGGAAACCTGCTGTCTGGAAAGATTATAGCATCTCTTTCTGAGGGGGGCTGGGGTGGATAATGTTTATTGATGGTTACTAAGTGCCAAACACTAGAGCTAGATTCTCATTTTGTCTTCATAACTTCAAGGTTTTTTTTAAGAGTTGAGTCTCGTTATGTTGCCCAGGCTGGTCTTGAGCTCCTGGGTTCAAGTGATCTTCCCATCTCAGCTTCCTGAGTAGCTGGGATTTTCTTTTTAAATTAATTAATTAAATTTTTGAGAGAGGGCATCTCATTATGTTGCTCAGGCAAGTCTTGAAATCCTGGCCTCAAGCAATCCTCCCACCTCAGCCTTCTGAGTAGCTGGGATTATAGGCACGAGCCACTGTGCCCAGCTAGAGATTTTAATTTTTAATCCCAGATTATAGATGTTGAAATTGAGACTGGGCTAGGTAAATTAACTTGCCTAATATCATATATCTTAGTAATGCAGATTTACCTGGGGTTCAGGTCCAAGTTATATCTCACTCTAAAGGGCTATATTTCCCTATTCTCAGAGTATACAAATAGGTTACTATTTTAATGTATCCTTTTAGTACACTAAAGCTAGCTAATGACAATTTTGAAGACTTTTTAAGGAAAGAAAAGCTAACTTGAAAAATTCAAAGGGGTTTTATTTTATTTTATTTTATTTTATTTTATTTTATTTTATTTTATTTTGAGACAGAGTCTCCCTCTGTTGCCTGGGCTAGAGTGCAGTGGTATGATCTCAGCTCACTGCAACCTCCGCCTCCTGGATTCAAGCAATTCTGCCTCAGCCTCCCGAGTAGCTGGGATTACAGGCGCCTGCTACCATGCCTCGCTAATTTTTGTAGAGACAGGGTTTCACCATGTTGGCCAGGCTGGTCTTGAACTCCTGACCTCAGGTGATCCGCCTGCCTTGGCCTCGCAAAGTGTTGGGATTACAGGCATGAGCCACCGTGCCCGGCCCAAAGGGGTTTATTTTTATATATAAATATTGTTCCTGTGTACAGTGAAGATATCTTTTGCGATTTCCTCTTAGAATATATCTTACTTTTGAATTAGCTTTCCTACTTATTAAAGCACTATACAGTCATTCACCATATAATGACATTTCAGTCAGTGACAGACTGCACCTTCAGCAGTGGTCCCATAAGATTATAATGGGGCCGAAAAGTTCCTATGGCCTAGTGGTGCCATAGCTGTTGTAGCATGGGTAGTACAGTGTATTATGTGTTTGTGGTGATGTGGGTGTAAACAAACCTACTGCACTGCAGTCACAGTTATGTATAGTACATAATACTTGATAATAAATGTTTATATTACTGGTTTATGTGTTTACTATACTTTCTATCATTATTTTAGAGTGTGCTTCTTATTTTTTAAAAAGTTAACTGTAAAACACCCTTGGCTGAGTGCAGTGGCTCATGCCTGTAATCCCAGCACCCTGGGAGGCCAAAGCAAGAGGATCACTTGAGGCCAGGAGTTCAAGACCAGCCTGGGCAACATAGTAAGACCCCTATCTGTAGAAAAAAAATTAAAAAAATTAGCCAGGCATAGTGGCATGTACCTGTAGTTTCTACTACTCAGGAGACTGAGGCAGGAGGATCATGTAAGCCTGGGAGTTCCAAGCTGCAGTGAACTATGATCATACCACTGCATTCTAGCCTGGGTGAGAGTGAGATCCTGTCTCAAAAACAAATGAACAAACAAAAAACAGCCTTGGGCAGGTCCCTCAGGAGGTATTCAAGAAGAAGGCATTGTTATTATAGGAGACAGCAGCTCCATGCATGTTACTGTCCTGAAGACCTTCCAGTGGGACAAGATGTGTTGGTGGAAGACAGTGATACTGATGATCCTGACCCTCTGTAGGCCTAGGTTTATGTATGTGTTTGTGTCTTAGTTTTAAACAAAAAAAAGTTTAAAAAGTAAAAGAATAAAAAATTTAAAAAACAGAAAAATGCTTATAGAATAAGGATATAAAGAAAGAAAATATTTTTGTACAGCTGTACAGTGTTTGTGTTCTAAGTGTCATTACAAGAGTCAAAGCTAAAAAAAAAGTTTACACAGTAAAAATGTTATAGTAAGCTAAGATTGATTTATTATTAAAGAAAGAAGAAAAATTTTAAAATAAATGTAGTCTAGGTGTCCAGTGTTTATAAAGTCTACGGTAGTGTATGGTAATATCCTAGGCCTTCATGTTCACTCACTGCTCACTCGCTGACTCATCCAGAACAACTTCCAGTCCTGCAAGTTCCATTCATGGTAAGTGTTCTGTATAGGTGTACCATTTTTTTTCTTGTATACCTTTTATTACTGTACCTTTTTCTATGTTGAGATATGCTTAGATACACAAATACCACTGTTTTACAATTGCCTGCAGTATTCAGTGCAGTAACACAATGTACAGGTTTGTAGCCTTGGAGCAGTAGGCCAAACCACCTAACGTGGGTGTGTACAAGTAGGCCAGGCCATCTAGGTTTGTGTAAGTACACTCTGCGATGTTCACATAAGGATGAAATCATCTAAGAACACATTTCTCAGAACATATCCCTGTCCTTAAGCGATGCATGACTGTGTGTGTTTCTTCACTCTATAGTTAATCATTTTCACGTGCATTTCTTTTGTTTTGTTTCTTACAACAATGTGGTGAGACAATCAGAGCATCTCTTGATTCTTCCATCTTATAAGTGAATAAACTGAATCTGAGAAAGGTTAAGTGGCTTTAGTCACATTAAATAGTTATTTCTCCTACACCATTGTTAACACATGTAAGTTTTGTATAGTTAAGTTTTGTTTTTCCTGAAAAGATTATCTGATGCATTCTGAATATTACCAGGATGCTGAGTTTTAATATCTCTTGTGCCAGCAGTAGCAAGTAAGAATTTTTGTTTTGTATAACTTTGCTTATGTGAAAGCCTTCTGTGCCTGGATCTCTTCTGAATATATGTGAATTGCTATTATGTGCTAAGTCAAATTTTGGGGACTTGCAGCTATAGAATAAGGGCTTTATGCTATAGATTTACATCCTATTGTCTTTTTTTAGAAGGCTTCTCAACCTTGTAGCTATAGTTACTCATCCTAAATTCCAGGAAGCTTCTAGAAACAGTGGAGACTTTGCAGGCTGTCCTCAGCATCTCCCTGCCTCTGTTTACGACTTACCCTTTCATCTTTTCAGAGTGCCCATGCCCAGAGAACATGATCCCCAACTTGCCTCAGACCCTGTTCTGTTCTAGGGAGTAAATCTAATTGCAAGATTTTTAGGCTTATTAAGAAACATTTGAGATTTGAAGCCCTTTAAATTATATCATTTATCATTGTCTAGAGCCTCGGATTTCACCATGAGGCTTTTGGTTAAGATTTAAATAGGTCTAGTAACTGTGCAAGCTAGGGCAATTTAGTTAACCTCTCTGTGATTAAGTTCCTGTTTGTAAAATTAGAATAATAATGCCATCAACCTCATAGAGTTATTAGGATTAGGTGAAGCACTTAGCATAGTGCCTGTCCTATAGTAATCTATCTTATTAACTATTACGTATTTTTAAAAAAAGAACCAGTGCTGGTTTGGAAATTCAGTAACTATCTGAGGAAGATAAAAGATGGATTTATATTTTAAAAATGAATAGAACCTAGATTGTGTTCTTAAGGCAACTCTAGATTTAGGTACAAATTCATCTTGCTAGGGAAGCCTGAAGTGATACCATAGTACCACTTGCTGGTGTGGATGGCTCTCTGACTCTCTGGTAGCCATTCATCCCACATGCCCAGTTACTGTTTATAGTCCTAGAAATGCAGATTCCTTCCACGTGAGGCTTACAGTTGAGCATAGCCTCCCAAATACCACATGCAGTTCGTGAACATGAGCACTTGTAGAATATTGTGTAATATCTTTTAGATTAATGTTTTGAGACTTTTTTTTTCTTTTGAAGTCCTAGAAGGGCAGTAGTGTTTCTTTGCCTTTAAAGAATATTTGGGGCTGGGTGCGATAGCTTATACCAGTAATCTCAGCACTTTAGGAGGCTGAGGCGGGAGAATCATTGGAACTCAGGAGTTCCAAACCAGCCTGGGCAATGTAGCAAGATCTCATCTCTACTAAAAATAAAAAAATTTGCCAGGCGTGGTGGCATGTGCCTGTAGTCTCTGCTACTCGGGAGGCTGAGGTGGGATGATCACTTGAGCTGAGTGATAGAGGCTACAGTGAGCTATGATTGTACCACCGCATGCACTCTAGCCTGGGTAAAAGAGCAAGACCCTGTCTCAAAAAATAAAATAAAGATGTTTGGGCTTTTGAGTTAAGAAAGCTGTGGAATTTAAGTTCACAGTGTTTATGTGATATTTATGTTAGGTGGACGGTATACTTGTAAAAAAAGAATTTAGGAGCAAATAATCGAATTATTTAAATAAAACTCAAAGCAAACTCCTTCCCCAAAAAGATGTTCATCAGATGTTAGCTACCATCCTCTGTTATCTACCAAAAATGATTAATTTGGCATAGATTACAAATTAACAAATTACACCATCACACACCTGGGTTTGATTTTCTTTTCCCAGAACTGACCAAATACATTAGCAGCTTGCTCTGCCAAGAACAAAATAAATACACTGGATTTTACAGTAGTTAAATACTTTACTAGAAAACAAGTTATTCAGTATCATATCAAGCAGTGCAATGATACTCATGTTTTTTACAGATAGACTATGTTTCAAATAATAGGAAATGTAACCTGTTTTACCAGGAAATTGGGCTTTCTGAAAATAAACAAGCAGAATCTAGTCAGGAGCTAATGTTTTTAGCAAAGGAGGGAAATAAAATTACACCTTTGAAGCTTTGCTTAAGCTTCTTTTTGAATATTTTAAAAGTCCACCATTCTTTCTGGTCTAAGTCCGTGTGTATATGGACTAGCTCACAAGCCTGTGTTAGAGAGTTTAGTGTCGGGCGCGGTGGCTCATGCTTGTAATCCCAGCACTTTGGGAGGCTGAGGCGGGTGGATCACGAGGTCAGGAGTTCGAGACCAGCCTGGCCAACATGGTGAAACCCCATCTCTACTAAAAATACAAAAATTAGCTGAGCACGGAGGCGCACGCCTGTAATCCCAGCTACTCGGGAGGCTGAGGCAGGAGAATTGCTTCAACCTGGGAGGCAGAGGTTGCAGTGAGCCGAGATCGTGCCATTGCACTCCAGCCTGGGCGACAGGGCAAGACTCCGTCTCAAAAAAAAAAAAAAAAAAAAAAAAGAGTTTACTGTCAAAATATAGGGCATTAAACCAATGAACAGGATTTATTGGTTAATTCTTTGAAGGAATAAATAGTGCGATTAGCAATAAAAGTAGATATAACATAAAAGACAAGTTGGTAAAGGACAGTTTTCTAACAATGAGTTATTGTGAGGAATGAAGGGAGGCATTAGAAAGAATGGATAATAGTATATTTGCATATCTGCCTGGATGTCTTGGGATGGACTGTGTGACCTTTTTATTCTCTGATTACAAGTAAAAAGTTTGACCTCCTTTTTCTTAATGTTTGTCTTTTCTAGATTGTCAAAAGAGTGGGGAATGGTGAGGAAACGCCGATGATTGGAGACAAAGTTTATGTCCATTACAAAGGAAAATTGTCAAATGGAAAGAAGTTTGATTCCAGTCATGATAGAAATGAACCATTTGTCTTTAGTCTTGGCAAAGGTAAGAGGGTATTTTTTTGAGTTGTGTTTTACTTAGCTTTATTACTATTTGTAATATATAGGAGCAGAGGATTCTATCCTTTCTAAAAGTAAAGAAATTTTAGAGTAGTAGTACTCAAAGAATGGTCTGAGAATCCCTAGGGCTCTCTGAGATCTTTTTAGGGGGTCCCAAATGTCATTTATTTTCATAACAATACTAAGATATTATTTGCCATTTTACTGTATTGACATTTATTTGCACTGATGGTACAAAAGCTGCAGTTGTAAAAAAACTGCTGGTTCCTTAACACAAATCAAGGCAGTGGTAACCAGCTGTTCCAGTAGTCATGGTATTTTCCACTGCCACTCCTTCACTATTTACATAAGGGAAAAAGCTAGTTTCACGTAAAAATGTCCTGATAAAGCAGTAAAAATTATTAGTTTTATTGAAACCCAATCTTTGAGTTTCACATCACTTTGATATTCTGTGACAGAAAGGGAAGCACGTGTAGAGCACTTCTGTCCCCCAAAGTATGATGGTTGTCTCAAGGAAAAGTACTTGTGCTCTTGTTTTAGTTGAGATCTGAACTAACTGCATTTATTTCATGAGATACCATTTTTACTTGAAAGGGCAAATCTGATTATGCAGACTTGATTCAGTATTTGGCAGGTGTTTTTCTGAGAATGAATGGAGTAAGTCTGTCACTTCAAGGAAAAACAACTGACAATGTTTTTTGCCATTAAGTTTTCAAGTAAAAATTATAGTTTAGGAGAACTCCTATTTGCCACTGTGGGCTTATTTGCCACTGTGGGCTTGACAGCTTCCGAAGACTTTTCTGATGAGATTGGTGGGTATTAATGAATGTGGTTTTAAATATACAATGAAATGTGTCCACATTTGGAAGATCTGTATAACTAAGAATGAATATTTTCTCAGTGACCAATGCAAGATGTTACAAGATCATGTGTGAATAAACAATTCATTCAAAGTTAGACCAACAGATTTTAATGTAACAGTATGAAAAGTTCACTGATACACTTTCAGTTTCCACATTGTAATTGACTTTTATGAATCTTACAAGTTGTACAGTTTTGATGTAGTATCAGATAATTATATTCACAATTATCTAAAAGGTTGTTAAAGGGCTCCTACCCTTTTCAACTATCTATCTTTGTGGGTTTGGATTTTCTTCTCTATGTACTTCAACCAAAATTGCAACAGATGAATGCAGAAATAGGAGAATCTGGTTGTCTCGTGTTACAAGTCAAACACATTTCCACATGTATAACATTCTAAAACAATGACACTCGTCTCACTAATTTTTTTTTTATTTTGGAAAATACAAAATATACAAATACTTTGTACAAAATTAAATTACTTATATTAACATGGGGTTATTCTAAAATGAATTATTAAATAACTACTTTTTTACTAAATCTCAGTAGATATGTCAAATAAACAAGTTCTTTGGAGTCCTCAATTTTTAAGATGTTAAGGGGTCCTGAGGAAAAAAGGTTGAGAACTACTATTTTCAAGTATTAAGTATGATTTTTACTAAATTATTTTCAAATGCCTTTTTTTTTTGAGACAGGGTCTCGATCTGTCACCCGGGCCGGCTCACTGTAGCCTCAACCTCTCAGGCTCAAGTGATCCTCCCAACTCAGCCCCGCAAATAGCTGGGAATACAGGTGCATGCCACCATGTCTGGCTCGCTCTGTTGCCCAGGCTGGAGTGTAGTAGCACCATCTCGGCCCACTGCAGCCTCCACTTCCGAGGTTCAAGCAAGATTATCATGCCTAAGCCCCCCAAGTAGCTGGGACTACAGGCGTACACCACCACGCCTGGCTAATTTTTGTGTTTTTTGTAGAGATGGGGCTTTGCCATGTTGGCCAGGCTAGCCATGAACTCCTCACCTCAAGTGATCCGCCCACCTCAGCCCACCCAAACACCTGGGATTACAGGCATGAGCCACCATGCCCAGCCTAATTTTTTTTTTTTTTTTTTTTTTGTAGAGACAGGGTTTCACCATGTTGCCCAGGCTAGTCTTGAACTCCTGGGCTCAAGCAATCTGCCCGCCTCAGCCTCCCAAAGTGCTAGGATTATAGGCATGAGCCACCACACCTGGCCTCAAATGCTGTTAAATGTCTTTAGTTCATTTAATGTTCTTATTTTTTAATCTTGTAGGAATAATAGCCCATACATCAAATTAAACTTTGTAGAACATGTGGCTTATTGGAAGTTGGTGGCTGAGTTACATCTTTTATTCTTGTCTGCCACAGACAAGCAACTGTAGTTTGTTCCTAGATTAGGGAAAAAAGAAGTATTCCCCCTATTCACCACCATGGCTATGTGTGGACTTCATTCCCTTGTCCTTCAGCTCTGTATCTAGTTGAATTGCTAACTAAGCATGGATCTGGAAAGGAAATATAGTAAGCAGAAACTGAGGAGTTACTTTCTGTCTCTTGCCACTCAGCCTTCCCTGCTTCCTGTATCATTTGTGTGCCTGGTGAATTCTGCTTCCCGTCCAGCTGTGCTCTTTCCAAGCTCCAGTTCTGGCCACGCCCCTGCTCTCTTCTCCTTTGGGTCTTTAGTAGGTTAATGGCTCATGAGATATTAATTTTTTGTTTGAATAAGATAGCAGTAAAAATCAAATACAGTCTTGTGGCAGATAATTATGACAGTTATTTTAGAATTTTGTTGTTGTTGTTGTTGTTGATTTAGGCATATGAACCTCCAGGGCTGCCAGAATGGGTGTGGCATCATTATTTAGGTGACCTAAGAGTGACTGACCTTGTCAGACCCCCTTGTTCCTGCCACCTGCTAAATCCTTACTCTATCCTTAGAATTCCTGTCTTAAAGAAGCTGAGAGTTAAGATAACAGGTCCTTTTAGCAGTTATCTTGGTGAGCAGAATTAAGAATTGTTGAGAATTTATATTGGTATCTTCTCTACTGAGATTTTCTCAGTAAAACACTATGGTGAATGAGTTTCCTGGAATTTTAAGCAGAGTAAGAAGATTTTCTGAGTTATTTTTTTTAAATACAAGTTGGGAGAAAAAAAGAGGCAACTTTCAGTTGACTTTGTACCTCTGACACACCTGTCTAGAGTCAGTGCGGTCTCATGGAAAAAGCTTCCAGCCGGGCATTAGGAAGCCAGGGTTCCTGTCTTCCCTGTTCCTTGTGGTGTGTTAACATGAGTAAGCCACTTAATCTTACCTGCTTCTGTAAAAAGAAGTCTGTGGAGAGCTTATGTGATTCCATTCTTGTTCCTTCTGTAAAGAATGCGGGAACAAAAACCATAAAAGACTAATACCAACACAAAGAGACCCTTAGAGGCCTCCTTAAGATGGTAATTGGAAATACTAGGATAGAGCAATATACCTCTGGTAAAACATCTATAACATAACGTATTTAGTTGCCTACAAAACAAGAAACATTGGTTAGGCAGTTTATAGTTTTGTGGGGTTTTTTTTTTCCTTTTTTTTTTTTTTTTTGAGATGGAATCTCACTCTGTAGCCCAAGCTGAAGTGCAGTGGCGTGATCTTGGCTCACTGCAACGTCTGCCTCTGGGGCTCAAGTGATTCTCGTGCCTCAGCCTCCCCAGTATCTGGGACTTCAGGCGCGCCCCACCACGCTTGGCTAATTTTTTGTGTTTTAGTAGAGACAGGGTTTCACCATGTTGCCCAGGGTGGTCTCGAACTTTTGAGCTCAGGTGATCCGCCTGCCTTATCCTCCCAAAGTGCTGGGATTACAGGCATGAGCCACTGTGCCCAGACTATAGTTTTATACTTATATTTTATAGCATTAGGTAGTTTATCAAAATGAAGAAAATAATATAAATGGACAGTAGTATAAATATTATTCATTGAACTCCATTGATCCCTTATATTGTACCTCTCCCAAGGGAATAAATAGAAATATTTCAATGGAAAGTCATCCTAATTTGGGGATTCTAGTATGACTTCAGTATTTAACATAGAACTATAAGAGCCTATCTGTAAAAATCCCATTGAAAAGATAAACATATCATAAAATACACAAATTCAAGCTATACCTACACTTGCTTTGTATATGTCTTTTGCTTTGTGTATGTCTGTTGCTTTTATCATACCATCTTTTTCTCTTTTCTTTTTTTTTTTTTCTTTCTGAGACGGAGTTTTACTCTTGTTGCCCAAGCTGGAGTGCAATGGCATGATCTCAGCTCACTGTGACCTCCACCTCCCAGGTTCAAGCAATTCTCCTGCCTCAGCCTCCCAAGTAGCTGGGATTACAGGCATGCGCCACCACACCTGGCTAATTTTGTATTTTTAGTAGAGACGGACTTTCACCATGTTGGCCAGGCTGGTTTTGAACTCCTGACCTCAGGTGATCCACCCGTTTTGGCCTCCCAACGTGCTGGGATTACAGGCATGAGCTACCGCGCCTGGCTAGCCGTACCATCTTTTAAACTCTATTCTTTACTTTCTTCATCTAAGGTTATGATAATCATATATACTACATATATTATATATGATTATATAAGTATATATTATTATGTTGAGGATTAAGATAATGTACACCATCGCCTAGCATTCAGCCTAACAAATGGTAAGCACTCAGATGTTGATTATTATTGTGGCAGTGTTAGGATTTTTCACTGGTTTTATAATGGAATGGTAAAAGCTGTGTTATAACATCTTGGGTCCTGACTTCATCTGTTGACTATGCATGCGTACAAACCTTGGAAACAATGCTCAGCCATCTTGCTTAGCCCCAGGAAGTTGGGAAAGACAGAATCAATCTAAGGGAACTGATTATTACTACTGTGGAATATGTTACAGAAATTAGAGTGAAGAGGTGATGATTTCTCTTACTAGGTTTTCTTAACTAAATATTAGAGGTTGTGAATTATTAGAACTGGTCATAGCCCATTTAAAAAGAAGCTGAATTAAGAACAAGGATTTTCATACATACTTCTATAATAGGGGTTCTGTTCTTTTACCCTACTCCCCCCAGCAAATATATTTTCACTAAAATGGAAGAGGGCAATAGATTTGGAGGATGAAAGAATTATTTCTACCCTTTTTTTTTTTTTTTTTTTTTGAGACAGAGTCTTGCTGTGTCGCCCAGGCTGGAGTGCAGTGGCGTGATCTCCGCTCATTGCAACCTCCGCCTCCCGGATTCAAGCGATTCTCTTGCCTCAGCCTCCTGAGTAGCTGGGACTACAGGTGCATACTACCATGCCTGGCTAATTTTTGTATTTTTAGTAGAGATGGGGTTTCACCATGTTGGCCAGGATGGTCTTGATCTCCTGACCTCGTGATCCACCCACCTCGGCCTCCCAAAGTGCTGAGATTACAGGCGTGAGCCACCACACCCAGCCTCAATCTTACTATTTTTTGGATTCTTTGTACAATTAGTATAATTTAGGTGACAATCATATTAATATTTGTGTCGAAGCCACTTTGGTTTTTTTATTGAGGTATTATTTACGTATAATAAAGTTTACCCTTTTAAGTATATAGTTTGATGAATTTTGATAATATTTCTGTAACTACCACCACAATCAAAATATAAAACAATTTCTTTACCCTAAAAAGTATTTTTATGTCCTTTTGCAGTCACTTTCCTTCCTGGACCCTGAGCCCCAGGCAGTCACTAACTTGGTTTCTGTTACTATAATTTTGCCTTTTGTAGAATTTCATATAAACAGAATCTTGTATTATCTTTGGTGTTGACTTCTTTCACTTAACATAATGACTTTGGGATTCATGCATGTTGAATTCCTGAGAAGTATTCCACAATTTGGGAATGCCACAGTTTGTTCACCCATTCAAAAATAGGACATTTGGTTGTTTGCAATTTGGGGCTATTCAGTTTTTCATATCCTTATTAACACGTAGTATTGTCGATCTTTTTAACTTTAGCCATTCTAGTAAGTATGAAGTAGTATCTCACCTTGGTTTTTGTTTGCATTTCCCTGATGACTAGTGATGATTGAGGGTCTCTCTTCTTGTGCCTAGTGGGCATTTGTATGTTTTCTTTTGTAAAGTGTCTGTTCAGATCTTCTGCCCATTTTAAAACATCAGTTGTTTGTCTTACTGAGTTGTACTTAAAAGGACAAGCACTTTGGCAAATATGATCTCCCAGTCTATCTTGCCTTTTTATTTTCTTAATTGGTCTTCGGAAAAGTAAAAGTTTTTACTTCTGATTAAGTCAGCTTTATCAGTTTTTTCTTTTATGGTTTGGTTACCTACTGTTATTAACCATTTTTGGTTTGATGTGATTTTTTGTTTACTATATTACAGACTAAGGTACAGAGAAGCTCGGTAAATTGCCCAAGGCTATACAGTAAGTGGCAGAGCCAGGATTCAAATCCAGGTAGTCTTTCTTAAGTTATGTTAGATCTTAAGGTTTAAAACATAGCCCAAACCAGGTACAGAAATGAAGTAGGTCCTGGTTAGCAGTATTTATCGAGTGCCTGATATACAGTAGAAATTTCTCTTTTTTTTTGAGACGGAGTCTCGCTCTCACTCAGGCTGGAGTGCAGTGGCACGATCTCGGCTCACTGCAACCTCTGCCTCCCGGGTTCAAGTGATTCTCCTGCCTCAGCCTCCTGAGTAGCTGGGATTACAGGCATGCACCACCATGCCTGGCTAATTTTTATATTTTTAGTAGAGACGGGGTTTCACCATGTTGGCGAGGATGGTCTCAATCTCCAGACCTCGTGATCCGCCTGCCTTGGCCCCCAAAGTGCTGGTATTACAGGGGTGAGCCACTGCACCCAGCCACAGTAGACATTTCTTACCAGTAATGATATGTCATAGTAAGGTTTATCAAAAGCACTGGCGCTTGTGTTCGCTCGCTCTCTCTCTCTCTCTCTCTCTTTCTTCCTCCTCCTCCCTCTTTCTCTCTCTCTTTCTCTCCAGAGACTTGCTCTGTTATTGGGGCTGGAATGCAATGGCACCATCATAACTCACTACAGCATTGAACTCCTAGGCTTCAGTGATCCTCCTGCCTCAGCCTCCCAGAGTGCTGGGATTACAAGCATGAGTCACTGCACTCAGCCAATATATTCTTAGTATCTGTTTACTTTTTTTTACATGCAGTTTAGGAGCATTCAGGAGATTTTTAAGGAAAGCTTTTAGGCTAAAATATTTAATTTTTTTAATTGTCCCCAAAAGTGTGAGCCAGAAAGACAGCAAACTTTAAGAAAGTACTTACTTTGGTTTTTCCTGGTACTTTGCGATAGAGGAGGAATGCTTCCAATTTCCACTGCTGAGTGGATATCAGGGAGGAGCTGATTTAGGCTGTGGAAAGCTGAGCAAATTTCTCACTCCATTTAAATTCGATATTACATCATGCCTTTGTTCTCTTTTTGAGTACAGTGTTGTGGTGCTATAGTTCTTTGCAAAGAGTAATTAAAACATGACCCCTACCTTCAAGTATGTAACAATTTAGTCTGGCAGAGTTGATCCTTAAGGCTGTCCCAGGACAGATAATGCTACCATATCTGTTTTCTTTCCCTGTTTGTTTGTTTGTTTGTTTTAATTATAAGCCATGAAGGTGGGGAGGGATTATCCTGTGATTAGTTCTCTTAGTAGTTAGAGAAATGACAAAAATACAATGTAACATAAGATATGAACACTTTAAAAGAGTCTTAAACATAAATTACTGTAATCTCAGCAGTTTGGGAGGCCAAGGCAGGAGGATCAGTTGAACCCAAGGGTTCAAGACCAGCCTGGACAACATGGTGAAACCCCATCTCTACAAAAAATACAAAAATTAGCCAGGCGTGGTGGTGCACGCCTATAGTCCCAGCTTTCTCAGGAGGCTGAGATGGGAGGATCACTGGAGCCCAGGAGGTCCAGGCTGCAGTGAGCTATGATCACATGCCTTCACTCCAGCCTGGGTGACAGAGCGAGACACTGACTCAAAACAAAATACATAAATTAATTTGTTTAATTCATGATTAGTTACTATTGGTAGGGAGTAGGGATGATTATTAGAGCCCTTTTATAGCTATTTTAAAATAAAACTAGGCCAGGCGTGGTGGCTCATGCCTGTAATCCCGGCACTTTGGGAGGCCGAGGCGGGCAGATCACCTGAGTTTAGAAGTTCAAGACCAGCCTGGCCAACATAGTGAAACCCTGTCTCTACTACAAATACAAAAATTAGCTGGTGTGGTGGCACATGCCTATAATCCCAGCTACTGGGGAGGCTGAGGCAGGAGAATCACTTGAGCCTGGGAGTGGAGGTTGCAGTAAGCCGAGATTGTGCCATTGCACTCCAGCCTGGGCGACAGAGCAAGATTCCATCTCAAAAAAACAAAAACAAAAAAACCTAAAATATATGAGGAAAAGGTATACAGGAAAAATAATTTGCTTTATTTAGTATAAAAAGAAGAAAGGATTTCTGTATTATCTGTTATATGAGGTTTTTCTTATTTTTAACATAAAAATTAGCAGAATATGCAAGTAGTTAAAATAGAGATCAGAAATTGGTACTGAGTCCTAGGAATCCCTCAAGGAAGGTGAAGCAGGAATGAATCAGATGCATTTTTATTACCTGAAGCTTATTAGTGATTAACCTTGTTTGTCAGCTTTTATATTTTGAAAGGAAATCTTTTACAGTTAAAATATTTACCTTTCTTGTTCTTTTCTACTCCCATATGAAAAAGTAATTTTTTTTCTGTATGATATGGTGTAGCTTTCATCCTATAGTGTGTTCAAGATGCTCATATTCAAATGTAAATGTACATTTAAAAGGTAGTGATTTTTCAACAAGGGTGCCAAGACCATTCAGTGGGAGAAAGAACAGTCTTTTCAACAAATGGTGTTGGAAAAGCTAGATATCCACATGTAAAAGAATGAAATTGGGTCCTTATCTTACACCATCTGCAAAAATTAACTCAAAATGGATCAAAGACCTAAATGCAAGATCTAAACCTTGCATTAGAAACCTTCCCATAAGAATATGGAGGAAGGCCGGGCACAGTGGCTCACACCTGTAATGCCAGCACTTTGGGAGGCCGAGGCGGGCGGATCACCTGAGGTTAGGAATTCAAGACCAGCCCTGACCAATATGGTGAAACCCCGTCTCTACTAAAAAAAAAAAAAAAAAAAAAAATTAGCTGGGCATGGTGGCGCATGCCTATAATCCCAGCTACTTGGGAGGTGGAGGCAGGAGAATCGCTTGAACCCGGGAGGCAGAAGTTGCAGTGAGCCAAGATCACACCATTGCACTCCAGCCTAGGCAACAAGAACGAAACTATGTCTCAAAAAAAAGAAAAAAGAAAAGATAAAGAATATGGAGGAAAGGCTTCATGACATTGGATTTTGCAGTGGTTTCTTGGCATGACATCAAAAGTACAGGCAACAAAAGTAAAACAATTAAACATAAATTACTGTACATCATAAATTAAACATAAATTAGAATACATCAAAATTAAAAACTTTTGTGCATCAAACAGTAACAGAATGAAAGGCAGCCTATGGAATGGGAGAAAAATGTTTGCAAATCTTATATCTGATAAGGGATTAATACCCAGAATACACAAACAACTCCTATAACTCAACAAAAACAACAAAATAGCCCAATTTAAAAATGGGTAAAGGACCAGTTGCAGTGGCCATACCTGTAATCCCAGCATTTTGGGAGACCTAGGTGGGAGGGTCACTTAGACGCCAGGAGTTCAAGACCAGTCTGGGCAACATAGCGATACCCTGTCTCTAAAAACTTTTTAAAAACTGGGCAAAGGGCTTGAAATTTCTCCAAAGAAGATATAAAAATGGACAACAAGCATATGAAAAGATGTTCAACATCACTAATCATTAGGGAAATGCAAGTCAAAACCACAGTGAAGTATTACCCTCATACCGGTTAGAATGGGTACTGTTAAAAAAAGAGAAAACAACAAGTGTTGATGAGGATGTAGAGAAATTGGAACCCTTATGCGCTGTTGGTGGGAATGTAAAATAGTGCAGCTGCTGTGGAAAACGGTATGGAAGTTCCTCAAAAAATTAAAAATAGAGTTACCATGTTGATCTAGCAGTTCTACTTGTGGGCATATAACCAACAGAATTGAAAGCAGGGTCTTGAAGAGATATTTGTACACTCATGTTTGTAGCAGCATTATTAACAGCAACCAAAAGGTGGAAGCAACTCAAGTGTCCTTCAATAGATGAATAGATAAACAAAATGTGATATAAACGTACAGTGGAATATTTACGTTTTAAAGAAAAATTCTGGCAGATGCTACAACATGGACGAACCTTGAGGGCATTATACTAAGTGAAGTAATCCAGTGACAAAAAGAAAAGTACTGTCTGATTCCACTTATATGAGTTATCTATCCAGAGTAGTCAAATTCATAAAAACAAAGTAGAATAGAAGTTGCCAAAGATTAGGGAAGGAGGAAATGCTTAATGGGTATAAAATTTTAGTTTTGCAAGATGAAAAAGTTCTGGAGATTGGTTGCACAACAATGTGAATATACTTAAAAATAGTGAACTGTGCACTTTAAAATAGCTAAGATGGTAAATGCTTTTTTTTATCCCCCCACAATTAAGCGTTTTTTTTAAAACTCAAGGAGAAAACATTATGTAGTCAGAATGTTCTGAAGTGGTCACTATAGTCTTTACTATAAATGAAACTGTTAAGTGATTAAAATGTTGTATCTTAAAATATGTTATATAATTTTTTTAAACCAGAAAAAAGTGTAACATTACAGAAGGAAGAAAAAGTATAATGCATTGCTTTTATACTGGGCTTTGTATGCTTTTAAACTTTTTCACCTGCCTATAGTTACATACGTATAAAAAGCATTTAAATTTAGTAATAGCTATATTATACATTTGTATACATATATATTCTTGTTTTATATTTTATTACAAATGGAATAAGACTCCTGAAATTGATAAATTGTGTATAAGCTAGTAAAACTGAAGTCCAGATCAAGTGTAAGAATAAATTGACGTGGCCAGGCACGGTGGCTCACGCCTGTAATCCCAGCACTTTGGGAGGCTGAGGCAGGCGGATCACGAGGTCAGGAGATCGAGACCATCCTGGCTAACACGATGAAACTCCATCTCTACTAAAAATACAAAAAATTAGCCAGGAGTGGTGGCTAGCGCCTGTAGTCCCAGCTACTCGGGAGGCTGAGGCAGGAGAATGGCGTGAACCCGGGAGGCGGAGCTTGCGGTGAGCAGAGATAGCGCCACTGCACCCCAGCCTGGGCGACAGAGCGAGACTCCATCTCAAAAATAAATAAATAAATAAATAAATAAATTGACATTATGTATTCTTGGTGTGTTTTTTTTTGAGACGGAGTCTTGCTCTGTCGCCCAGGCTGGAGTGCAGTGGCGCAATCTCGGCTCACTGAAAGCTCCGCCTCCCGGGTTCACGCCATTCTCCTGCCTCAGCCTCCCGAGTAGCTGGGACTACAGGCACTCACCACCACGCCCGGCTAATTTTTTGTATTTTTAGTAGAGACGGGATTTCACCGTGTTAGCCAGGATGGTCTCAATCCTCTGACCTCGTGATCTGCCCACCTCATCCTCCCAAAGTGCTGAGATTACAGGCGTGAGCCACTGCACCGGCCTATTCTTGGTGTATGTTACCTATGACTGAGATCCTGAAGATGAAGAATCTTTAAAATGTTTATGCTTTGGGGGTTGGGCATGGTGACTCACACCTGTAATCCCAGCACTTCGGGAGGCCGAGGTGGGCAGACCACTTGAGGTCAGGAGTTTGAGACCAGCCTGACCAACGTGGTGAAACCCTGTCTCTACCAAAAAATACAAAAATTACCTAAGCGTAGTGGCACGTGCCTGTAATCCCAGCTACTTGGGAGTCTGAGGCACGAGAATTGCTTGAACCCAGGAGGCAGAGGTTGCAATGAGCCAAGATCGTGCCACTGCACTCCAGCCTGGGCAACAAAGTGAGACCGTGTCTCAAAAAGAAGAAAATATTTATGTTTTTGGTCCAGTAATTCTACATCTAGGAATTTAACCTAAGGAAATGTGTAGAAGCTTGCTTAACCCTCTCCAGACTAATTGATGCTCTCCATTCTGTTTGCATATATACTGAATGATACAACTGGTTTCTTGTTCTGTGGTGTGGTCTCACACATTGCTCCCGTCAGTGAGTGGGCCTTGTCAGTGCCCTGCAGCCACAGACCACTAGGAACACACCTATAGTTGAACACGTTGGTTCATTACTTGTGAGGGAGGATGCACACCATGCGAACTGTGGAGTATCTCAGTAAGAGTGTTAGGAGGAATATTTTATAGGACTTGTGCTTGTATTAGGTGATTTTGGGGAGTTTAAGAAAGCAGAGCTTTCTCGATTGGATGCTGTTAGGATGTGGGGTGATTGATGTTTGGGTATCTTAATAAATCTTATTAGGACGTGGGCCAACTAGAGTAGAGTGAGACCAAAGCTAGAACTGGTAGAGAAGCAGCAGTCACTCATATTAGCCAGGAGAGGGGGATGTTTGGTATTTTGTGAAAATGCTCAGTGACCTTGTTTTTTTCCTCTGGGCTTAGACAAAAAAAAAATTTTTTTTCTTTTTTGAAATGGAGCTGGGGTGCAGTGGCGTGATCTCAGCTCACTGCAACCTCCAGCTCCCAGGTTCAAGCAATTCTTCTGCCTCAGCCTCCCAAGTAGCTGGGATTACAGGCGTGAGCCACCGTGCCCGGCCAGACAAAATTTTGAAGTATTTTTGTTTTGTCTCACTTGAACACAGTCTCAGAGTGACCTTGTCTCATGTTGATATTTTGCGAGATTGTTTATGTCCCACAGGAGAATAATATGGCCTCCCTATGATCCCTAGGCCAGCTTCAAACAGCACTGAGGTCCAGCTGTAAGTGTTCAAGCAGTTTCCAGACGTTGGGGAGGCTTTTTCTTTCTCAAACTCTTGTTAAGAATCAGTTGAAGCCAGGTGCCTGTAGTCTCAGCCACTCAGAAGCTGAGGTGGGAGGATCACTTGAGCCAGGAGTTTGAGTCCAGCCTGAGCAACATAGCAAGACCCTGTCTCTTAAAAAGGAAAAAAACTGGGCTGATGCAATGGCTCACACCTGTAATCCCAGCACTCTGGAAAGCTGAAGCAGAAGTATCACTTGAGGCTAGGAGTTCAAGACCGACCTGGGCAATGTAGCAAGACTCCATATCTACAGAAAATCATGGTGGTATTCACCTGTAGTCCTAGCTACTAGGGAGGCAGAGGCAGGAGATTCTCTTGAGCCCAGGAGCTCAAGACCAGCCTGGGCAACATGGTGAGACTGTCTACAAAAAAAAAAAAAAGAAGAAGAAAAGAAAATTAGCCCAATGTGGTGGTACATGTCTGTGGTCCCAGCTACTTGGGAGGCTAAGGTGGGAGGACCGCTTGAGCCTGGGAGGTTGAGGCTGCAGTAAGCTATACTCACATCATTGCACTCCAGTCTGTGTGACAGAGCAAGACCCTGTCTCTTAAAAAAAAAAAAAGTGATGTAGCCATTTCGTAAAGACAGTTGGGCAATAACTATCAAATTTAAAATGCATATCACCTTTGCACTTCCAGGAATTTACATTCCAAATATACTTATGCAAAGTAGGCAAACATACATGGACAAGTAGTCTCATTAGATTACTGTTGGTAATATATGCATCAATAGAAGATTGTAGTATTATACACCCATTAAGAATGAGGTAGGTCTATTTGCATTTATTATGATGATGATGTCTTTCCTTTATCAAATACATATTATGTGCCGGGCACCGTGCCATGCATTTGATGTGTTTTATCTAATAACTCTTTATTTATTTATTTATTTTTGAGACGGAGTCTCGCTCTTTCGCCCAGGCTGGAGTGCAGTGGCGCTATCTCGGCTCACCGAAAGCTCCTCCTTCTGGGTTCACGCCATTCTCCTGCCTCAGCCTCCGGAGTAGCTGGGACTACAGGCGCTAGCCACCACGCCTGGCTAATTTTTTGTATTTTTAGTGGAGATGGGGTTTCACCGTGTGAGCCAGGATGGTTTCGATCTCCTGACTTTGTGATCCGCCCGCCTCAGCCTCCCAAAGTGCTGGGATTACAGGCGTGAGCCACCACGCCCGGCCTTATCTAATAATTCTTAAAACAACTATTAATATATGGCAAGTACTGTTATTATTTACATTTTGCAGGTGAGGAGACTAAGCACAGAGATTAAATAACTTGCACAAGTTTACACAGATAGTAAAGGGCAAACTTGGTATTCAAATCCAGGTATTCTGAAGTTAGAGTATGCTGCATTTTTGACCTCTAAAATGTACATCCTCCTTTCTACTGATGGAGAAAGAGGATGAAGATATATAATAAATGAAAAAGTAGTTTAGAACTGAATGTCTAGTTTGCTGTCATTTGTATTTTAAATTTTTTTAAAAAGTGACAGCACACAGTAGGATACCAAAGAAACGTAACAGTTACTTATAAGGAGCAGATGGATGGCCTTTCAGCTTTCACTTTCCATCTCTTTCATGGGTGTTTTAATAATAGGCATGTATTACTTGATTTTTTTTTTTTTTTAAGAGACAGGGTCTCGCTCTGTCACCTAGTCTGGAGTGCAGTGACATAATCATTGCTCACTGTAGCCTCTTACTCCTAGGCTCAAGCTCTTCTCCTGTCTTAACCTCCAAAGTAGCTGGAGCTACAAGCATATGCCACCATGCCGCACTAATTTTTTAAATTTTTGTAGAGATGGAGTTTCACTATGTTGCCCTGGCCGGTCTTAAAACTCTTGGGCTCAAGTGGATGCTCCTGCTTTGGCCTTCCAAAATGCTGAGATGAGAGGTATGAGCCACTATTCCTGGCCACTTACATATATTTTTAACTGAAATAAATGTAGCTGACATTTTGAAAAGTTGTAATATTTAATGAAGATTAAGCTAAAGTCATGAATAAAAAATGGTTTATCTATCCCTGCTTACATACTGTTATGTAGGGTTTCCCTTGTCCTAATATCCTACCACCAGCTCACTTCAAATTCACTTCCTCTGGGGTTCATCTCTTATCTGATCCTACTTTTGAATACTTACATTTTTGTTTTTGTTTTTTGAGACAGGACAGGGTCTCCACTCTGCTGCCCAGGCTGGAGTGCAGTGGCATGATCTCAGCTCACTGCAGCCTTGACCTCCTGGACTCAAGTAGTCCTCTCTCCTCAGCCTGCTGAGTAGCTGGCAAGCACCACCACGCCTGGCTCATTTTTTAAATATATTTTTTTGTGGAGATGGGGTTTCACCATGTTGCCTGGGCTGGTCTCAAACTCCTAAGCTCAAGGGATCTGCCCGCCTTGGCCTCCCAAAGTGCTGGGATTACAGCTGGGATTACAGGCGCGAGCCAACGTGCCCAGCCCCCAGATACTTAATATTTCTGATTGACAGAGTACCTCATTTGTCATTTAGCCTTTTTTTTTTTTTTTTTGGAGACAGAGTCTTGCTGTGTCGCCCAGGCTGGAGTGCAGTGGCATGATCTCTACTCACTGCAACCTCCGCCTCCCAGGTTCAAGCAATTCTCCTGCCTCAGCCTCCTAAGTAGCTGGGATTACAGGCACGCACTACCATGCCTGGCTAATTTTTGTATTTTTAGTAGAGACGGGGTTTCACCATGTTGGCCAGGCTTGAATTCCTGGCCTCAAGTGATCCGCCTGTCTTGGCCTCCCAAAGTTCTGGGATTACAGGCGTGAGCCACCATGCCCCACCAAAATGTAATTTAGCCTTTTAAATGGCCTAAATTTTCTATTGTTTCCGAAAGGACTTGATACTGCTTACAGTAAGATAATGATGCACATCATAGGAACTATAAACATTGAGATTACAATTATATAGCCTAATATAGTTCTACAATTGAGCAGTAAATTTAACTTAGTTTCCTGGAAGTAGGCAAAAAATAAAATATTTTAAGTTCTGTAGTTGTGGTTTGACAAAAAGACACATATGTTTTTGTTTAAAGGAACATTTTTCTGATTCTAAATTTTGAGAAGAAATGTGTTTCATGGACCCTTTTATGCAATTTATCCTGTTCTGGTTACTTCTTGTTTTGTTGTTTTTTTTGTCTACCCAACTAAATTATAAGCTTCCTTAGGACACACTCTATTTTTCAATACTATTTTTGTTCTATCTCTGCCTAGAAAATTTGCGCTTATTATAGTTGAAATGATAAATTAGGCAACAATTGCAACATAGCCATATTTCATGGATAATGTTACCACCAGTTTTCAAAGACTTAATTTTTGAGTAGTTTAGGAATTTATATTACTTTCATCCCTTTCAGCAGGGAATCCTTTTTGAGACAGGGTCTCACTCTGTCACCCAGGCTAGAGTGCAGTGGCATAATCATGACTCACTGAAGCCTCAATCTCCTGGGCTCCCAGGCTTAAGCTGTCCTCCCACCACAGCCTCCGGAGTAGCTGGGACTACAGGTGTGCACCATACCCAGCTGTGTTCTTTGGTTCTTTGGGGTGTTTTTTTTTTTTTTTTAGAGATGAGGTCTTGCTGTGTTGCCCAGGCTGGTGTCAAATTCCTGGACTCAAGCAGTCCTCCCACCTCAGCCTCCCAAAGTGCTGGGCCGATCAACAGGGAATCTTTTGTGATAGCCTTCAAAAAAAATAATTTATTTATTTGTATGTAGCACTCTGTCATCTTGTAGCCCATACTTTCTAGCTGAGTATGTAGTATGAAAAACTGGAAATTAGAACTTTGGTTTTATGAAAGTTAAATCTTTTTAAATAGGGCTTATAGCTTTCAACTACCTTTTCCTTTCCCTTAGGCCAAGTCATCAAGGCATGGGACATTGGGGTGGCTACCATGAAGAAAGGAGAGATATGCCATTTACTGTGCAAACCAGAATATGCATATGGCTCGGCTGGCAGTCTCCCTAAAATTCCCTCGAATGCAACTCTCTTTTTTGAGGCAAGTATGTGTGTGATGTTGCCTTGTCAGCATCTGCTCTACAATAGGAATGGCTTTGAAGCAACAGGCAGTGGGAAAAGGAGCTAAGCTTGCTATAGAGAATCAGATCCAACTTACTTATTTTGGAGCATGGCTTCTTGAATTGTTTCCCACAAACCCAAGGGTGCGCGTGCCAGTGCTTTCTTAGAAACGTGTTTCTAGCACAAAAAGGTCATATCCAAATAAACAAAAGACGCTACACTTAGAAATAAAGATTCTGGTCCATGGTGTGAGTGTGACATACTCAAAATTGACCAGAGTACAGGATGGAAATGTTGGCGATAAATGTTGAAATATGCCTATGTCACGTTGCGGGGTATTTACATATTATAAAAATTTATGTGTCACAGATCTCACTTCTCTAGAAGCCGTTGGTGGTGATAAAACATTATTCATCCTATGTTGAATTACATATATTTGGCAAAACTTGATTTTTAAGAACCACCCCAGCTAGGTAAAATACACCTTTAATCAGTCGTAGGTCACATCCATGAGATTTATTCTTACATTTTGAGAAGGGAACTCCATAAACCCAGGATGGGAAAGTTGTGGCCTCAAACAAAATAGTTCTACACCAGCACCTTGTAGCTCTGGCTTTTTGCCCACAGGGTAGTTTTCCTAGTATTTCCTATCTTTGCACTGCAGTCCCTTAGGATATAGTTCTAGACATTAGCATTACATGAAATTCTTTCCAAGTATGGAAAAGTATAGTGGGTTTTTTTTTTTTTGCTACTTTTCCAATAATTAAGATGCATAAATGAATGTATATATTTTAAAACAGCTTTATTTTGTAAAATGAAATAATTGGTTGCCCTTGCCTTCACATATGTTCAGTTGGCTTTATTTGGTCTTTTCTCAGCTGAATTCCTTTTTTCTTTCTAGATTGAGCTCCTTGATTTCAAAGGAGAGGATTTATTTGAAGATGGAGGCATTATCCGGAGAACCAAACGGAAAGGAGAGGGATATTCAAATCCAAACGAAGGAGCAACAGTAGAAAGTAAGTATTAAAGTAAGAGGGAACTAGTCCTTAAAAGTTGGGCCATTTATGTGGACGAAATGGAGACTTAAAAAAAAATGTTTGTAGAAATGAATATATCGGCTGTGCGCAGTGACTCACGCCTGTAATCCCAGCACTTTGGGAGGTCGAGGCGGGTGGATTGCCTGAGCTCAGGAGTTTGAGACCAGCCTGGCCAGCATGGCGAAACCCCATCTCTACTAAAAATACAAAAAACTAGCCAGGTGTGGTGGTGCACGCCTGTATTCCCAGCTACTCGGGAGGCTGAGGCATGAGAATCACTTGAACCCGGGAGGCAGGGGTTGCAGTGAGTCGAGATGGTGCTACTGCACTCCAGCCTGGATGACAAAGCAAGACTCTGTCTCAAAAAAAAAGTATTGAATATATCTCAAAGATAGTCTTAGCTGGGCACAGTGGCTCATGCCTGTAATTCCAGCACTTTGGGAGGCCGAGGCAGGAGGATCTCTTGAGCTTAGGAATTCGAGACCAGCCAGGACAGCATAGTGAGGCCCCATCTCTACTAAAAAGCATCAAGAGAATTAGTCAAGTGTGGTGTCACGTCCCTGTAGTCCCAGCTACTTGGGAGGCTGAGGTGGAAGAATCACTTGAGCTCTGGAGATGAATGCTACAGCAGAGAGCCGTGATTGTGCCATTGTGCTTCAGCCTGGACAACAGCAAGATTCTGTCCAAAAAAAAAATAGTTTCAGGTTCAACATTTATTTAATAATTTTATTTAGTAAATATTAATTCAACATCTACGTGTCAGGCATGCTACCAGCCTCTACAAACTCAAAAATGAATACAAAGTAATTCCATCCACAAGAAATTCTCAATCTGTGGACTCTCTGGTGTGCCAACAACTATATTAGTTGCCTGATATGTTTGTTCATTTATTTCTCACAACCTTAAGAGGTAAAATTTCTTGTCCCCAGATGAGAAAAGTTAATTCAGAGATGTTAAATAAATTGCCCAGGGTTACAGAGTTACTAAACAGAGCAGTAGATTATAATCCCTTTTAGGACTCAAATACATCTCATCAGCTGTCATCAAGATTAAAAAATAGTTCATCATTTAGATCAATATTGGATAATAATGTTCATTCTATTCCATATCAGGAGACCTAGGTTCAAGTCCTGCTTTGGTGTTTATTGAGTAACCTGAAGCTATTCCGTTTCTTCATTTGCTAAGTGGGAGTAGGGGCAGCTCTGAGGACTGAGATAGCTAACTCTTCTTCCCTCCCGGAGCAAATTATATGTACCACTGTGTATACTACTTGTCACTTTACATTGTAATCAGTATTTGCCCATTTCTCCCAGTATACTTTGAGTGCTTGAGGACCAGAATCTTTCTTCATCCTTTTGTGTTCAGCATTTCCTGCAGTGCGTGACACACATTTGGTGTTCAGTAAAGGCTTTCTGCATGGATAAGTGCTTGAGAAGTGTCATTAGTGAGCTGAAATCCTTCAAAAGAGAGTTGTGAGAAAACAGAGAAATACTTCCATTAAGAACAAAAATCAAATCATTCAACAAGGATGGGAACATGAACTATTATTATAAAAGGTCTGTTTAAAATAATTATTTCAAAAGCCAGGTGTAATGGTGTGCACCTGTAGTCCCAGCTACTTGGGAGGCTGAGATAGGAGGATCACTAGAGGCCAGGAGTTCGAGGCTATAGCGTGCTATGGTTACACCAGTGAATAGCCAGTGCACTCTAGCCTAGGTACCATAGTGAGACCTTGTCTCCTTAAAAAAAAAAAGTAAAGAGTTCATTTAAACAGAAAACAAGAATAGCTGAGTTTCTTTCTTTTAAAGTATATACTATTTTCAACCCATATTTCATTTCTACGAGTCTGGCAAATCAGTTTAAATTCTGTTGTTTTGGGAAGCAGTTACAAATATTATTTATCCCAAATTGCCATTTGGGATAAGTTTTTGAATACATGAAGAGCTTTAAATGTAGAATACCAGGGAAATAGCTCCAGACTAGGAGTTGGGAGATAGGGTTCCAGCCTCAGCCCTGGCCTCAGGCTGGCTTCAACTAGACTTCACCTCTGGGCGTTAGCTTCCTTCCTATGCAGTGAGGCAAGCTTGAACCTCTTGATTTTTAAGGTCCTACTAGCCCTAAAACTCCATCATAGAATTCTAAATATTTACAAAAGTTGTAGGAATGATAGAAAATCATCTTCACTATATTAGTAAGCACTTAAGCTTGTCTATAATGTGTATTTTAAATTTTTCTTATGAAAAATTTCAAATGTATGTACAAAGGTAGAGGTTTACTCCTATGGATACAGGCACACCCTAGATTCAGTAATTTATAATATATATTTTTAAACTGGAGGGTTTTGTCAACTAAGAGGAAAAACTTTTCCCAATTATAGACAATATCACAAAATTACCGCTGTGGAGATGACTTTAGAGCAGACTAAATTAAATCAGATCTTGCTTTTGGTAATACTTGCGATGGGAGTCAATTTTTTTTTAACTTTTTGTTTTGAAATAATTTTAGAATTACAGAAAAGTTGCAAAACTAGTATAGCGCGTTCCCTTATATGCTTTACACAGCTTCCTCTAAATGTTAACATCTTACCTAATCACAGTACATTTATCAAAATCAGGAAGTTAACATTGATGTAGTACCAGTAACTGTTTTCCAGATCTTATTTGAATTTCACCAGTTACTACACTACTGTCGTTTTCTGGTCTAAGATCAAACTCAGGATCCAGCATTGTATTTACTTTTTTTTTTTTTTTTTTTTTTTTTGAGATGGAGTCTTGCTCTGTCATCCAGGCTAGAGTGTAGTGATGCTATCGCAGCTCACTGCAACCTCCACCTCCTGGGTTCAAGCAATTCTCCTGTCTCAGCCTCCCAAGTAGCTGGGACTATAGGCGCACGCCACCATGCCCGACTAATTTTTGTATTTTTATTAGAGACAGGGTTTCTAACATGTTGGTCAGGCTGGTCCTCAAGCTCCTGACCTTGGGTGATACACCCGCCTCAGCCTCCCAAAATGCTGGGATTACAGGCATGAGCCACCGCACCCAGCCTACTCTACTATTTTGAATACAACTGACCGTTTTGTAGAATATCCCTCAATTTGGGTTTCTGGGATGTTTTTAGATTGAGGTTATGCATTTTTTGAAAATACCACTGAAGTGATGTGCCTTTCATCATTATCAAGAGGTATATGATATTGATGTCTCATTACTGGTGATGTTACCTTCGAACACTGGGTTAAGGTGGGAAACCATGTTTCACTACTGCAACGTTACTATTTTCCCTTTGTAATTAAAAAGTATTAGGAGTGAAGTACTATCTTGTTTTGTATCACAACTTTACACACTCATTTTGACATTTGTTGATTTTTGCTTGCAACAGTTATTACTGTGGCATTTGACTAATGGTAAATTTTCTATTGCTGTTATTCTCTCTACATTAATTTGAATCCTACTGTATATTTATTCAGTTTATTTATATCATTATGGATCTGTGTATATTTATTCCATAAGTTATTATTCATTACTATTCTTATTTATTTTGTTGTTCACATTGTCCCAGATTTGACCATTGGAAACTCCTTTAAGTTTGTTTTTGTGTCCTTTCAATATTATCCCCATTTTTTTTAAGTGCTTCCTTATTTTCTGGTACCACAAGACACTCATGGCTCATCTTAAAATTTTCCTGCCCTAGACCTGGAACCAACCATTTCTCCAAAGAGCCCTGATTCCTTTTATTGGAGAAAGGCATTTAGAAACCAAGATCTGAGTGCTAGGTTTGCTCCTGCTATGGGATATCATCATTCCTAGACCCACTTAGCAGACAGAGAGATAGAGAATATATGGACCTCAACATACATACGTATACATCTATATGTATTTCTACATCAGCCTCTGTGTGTGTGTGTGTGTGTGTGTGTGTGTGTAGTTGTTGTTGTTGTTGTTGTTGTTGTTGTTTGCGACAGAGTCTCACTCTGTCGCCCAGGCTGGAGTACAGTGGTGCAATCTCAGCTCGCTGCAACTTCCGCCTCCCAGGTTCAAGTGGTTCTCCTGTCTCAGTCTCCGGAGTAGCTGGGATTTACAGGTGCCTGCCACCACGCCCAGCTATTTTTTGTATTTTCAGTAGAGATGGGATTTCACCATGTTGGCCAGGCTGGTCTCGAACTCCTGACCTCGTGATCTGCCTGCCTTGGCCTCCCAAAGTGCTGGAATTACAGGAATGAGCCACCGTGCCCGGCCAGCCTGTATGTATATGTTAAAAACCAGGGATACTCACTGGCAGTTGCAGTTCCAGTTCCAATCCAACACCACAAGTTTATTTGCCCTTTGCTCATTTGAAACTCCATTCTCCAGAAGTGAGAAAATGCTCTCATTCTCCACAGCATACTCATTGCTCCCATCCTAGTGTATATGTAAGATGGTTTTAGAATTGCTAACCTAGACCCCTGTGACAAACTGACTTTAGGAAATATTTGTTTATAGTACCTTTTGTCATCAGTCTTATAGTGTATATTCAAAACACTTGCTTTCCAACTGAGGTAACTTCTTTCTTCCTCACCCCCTTCAATGTGATTATGTTACTCAATTGTAACAAATTATTCATTTGTTACCCTGTATATTCCATTTTGGGTTCCTGCCATGCTCTGGTTAATTTTAATTATTCGTTTTATTTTGGATATGTGAAACATTACCATGATTTTAAACTATATAAAAAACGATATACTCAAAAGTGTCATTTCCCCCTCATCCTTATTAACCTGTTCCCACTTCCCCATTATTTCCACCCTATTCCAGTCTCATTAGTTATATCATTAGATCCTGGTTTTTCTTCCTGTATTTTATTACGTTTTATGTCATTTTATTTTTTTCTGTTTCTGTTAACAAAGGGAGCCAGTCGTGGTGGCTCACACCTGTAATCCCAGCACTTTGGGAGGCTGAGGCAGGAGGATGGCTTGACCTCAGGAATTTGAGACCATCCTGAGCAACATAGAGACCTTGTCTCTGCAAAAAGTTTAACATTTAGCCACATGTGATGGCACATGCCTCTAGTCCCAGCTACCCAGAAGACTGAGGTAGGAGGATCTCTTGAGCCCAGGAGTTCAAGGCTGCAGAGAGTTGTGATCATGCCACTGTACTCCAGCCTGGGCAACAGAACAAGGCTCTGTCTCAGTTTGAAAAAAAGAGAGAAAGAACAAAAGAAAGGGCAATGACTAATCTTTTGTCTTTCATCTTGTTAGAATGTACTTTCCTGGGAAATTTTAGATTAAATGGTTGATTTTACTTTTTCACTCAAAAGACCGTCTTGGTTTTCTGGAACAAATCTATTTCATAGAAATTTATTGTGTTATACTTTCATTTATCAAGGTTAAAATGTCCTGGTTTTTCCTCCTTTAAACAAGTTAGCTATCTGGGGGAGGAGAAAAAAGATTACCCTAAAGGTGGTCCTGTTCAAAACCAAGATCACCTTGTTCTTTTTGAAATCTTCTCAGTCTTTACTGGTTTGCCTTTTCTTTATAGCATCACCAAATACACTTAGATGTGAAACCAGATATAAAACCTGGAACTAGGCCAGGTGCGGTGGCTCACGCCTGTAATCCCAGCACTTTGGGAGGCCGAGGTGGGCAGATCACGTGAGGTCAGGAATTTGAGACCAGTCTGGCCAACATGGCAAAACCCCATCTCTACTAAAAATACAAACAATTAGCTGGGAGTGGTTGTGGGCACCTGTAATCCCAGCTACTTGGGAGGGTGAGGCAGGAGAATTGCTTGATCCTGGGAGGTGGAGGTTGCAGTGAGCAGAGATTACGCCACTACACTCCAGCCTGGGTGACAGAGGGAAACTCCGTCTCAAAAAAATAAATAAATAAAATAAATAAAACCTGGAACTAAAGCCGGCTATAGAGTGAACAAGAACAATAGACACTGATCACCCATTACAATATGTTGTTATAGATACGTGATTTACTAAATTTCTGTCATTTCTGTGTAAAGAGACAATGAAGTGGTATGGAGGAGGGGACAGATAGACTTTGTAAGTGATGGACTTGATTTTTGAATCTTGGAATTGCTACCTGATACTTTTATGACTTTAGACAAGTTACTTAACTACGTGGAGCATTCAGTTTTTTTAATCTGTCAAATGGGAATAGTTTTCACTCCCACAGGTTGTGTGACAGTGATAACGGTTTGGCTGTGTGCCTACCCAAATCTCGTCTTGAATTGTAGTTCCCACAATCCCCACGTGTCGTGGGAAGGACCCACTGGGAGGTAACTGAATCGGGGGGGCATTTTCTCCCATGCTGTTCTCATGATAGAGTGAGTTGTCACGAGATCTGATGGTTTTATAAGGGTCTGGCAGGGAAACCCTGCTGGCTCTTCCCTCTTCTGCCGCCATGTGAAGAAGGGTGTGTTTGCTTCCCCTTCTGCCATGATTGTAAGTTTCCTGAGGCTTCCCCAGCCATGTGAAACTGTAAGTCAATTAAACCTCTTTTCTTTATAAATTACCCAGTCTCAGGCAGTTCTTCATGGCAGCGTGAGAATGGACTAATACAAACAGTTACAAAGAAGAGTGTCAGACATTTAGTGGACACTTAATTTCTTCTACCCTATATATTGTGTTTCACTAATTTGTTTTGCTTCCTTTTAATTGATCTAAGGAAAAAGATCCTTGACTCCTCTTTTTCTTTTTCTGTTGCCCAAGCTGGAGTGCAGTGGGCCAGGCTGGAGTGCAATGGCGCATCTTAGCTCACTGCAACTGCTGCCTTCCGGGTTCAGGTGATTCTCCCACCTCATCCTCCCAAGTAGCTAGGACTACAGGCACGTGCCACCACACCCAGCTAATTTTTGTATTTTTAGCAAAGACGGGGTTTCGTCATGTTAGCCAGACTGGTCTTGAACTCCTGACCTCAGGTGATCCACCTACCTTGGCCTCCCTAAGTGCTGGGATTACAGGCGTGAGCCACTGTGCCTGGCTGACTCCTCTTTTTCTTATCTCCTACATGTCATCCATCAGCAAATCCTCTTGGCTCTACCTACCATGGTTATTAGAGACCTAAAATTGTCTCTAATAACAGTCTTCAAATTAATGATATATCTTAATAGTAATCTTATCTAAATCACATTTCTCAAGGTTCCGGGGAAAGAATAACATTATGGACTCAAAAAGGTTTTTACTGAATTGTAAACTTTTACTTCCTTTTCATAATTTGTCTCTGTGTGGAAGAGAAAACTTAGGTTAGTTTGATGGGATTTATTCTTTCTCAAGGAAATTTTGATTTTTACTCTTTATATGAGGATCCTAATGGTTACAAATCAGTTTTTAGAATCTGTCCCCCTACGCTTTTTCTTGTGTCAGTTAAGATGACCATCTTGTAATTTTTATTCAAAGTTTTTCTTTCATTTAAAAAGTTACTGTGTTCTAAGGTACTCTAATTGATATGATTATGATGACTGATACTTCAGTCTTTAAGTTTAATTGCAGGTCTTGGCTACATTGCTACTTTTCAGCTTTGCTTTCTTAGAAAATCAAATCTGACTTACATAAGGTTCTAAATAGCTACCAGTTACTCTTCCCCCATCCCCCAGTCTCTCACATCGTCTGATTTGTCAACTTTAGTGGTTGGAAGAGGCCCATCAAAATGCTGGCTGTATGTGGTTCTCTCGCCTCTCAGTACTTTCAGCCACATTTGAATGCAAAGAATGCAGACAGTCAGCAGTATTTTTAAATGTGAAATTTTCAACAGAGTGTTCTACAGGTTCCAGTTGTTGGCGTACCTCCTTTCCCTCTCCAAATCTCACTGAAATGATAGATGGAGGGAACAAAGATTTTCAAAAGAAGAAGAAGAGATCAATAATAGTGCTGGAAAGGAGAGGAATGTAAGAGTGGATCAGAAATTATGGAGAATTTCTGGAATATGTAAAGTTGATGAAGTTGAACCAATGGAAACTAGTCTCAGCAAATCCAACCCGAGACAGGTGTAAAGAGGACTTAAGCAGAGGTACACACTGTTCTTCTCAACAGGCTTAGGCGGAACTCCAAGCTCATGGTCATCTGGTGTGAGGGAGCCCAAGCAGGCTATGCAGCAATCATCAGGGTTGTTATAAAACAAGATGGAACAGCGGGGCCAGTAAACCTCCAGTGCAGTAGTTCTCAACTTTTCCTGAATTTAGAATTACCTAGGGAGCTTTTAAAAATTCTGACACCCAGACCAGTTAAATAAGAATCTCACATCTCAGAAGATGGAACTCCAGGCACAAGTATTTTTTTTTAAACTCCCAGATTATTCTAGTTTGCAGGCAAGGACTGAAAACTACTAGACTACGGTCTGACTGTGACTTTTTCTCCCAAGCTAAAACCAGTAAGGCCAGGTTCTAAAATAAAATAGAAAAATAATAAAATAAATTTAAAAATAAATAATAAAACAAAATGTGCCTCAAAAGACTCCAAGTGTTAGGACTTCGACTAGGGAAAATGAATGTATTTTTTGAAACTTTTTTTTTTTTTTTTTTTTTTTTGAGACGGAGTCTTGCTCTGTCACTCAGGCTATAGTGCAGTGGCGCGGTCTTGGCTCACTGCAAGCTCCGCCTCTCGGGTTCACGCCATTCTCCTGCCTCAGCCTCCTGAGTAGCTGGGACTACAGGCACCTGCCACCACGCCCAGCTGATTTTTTTTGTATTTTTAGTAGAGACGGGGTTTCACCGTGTTAGCCAGGATGGTCTCGATCTCCTGACCTCGTGATCCACCTGCCTCAGCCTCCCAAAGTGCTGAGATTATAGGTGTGAACCACCACGCCCGGCCTTTTTTGAACTTTTAAAACAAATTTAAAGGGGAAAAAAGTGTAAAGACAGCTTTTCACAGTAAATAATACTAAAGTGTTCTGCTCCTAAAGTCAACTTTCCTGTGCCCATCATGCCCAGCTCATAGTAAATGCTTAATAAATATTTGTGAAATCTTCACCCTTAGATCCCCGCAATCAGCCCATCCTTTTGCAGAAAGGCCTGCCATGGAAACATATCCAACTGCTTAGAAAAATGGTGCCAGCTAACTATAGTCATTTGATCATCCAGAATCCTTCCTTTATAATACGGCCAGACAGCAAAGAATCATCAGCAAATATCACGAAAAAAGCAGCACTAAAATGGACTAACAGAAGAAGTAGAAGAGAACCTTAAAAATACTAATTATTGTCTTCAGAAATTGTTAACAGGACATCAGATTCATAAGTCAAAAAGCCAACTTCCCTGAAAAAGGAAAGGGAGGACAAGAAAGTTTCTGGAAGTTAGAGCATGATTAATCAAAACTGAAACTCAGAGGAAGGGTTGAAGAGCAAAATGGACAGTCCCTGAAATCAGGTGATCTGAAAGATAGCCAAGGATTTCTCAGAACACAAGAAAAAAGAGGGATGAAAAGTGAAAAAGAAATTAGAAGATATGGATAATAAATCCAGGAGAGGTAATATGCATCCAATCAAACATCTAATAGAAAATTTCCTACAGGGAATAAAAGAAAAAGATTCTTAAGATCGAAAGGGCCAGTTGATAGTGGTACCCAGGAGGAAGGAGTGGTTTTTCACCCAGATATATCCTGGTGAAATTTCTGAATTCTGCAGCTTACAAGAAAATTCTGAACTCTTCCAGGGAAGAACAAGCTATGTACAAAGGAATAAGAATCTTATTCATTACACTAAAGACAATGCTTTTGATCATTGTCTATAGCTATGTGTATTTTGAACCTAGAATTCCGTACTCAGCCCAACTGTCATTTATGTATGAGAACAAAATTAACTTTTTGGAATTTGCAGACTCATATTCTTTTCGAAAAAAATACTGTGGGATGTACCAAAACAAAAAAATAAGTCAAGAAGCAACAACTCAAGGCATAAGAAACAGTAGCGAGAAAAAAAAAATAATTTCCATATTGGATACATTTATCCTGAAAGATCTCTGAAGCAGTAGAGCTGTAATGTTAGAAGTAATATTAATAATGAAACAGTCTGGCCTGGGCACAGTGGCCCACACCTGTAATCCCTACACTTTGGGAGGGCGTCACTTGAGGCCAGGAGTTCAAGACCAGCCTGGCCAACATGGCAAAACCCCATCTCTAGTAAAAATACAAGATTTAGCCAGGCATGATGGCACATGCCTATAATCCCAGCTACTCAAGAGGCTGAGGCAGGAGAATCACTTGAACCCAGGAGACAGAGGTGGCAGTGAGCCAAGATTGTACCACTGCCTAGGTGACAGAGGGAGACTCTGTGTCAAAATAATAATAATAATAATAAAACAATAATAACAGTCTGGATTCTGGGTTATTTTAACAAAAGGTGGTGAGGATAGGAAATGAAGAGGGGAAGGCAAAATTGTCTAAGATTATTTTCTTTTTTAAAACATTTTTTGGAGATGAGGTCTTGCTCTGTTGCCCAGGCTGGCATGCAGTGGCACAGTTGTGGCTCACTGCAGCCTCAAATTCCTGCCCTCAAGCCATCCTCCCACCTCAGCCACCGGAGTAGCTGGAACTGCAGGTGCACACCCAGCTAACTTTTTTTATCCTTTTAGAGACGGGGTCTTGCTATATTGCTCAAGCTGGTCTTGAACTCCAGGGCATAAGCGATCAGCCTGCTTCAGCCTCCCAAGTAGTTGAGATTACAGGCTCGTGTACTACCACAACCAGCTGCCTTAATTTCTTGTTCCAGGGGAGATTATGCTGATTAATTCTTTTATTTTAAGATTCAGGGGGGACATGTGCCAGTTTGGTACATGGATATATTGTCTGTAATGCCGAGGTTTGGGCTTCTATTGAACCCATCATCCAGATAGTGAACATAGAATATAGCCCTTGTACCCCTCCATCCTTTTTTGCTTTTGGAGTCCCCAGTGTCTCTTGTCCTCATCTTTATGTCTGTGTATACTCAGGGTTTAGCTCCTACTTATAAGTGAGAACACGCAGTATTTGGTTTTCTGTTTCTGTGTTAATTCACTTAGGTTACTGGCCTCCAGCTGCATCTGTGTTGCTGTAGGGGACATCCTTTCATTCTTTTTTATGGCTGCATAGTATTTCATGGTATATATGTACCACATTTTCTTTTTTTTTTTTTATTTCAAGTCTGTCAAGCTATTCTTTATTTCGGAGAGAGGGCAGGGCAGAGTGCTCAGTCCTTGGCAGCGGCTTTTGTCATGGTGGCCAGGACATTGCTCAGCTCCTCCTGCTTCCTCTTGGTGCATCCCCACCCTTGTCTTGATGAACTTGAGGGCCCATTTGTCCTTGGAGACCTTCAGTAACTCCATGGTGCACCGCTCGTATGGGGTGAAGCCACACAGCTCTCAGATCATGTCCGGCACGAACTTGGTATATTTGGTCAGGTGCCTGCAGCAGCGGCTGTGCCTGGGCGTCCTCATGTTCTCGGTCACCTTGTGGCCCTTGTTGAGGCCCATGGCCATAGGGCAGCACAGAGCCATGGCCGCTGCTCTCCAATGGTGGCCGTGGCAGAAGGAAGCCCACATTTTTATCCAATCCACCATTGATGGACACCTAGGTTGACTCCGTGTCTTTGCTATTAAGAATATAACTGTGCTTAAGAGTAAGTGCTGTGTGTGGCTCATGCCTGTAATCCCAGCACTTTGGGAGGCCAAGGTGGGATGGTCACTTGAGCCCAGGAGTTTAAGACCAAACTGGGCAACATAGTAAGACCCCATTTCTACAGAAAAAAAAAAAAGGCCAAGCATGGTGGTGCATGCCTGTAGTGCCGGCTACTCAGGAGGCTGTAGTGGGAGGATCATTTGAGTCACATTTATACCACTGCAGTCTAACCTGGGCAACAAAGCGAGACCCTGTCTCAAAACAAAACAGGCTGGGCGTGGTGGCACATGCCTGTAATCCTAGCACTTTGGGAGGCTGAGGTGGGTGGATCATTTGAGGTCAGGAGTTCAAGACCAGCCTGGCCAACATGGTGAAACCCTGCCTCTACTAAAAATACAAAAATTAGCTGGGTGTGGTGGTGGGCGCCTGTAGTCCCAGCTACTTGGGAGGCTGAGGCAGAATTGCTTGAACCTGGGAGGTGGAGGTTGTAGTCAGCTGAGATTCTGCCACTGCAGTCCAGCCTGGGCAACAGAGTGAGACTCTGTCTCAAAAAACAAACAAACACACAAACAATGCTGCAGTAAACATGTCAGTGTAAATGCCAGCTATCTTTCTGATAGAACGATTTATTTTCCTTTGGTTGTATACCCAGTAATGGGATTGCTGGGTCAAATGGTACTTTGATTTTTAGTTCTTCGAGAAATTTCCAAAACTGCTTTCCACAGGAGCTGAACTAATTTCCATTCTCATCAACACTGTTTAAGCATTCCCTTTTCTCCACAACCTTGCCAACATCTGTTCTTTTTTGACTTTTTTTTTTTTTTTTTTTTTTTTTTTTTTTTTTTTTGAGACGGAGTCTCATTCTGTTGCCCAGGCTGGAGTGCAGTGGCGCGATCTTGGCTCACTGCAACTCCCGCCTCCCAGGTTCACGCCATTCTCCTGCCTCAGCCTCCCGAGTAGCTGGGACTACAGGCGCCCACCACCACGCCCGGCTAATTTTTTAAAATATTTTTAGTGGAGACGGGGTTTCACCGTGTTAGACAGGATGGTCTCGATCTCCTGACCTCATGATCTGCCTGCCTCGGCCTCCCAAAGTGCTGGGATTAAAGGCATGAGTCACAGCGCCCGGCCTTGACTTTTTATTAATAGTCATTCTGACTCAGTTGTGAGATGGTATCTCATTGTGGTTTTGATTTGCATTTCTCTGATGATTAGTGATGTTCGGCATTTTTTCATGTTCGTTGGCTGCTTCTTCGTGTCCTTTGCCTACTTTTTAATGGGGCTATTTGCTTTTTTCTTGTTGATTTGTTTAAGTTCTTTTCTGGATATTAGTCCTTTGTCAGATGCATAATTTGCAAATGTTTTCTCCCATTCTGTAGTTTGTCCATCTGCTTCGTTGATAGCTTATTTTGCTGTGCTGAAGCTCTTTAATTAGGTCCCAACTGTCAGTTTTTCTTTTTGTTGCATTTGATTTTGGGGACTTAATCATAAATTATTTGCCTAGGCAATGTCCAGAAGAGTATTTTCTAGCTTTTCTTCTAGGATTTATATAGTTTCAGGCCTTACATTTAAGCCTTTAATCCATCTTGAGTTTGTTTTTGTATATGGTGAGAGGTAGACGTCTGGTTTCCTATTTGGATGCCTTTTATTTCTTTCTCTTGCCTGATTGCTCAGGCTAGGACTTGCCGCATACTGATTGCTGTGGCTCAGTACCATGCTGAATAGGAGTTGTTAAGAGTGGACACCCTGTTTTTTTCCAGTTCTTAGGCGGAATGCTTCCAACTTTTGCCCGTTCAGTATGATATTGACGGCTGGGTGCAGTGGTTCACACCTGTAATCCCAAGACTTTGGAAGGCCGAGGCAGGAGGATTGCATGAGCCTAGGAGTTCAAGACCAGCCTGGGCAGCATAGTGAAACCTTGTCTCTACTAAAAATAAAAAAAATTAGCCACACATAGTGGCATGCACCTGTAGTCCCAGCTTACTTGGGAGGCTGATGCAGGAGGATCACTTGAGCCTGGGTGATACAGGCTTCGGTGAGTTATGGTTGCACCACTGCACTCCAGCCTGGGCAATGGAATAAGACCTTGTCTCAAAAAAAAAAAAAAAAAAAAAAAAAAAAAAGATATTGTCATAGGTGGCTCTTATTATTTTGAAGTATGTTCCTTTGATGCTTAGTTTATTGAGGGTTTTTTATAATGAAGGGATGTTGGATTTTATTGAATGCTTTATGCTGATTGATTCTGAACATTGATAAAGAGGTATATATATATATCTTTAAATGATTTGTTCAGACTTTAATGGAAAGTACTAGTAAGAATAGCATGTAGAATTTCCAAATCACCCCATGTGGAGTGGGGAAATAGAGGAACAAGGAAAACTTCATCAATTGAGCAAAAATTGTTTTAAAAAATAAGAAAACACGGGCCGGGCACGGTGGCTCACGCCTGTAATCCCAGCACTTTGGGAGGCCGAGGCACGTGGATCACGAGGTCAGGAATCGAGACCATCCTGGCTAACATGGTGAAACCCCATCTCTACTAAAAATACAAAAAATTAGCTGGGCATGGTGGCGGGCGCCTGTAGTCCCAGCTACTTGGGAGGCAGGAGAATGGCGTGAACCCGGGAGGTGGAGGTTGTAGTGAGCCGAGATCACACCACTGCACTCCAGCCTGGGCAACAGAGCGAGACTCCATCTCAAAAAAAAAAAGAAAACACTGTGTAGAAAACCAAAGACAAGAATAAAACCACTCATATCAGTGATTACAAAAAATATGAATGGGATAAAGTCACCTATTAAAGGCAAAAGGTCTCATAAAGTGAGAACAACAACAGTATCTAGCTATGTGTTCTTTATAAATGAAACACTAAAATCAAAAAGGTACCAAAAATTGAAAATAGAGGAAAGATTACGTCTGCCCATATTGAGATCTGATGGAGCTGTGAGACTTTACATTTTTGTTTTTCATATGCTTTTGAAGTATTTATGAATGTCCTGGGATATAAGTCTAGGAATAGGAGCAAATTCTTGAAACCATTTTATTATATGTTTTCACAAAATAATGTAATATGGTACTTGGTCTAAAGTGGCCAGTGTTTATTCTTTCAAATATTTTGGATTTATATAATTTCTTTCTTCCAAAAAGTTATCTTCAAGTCTTCAGGTAGAATAAAATCATAGTAGAAAATAAGTCTTTCTGGCCAGCCATGGTGGCTCACGCTTGTAATCCCAACACTTCGGGAAGCCAAGGTGGGAGGGTTGCTTGAGGCCAGGAGTACAAGACCAGCCTGGCAACATGGTGAGACCCCATTCTTAACAACAACAACAACAAAATAGCCAGGCGTGGTGGTGTGTGCCTGTAGTCCCAGCTACTAGGGAGGCTGAGGAAGGAGAGTAGCTTGAGTCCAGGAGTGTGAGGCTGCAGTGAGCCATGATCACACCACTGCACTCCAGGCTGGGCAACAAAGTGAGACCCCCAACTCAAAACAAAAACAATAAAGAGGCCGGGCACGGTGGCTCACACCTGTAATCCCAGCACTCTGGGAGGCCAAGGCTGGAGGATCACTTGAGGTCGGGAGTTCAAGACCAGCCTGGCCAACATGGCGAAACCCCATCTCTACTAAAAACACAAAAATTAGCTGGGCATGGTGGTGCGGGCCTGTAGTCCCAGCTACTTGGGAGTCTGAGGCACAAGAAGTCCTTGAACTCGGGAGGCAGATGGTTGCAGTAAGTGAAGGTTGTAGTGAGGCAAGATCACGCCACTACACTCCAGCCTGGGCAACAGAACGAGACTCTGTCTCAAAAAAAGAAAGAAAACAGTCTTTTGTTGCTGCTGCTGCTGTTGTTGTTGTTACAAAAAAAAAAAAAATTCCAGCCAATTGGCCATTTATTTTAGAATAGTATTAAAAAACAAAGTTTCCATATCAATATAAAATTTGTATAGCTTCCTAGAATTTATTAAAATAGGAATACTAATAGATTCAAAAAGGAAAATTTGTATAAATTAGTGAAAATTACCACCCTGTCCTTAATGCCCTATTTTAAGATTAGTCATTAAATAAATATTTACTTGCTGGCCCTGAACTCTGTGCTGGGTACTGTGAGGCACAAAAGAAGTACAAGATACTGCCTTTGCCTACTAAGAATTTTATTCATACTTTGACAGCTTTCTGTGTTGAACCAGTAAATGTTTTCTTACACAGAGCTCTAAAACATGTTTAATCTGGTATAATTTACCACTAGGCACAGGAAAATAATTATAGCTAACATTCCTTTAGTTTGTCTCTGTATATCCACACTTAACAACAGCATTTTCACATGATAGACACCCTGACATATGAATGAATGAATGAATGAATATCAGGTGCTAGATTAAAAGCTCTAATTCAGTATCTAATTTAATCCTCTCAACAATTATCATTTAGCTAGTGTATTATCCACATTCTATCAGTGAAGAAACTGAGCTTCAGATCACTTTAATTACCTTGCCCAAAGTCATAATTGAAGTGGCAGAATGGGACTGGAATCCAGGTCTAACTCAAGTGCTATAGTGGTGTGAAGGGAAGACTGGTAAGGGTTGGTGTTCATGGAGAATTTGTTGCTGGGTGTATACTTCTTGTTTAGATTTCCTGTTTTGAAAACATTCAAACTTGATCAACCAAAAGAAATCATTTGCATAAATGTTATTCAGTTCCAGGAGCCAGGTTCCACGCCTGTTAGCATCTGTCCGTCAGTTCTGTAAGCAATCTTACAGTGGTGTGTGTTCATCCTAAGTAGTACAAAACAGTGCAGAGGAGGAAGGCGGACAGCTTAGGGGAAATCTGACCACCATGCGTGTTGGAAGTATTTCTCTTGTTCTCCTGCTTTTAGAAAGCCATCTCTGCTTGCTTTTTCAGGGGGTTATTAAGATCCTACTCTCTTGGATACTGTGCTCTATTAGGCAGGAGACACAGGCAGAAAGAAGCTCACTTGGCATGAATTAGGCAACAGAGAAAACTCTTGCTCAGTGGGAGTAACCTGTCACAACCTGGTTTTCTCTGGCCAGATAACCAGTCTTGTCGAGTAGTAATGCCATTACAACATTCCCATTCAGATCCTCATGACCCAGTAATTGTTTTGAGAATGAGTGCAAAGCTATCAGACACCAACTACTATAATTAGAAAAGGGAAAAATAGACACTTACCAGAGCTAATGTCTTTAGGCTGGAGCATTTACAGCTTTTTGTTTTTTGTTTTTTAAGTTATGGAGCCTCTTTCTCAGTTTTGCTTCCTAAAATACAAATTGCATGGTTTAGGGGTTCTTGCATTTCATTTTTGTTACTGCTGTGCACTCTCTTTCCTTTTTTCCCCCCTATTTTAATCGGAGTACAAATTGCTGTCAGCACATCGAGTTCATGTGCCAGCCACATTCAGAACAGGGTGTTCTGTGCTCTTCAAAACAAAATTGCTCTAGGGCAGTAAGAGAACAATAAGTCAGAGCTCCAGTTTAAGTGATGTTTTGCAGCTCGCTTGATGTGGTTACACTCCGATTGCGCAGCTAAGCTTGGGTAATTTGGTTTGGTTTGACTTTGTGGGGATTTGGAGGACCTCCCTCCCCCTTTAAGTTACATAGTCTTTAAGTCAAGAAAAAAATGTTGTCTCTTTTTAACTTGTTTATTTCTTTCTCTACCAAAAAAGCCCTAAGTAGAAGCATCCTGTATGTACTTTTATTCTCTTTGGGCATGTCATAGATGATTTACTTCCCGTAAATCATGCTGGTTGGGATTAGCAACAGACCTCCTGAGCCCTACAGGCTGCACTCCCAGTGAGTCACGATGGTTATTATTAAATATTTATTAAGTTAGTATTTGCACTAAAAGATGCCAGGTCAAAAAGCAACCACAGGGCTTCCACAGCCAGAGCTGCCATGGTTTTTGTTCTGTTTTGTTTTGGTAGGAATTTTTAAGATAACATTAAAAAGAATAAGTGGAGCTATAGGAGCTAGGCTCATCTGCATCTGTTACTGCAATCAGGGCCCCTACTGTGGCAATCAGCAGTCTTTCCGTGGCTCCAAGTGGTGTGTGAGTTCTTGTCAGCAGTCTCGTAGAACTTTTCACATCAGTGTTCCAAGTTTAGAAACCAGTTAACCCAGCAATGCCCTTTGCTACTTGTAGATGTAGAGAATCAATGGGCTGTATTCACCATGAGGCTGTGATACCTCCTTTTACTCTGACATTCCGAATGTTGTCAGTATTACAAGGCGATGGTTTTGGTTTTTTATATAAACTGGGGTGTATATGTCTGGATGTATATCCGTTTAAGATTTTATAGTACTGCAGGGTCCAATTGTGAAGGGTTAGATTTACCAGGAAAAAAAAGATTAGTCCACATGTAAAGTAGAAAATATTTATAAGAGCTATCACAAATGTTTACTGTCCTATTACAGCATCAGACACTAGTTCTGTCATTTATTGTCTCTCTGAGAAGACTAGCTACAATGAATGTTTTGCTTTCTTAATTATGCCTTTGTTACAGTTTGACTTTTTTTTGGCATGGTTACTTCATTTATCTTTCCCAACATGTTTATTAGTAGCCAATCTTTTTCCCTCACTAATGATGGGTTATCACATCTAAAGAGAACTTCTGAAATTACTCATTTAATTTTAATATCAAGTACATACATCAAGCTGAAAAACAGCCTAGGAAACTAACGCACAGGCAGGAATCCTTGCAGAGTCTCTGGATTTCCTGTTTTGAAAACATTCAAACTTGATCAACCAAAAGCCACAACAAATGTACTGATAATTTCCTCCCCCACTAAATGTACTCTCCTTAAGGGAGGAAGATGATACTTCCAACAATAAACTTCAGACAAAAAAAATCTGTTAACTAAGTTGTGAGCTACTAGGACAATAAATCTCTATACTTGAGACATTCCACAATACATGAGAAATTTACTTTGCTCAGCAAATCTTTTTTTTTTTTATGAAAAGTGTTATTAGTCTAAATTTCTTGGGCAGAGTTTTAAATATTTAGAAATGCAAACTTTTTAGAACTCTTAACCTCCTTAGAAATATCAATTTTTACTCCAGTAAAAATATCTTTTTTTTTTTGAGACGGTCTCACTCTGTCACCCAGGCTAGATTACAGTGCCGCAATAACAACTCACTGCAGCCTGGAACTCCTAGGTTCAAGCAATCCTCCCACCTCAGCCTCTCGAGTAGCTGGGACTTATAGGTGTGCGTCACCACCCTCAGCGAATTCAGTAAAAATATCTTAAGCCTCAGACTCCCTGTAGAACCTCTCTAGTATGCATGTACAGTCATATGCTGCATAACATTTTGTTTAACAGCAGATTGCACATAGGACAGTGGTCCCGTGAGATTATAATTCCATATCTTTACCTTCTCAATGTTTAGATACACAAGTACTTACCATTGTGTTACAGTTGCCTACAATATTCAGTACAATAACATGCTATACAGATTTATAGCCTAGGAGCAATATGCTATACCACTTAGCCGAGGTTATAGTAGGCTGTTCCATCTAGATTTGTGTAAGAACATTCTAAGATGTTCCCACAGTGATGAGAATACCTGATGACACATCTCTCAGAATGTATCCCCATCCTTAAGTGAAGCGTGACTGTATTTGAAAAAGTTTAAATTTGAATTTATTTTTTAAATGTTTTCCAATTCAGAATGAACTTTCAATTTGCTACAAGTTAATTTTATCTAGAGCATTCTAAAAGTAAGTCTAACAGAAGGAATTATCAGCATTTATGAGTGTGGGACATAAACTAAAATGCCATATGCGAGCTCTACCAAGCCACTCCAACTCTAGCCCTTGTTTGGAGGAGCTGACTCAAGAGTTAGGCCCTTTCTAGTTTGGCCCAAGTTTCTTAGACCCCATTCTGTGTCTGCAAGGGGAACACATCAAGATGGTATTAATACTGGTGAGTTAAAAAAGAGTAGTGAGTACTCACTTCGGCAGCACATATACTAAAATTGGAACAATACAGAGAAGATTTAGCAAATCGAAAAAAGAGAAGAAAAGGGTAGAACGCTTTAGAGCATAAATGTCCAGGGGACATTTCGGCCCCTAGTGTCTACACCATTTCTGTTCATTCTTCAGTTTTTCTCATTTCTCAGGCCTGGGCTAGGGGTAATTCAATTAAATTATTAACTGCAGGAATTAGATTTGAAGCTGGTTTCTGGACTATATTGATATTGAGAGTGATATTACCAGGTCATAGAATCATAGAATTTTAGAGCTTCATTGAGATCATGTAGTTCAAAAGTAGAATAAGTTAGATTTGAATTTTTATTTGGAAGGTAATAGTTGTTTTATTGGGCATGGAATGAGTATAACAGAACGAGTGATTTTTAGTCTCTCTACAAGTTGTTGATCTAAAGTAAAGTAGATCAGCCAGTGTTAGAAAAGAAGCATTTTAGGAAATCTCTAGATTTGAATATAGGCTATTATGTTACAGAAGTAGGAATAAAGGATTTTCTTTCTTTTTTATTTTTATTTATTTATTTTTTTATTTATTTTGAGATGGAGTCTCCCTCTGTTGCCCAGGCTGGAGGCTGGAGTGCAGTAGCGCAATCTCAGTTCACTGCAACCTCCGCCTCCCAGGCTCAAGTGATTCTTGTGCCTCAGCCCAAGTAGCTGGGATTACAGGCACGTGCCACCACACCTGGCTATTTTTTGTATTTTTAGTAAAGATGGGGTTTTGCCATGTTGGCCAGGCTAGTCTCAAACTCCTGACCTCAGGTGATCCACCCGCCTCGGCCTCCCAAAGTGTGGGATTACAGGCGTGAGCACCGCGCCCAGTCAGGATTTTCTTATGAAATCCAAATTATCATATTGCTTGGTGACTGTTATGCTGTCATACCAGCCATCCATTTTTCTTATTACATCAAAAACTTAAAATAGAATACCCTTAATATTAAAAGTAGTTGTAAAGTTTCAGAGAATTGTTTTTCCTAGAAATAAAGAGTCTAGGCCAGACCTGGTGGCGCATACCTGTAATCCCAGCGCTTTGGGAGGCTGAGGCGGGTGGATCACCTGAGGTCAGGAGTTCGAGACCAGCCTGGGCAACATGGTGAAACCCTGTCTCTACTAAAAATAACAAAATTAGCTGGGTGTGGTGGCACACACCTGTAATCCCAGCTACTTCGGAGGCTGAGACAGGAGAATTGTTTGAACCCAGGAAGTGGAGGCTGCAGTGAGCAGATATCACGCCACTGCACTCCAGCCTGGGTGAGACAGAGCAAGACTGCGTCTCAAAAAAGTCTAACTCATCAAGAAAAAATAGATATCTGTATGCATTTTTTCTATTTTGTCTTAAAATATGAGAAAAAGCCTCTTATTTTAATATGAAATTACTCTGGGAAAGAGCTTGGTAAATTGGGGTGGAACGGGGAATTAGGCCTCCCAAAATTGACCTCCTAATATTTCAGGGGAGGTTATTAAGTAATTTGATTTGTGAAGTTATAGTAGACTATTGATTCTTTCACACTTTACATTTATTATTTCCAGTAAGGGATATAGCTAAGATAGTTATTGATGTTGTTGTCTTTGGATTTACCATTTTTATTCAGATATATTTGTGAATGAGATTAGGACTCTTAAAGAAGAAGGAGCATCTGTATTCATTTAATCTTTGTATATCATTGGAGAAATAGCCATTTAGTTGGCTTTTTGGCCCAAGCATCTGAAGCCAAGATGCAGTTACAGATGTTTATATATTTGATATTAAATTTGTGGCATTTGATAACTTTATTAAATAATTCAGCATCTCTTGACTTTGTATTATAGGTGAGGAAACTTCTGTCACATAGTAGGCTTAGAATAAACCTGTGTTTCTGGTTTGTTACCCACTAAACTGTCTTATTGATACAAATATCAGTAATTACAAGTTTAATTTAGAAATATGGTTGCTCCTAAACTTTCAGACTGGGTAGACTAAGCTTCACCAAGACACACTGTGTGTGTCTCTTGATGAAATGAGAAAGGGGAAATGGTATTTGCTACATTGTCGACCACTCATTTATCACTTCACTGAATTAGCCAGTCCTAAGAAGCAGCTCTGTTGACTCTCCTGTCTCCTTGCCCTCAGTCCACCTGGAAGGCCGCTGTGGTGGAAGGATGTTTGACTGCAGAGATGTGGCATTCACTGTGGGCGAAGGAGAAGACCACGACATTCCAATTGGAATTGACAAAGCTCTGGAGAAAATGCAGCGGGAAGAACAATGTATTTTATATCTTGGACCAAGGTAAGCAGCATACCAGTTTGGAACACAGTGAAGTCACCTAAAGGACAGGGATATGCTTGCTTTTTCATTCAGTGTTTTGGCATTTTCAGTGAAGTTAATCCAACAACGGAAACAATTAAATCAGGCTGCAGTTAGTCATCACGTAAATTAATGGGCCTTACAATATCATAGAGGTTTGTGAGCATGTTTACTTGATTGATATATGTTCAGAACAGGTCTTACAGCCACTTTTTGCTTTTGTGATGATTTGTTTTGCCTGCAGTATTGCCAAGACAGGCAGCTATGGACCCCTCTCATATGTGGTTCTCTTACCCCCTCTTCCCTTTTCTCTAAGTTAGGCAGGAGGCAGGAAAACATGGGGGTTGGGAGTCAAAGAAGCATTTGGATGATTTACTACCACTTGAACTTGTGCCACTTGTTCTTATACAGAGTCCCTGAAAAAAAAAGCACATTCTTCCTGGATCTAAAGGCAACAGAGATGACTCATTTTTTGTCTAAGTTTTTCCCATCATAAGGATATCCATTAGCACTTTCAAGCTTAGAACCATCAGACACTGACAGTCTCTCTTGTGAAAACATGTTTAGTAGTATTTTTAGATCTAAAATTATACCATGAATCCAACTCTTCTGTCTTGAGAAACAGACCCCTGAGAGAACCCGGGGTGTTTTGATTTTGTCTGCATGAGAGTGCATCTGCTTATCTAGTGTATCCTCCCTCCGGCTCCATGGATTTCAGACAGTGGGATTCTGAGTTACTGAGAATCTTGATGACCTGCACTTGCCAGTAGGTGATGTTAAGCCTTTTGTGGTGTCATTTTATAGACTCTGTAGTAATCCAATGGCAGTTTACCTTTGCCCCAGCACTTGATCCATAATCATATATATATATATTTTGAGATGGAGTCTTGCTCTGCCACCCAGGCTAGAGTGCAGTGGCATGATCTTGGCTCACTGCAACCTCTACCTCTGGGTTCAAGCAATTTTCCTGCCTCAGCCTCCCGAGTAGCTGGCATTACAGGCACCCGCCACCATGCCTGTCTAATTTTTGTATTTCTAGTAGAGACGAGGTTTCACCATTTTGGCCAGGCTGGTCTCAAACGCCTGACTTCAAGTGATCCTCCCGCCTCAGCCTCCCAAAGTGCTGGGATTACAGGTGTGAGCCACCACGCCCAGCCCATAATCATATTTTTGAGGTGATCTAGCCATGCAACTACCACTTGAAAATCCTTCCAAAGTGCTCTACCTTGAACTCTTCATAGCCGTCACTGAGGCACCCTTTGTATAATGGCTTCTTTTTCTCTACCTGGTTCCTCTTTCCACTAACTATAGCCCCCACTTCAATGTGTCTTATTTATATTAATATTTACTCTATATTTGTAGTTTATTCTTAGGTGAAACTAATTCTGTTTCTAGGAGATACTCCTTAAAATTCAGATAGAGCATAGAAAAAGCTATCTCTTCCATATCCAAATAATCTCTAATTACTTTTTTTTTTTTGGTAACAGGATCTCACTCTGTCGCCCAGGCTAGAGTGCAGTGGCACAGTCACGCTCACTGTAGCCTCAACCTCCAGGGCTCAGGTGATCCTCCCACTTCAGTCTCTAGAGTAGCTGGGACTACAGGTGTGTGCCACCACACCCGGCTACTTTTTGTATTTTTTGTGGAGACAGGGTTTTGCCATGTTGCCCAGGCTGGTCTCCAACTCCTGGACTCAAGTGATCCGCCTGTCTCACCCTCCCAAAGTGCTGGGATTGATTACAGGCATGAGCCACTGCGCCAGGCCATCTCTGATTACTTTTAATCAGCATTTCAAAATTACAGTAGTTCTAAACTCAGAGAGGTGGATTTATGTGTAATGTATATTTTCAAAATTTAAGCTCCCTTAGGATAAATTCTGTATGTATTATGACAACATAATGTTATAGGAACCAGTTTATATACATTACATTTTAGCCTGGCTGACAAGGCAATTGTGGGGACAGATGTCTCAAGTTTAGTGACAAAGAAAAATAGAAATTGTCTTTAAATTTTTTAACGCAAACAGTTCTTTACAGATTTAAACTGTTTGTTGTATCATTAGTGGTTACACTTTGCTCTGTGCGCTTGGCCAAGGCACTTAACCCTCCTAAGCTTCAGTTTCCCCTCTGTAAATGGGGATGACAGTATCCATCTCATAAAGTTATGGAGAGCTAAATAAAATCCTGCACATATAGGGCACACATGAGCCCGCAGTGTGTGAGCTTTTGTTGCTATTGTGACGGCTCACCTTCTCTTCCATTTTACCCTCGGACCACAAGAAAAAGGAAATCCTGTTTAACATGAGATCAATCTTTCAGATCTTTTCAGGCATAAAAGTTGTCAATAGGTTTTCATAAATTTCTAGGTATAAAAGTTTATGAGTTTTATGGAAATAATTTAGCATATTTAGAAAGGAACATTATTTTTGTTCAAGGTGTTGGTATGTTGGAGAATTATGTGAAGTGCATTCTCTGTAATATGAGACTGCTGCATATGCATTGCGTAGTACTACATATATATGTAGAAAACCCCTACATGCTATATATGTGTGTGCGTATGCATACTGTGTGTATAGAAAACCCCCTACATGCTATATATGTGTGTGTGTATGCATGCTGTGTGTGTGTATAGAAAACCCCTACATGCTAAGCATGTTTTCAGTGCAGGCAGTGAATTTACTTGTTTTATTCAGCTTCCCACTTTCATAAAACATTGCATCTAAATGTTGCTATAAGTATGGCTGTTGCAGAAAATATCTGCAAATAGCTCTTAGTGTCATCTGTATTTCATTCTCCAGAAAATTTCCAAGGCAGACCTTCTCTGTGACTCTGATACTCTGATAGACTCTCGGGAAGAATGTTTTCTTTCTGTCCCTCCCCCACCCCCCGAGACAGGGTCTCACTTTCACCTAGGCTGGAGTAGGGTGGCATAATCTGTAGCCTCGAACTCCTGGGCTCAAGGGATCCTCCCACCTCAAGCTCCTGGGTAGCTGGGACTACAGGTGTGCTCCATCCTGCCTGGCTGATTTTTTTCATTTTGTAGAAACAGGGTCTTACTATGTTGTCCAGGCTGGTCTCAAACTCTTGGGCTCAAGCAGTCCTCCAGCCTCAGCCTCCCAAAGTGCTTGGGATTACAGGTGTGAGCCACCACACCTGGCCTAGAATGTCTTCATAATAAGAAAGTCATAAAACATTTCCAGACAATCCATTTTTCTTTCTCCTCATTGGGACAATATCTTCCCTTTGTATTGTTTTAAATACTGAGACTAATAAATCTTTTTTGTTTTAGGTCAAGTGTATATAGTTTTAACTTTTTTTTCCGTCCTTTCCTTATGTTTCTGTCACGCATGAACCCCAAACAAAAACACAGGCTATTGGTCAGGCAAGGTGGCTCACACCTGTAATCCCAGCACTTTGGGAGGCCGAGGCGGGAGGATCACTTGAGGTCAGGAGTTCGCGACCAGCCTGGCCAACATGGTGAAACCCCGTCTCTACTAAAAATATAAAAATTAGCTGGGCGTGGTGGTGCATGCCTGTAATTCCGGCTACTCGGGAGGCTGAGGCAGGAGAATCGCTTGAACCCAGGAGGCGGAGGTTGCAGTGAGCTGAGATCATGCCACTGCACGATGCCTGGGGTGACAGAGTGAAACTCTTGTCTCAAAAATAAAAATAAAAAAACAGACTACCAAGAGCCATAATGTCTAGTTATGAGGCAGTATGAGTCCAAAAAACCTGATTTTCTGGGGACACACAGGGTCTGAATTTAAACCTGGCTCTACCACTGCCTGTGTGTGACTTCTCAGGAAGCACTCTGTGTCTTTATCTGCAAAAAGGGAGCAATTGGTAAGAGCTTGTAGTCCAAGTGCTTCTTATATGCACATTAAGGCTTAATGGTCATTCATAGTCATTATTTGTATCTCTATTCTCTGGAGGAAACTCTTAATTCAAGGGCATTAACGCTGAATTCCTTCTGTTACCATAGTCTAGATTATCTTTTGGTTAGGTCTTGGGATTCCTCTTGTGGTGTTTTGTTTTTCAGTCAGATGAGTTGGGTGCCCTGGTTCCTTCTTCACCCAGGCTGACAACTTTCTGTGTAATATGGAAGTCAGGGTAGGTGCTGCCAGAATATCTTGGCGTGGGCTTCCACCTCTGCAGGATCATGTGCGCCACACGTATCTTGACTGAATCGCTTCATTTTAACCTGGGAGAGATTGTAGAAATAATATTTTTCTTTAGTCTTCTTTAATCCCATCAATAATAGGACACTTGGTGCCTCCCTTGATACAGCCCCACATTCCCCACAGGCAGATTTTCTCATCCTCAGCACTGTTGACACTTTGGGCTTGCTAATCCTTGGTCATAGGGGGCTGTCACGTGCATTGTAGAATATCCAGCAGTATTCCTGGCCTCTTCCCACCAGATACCAGTAGCACCCCCATAGTTGTGACAACCCATAATATTTCTAGACATTGCCAAAGGTTTCCTGGAGGGAAGAGGAGTTAAAATCAACCTGGTTGAGATCTGCTGGTCTAAGGCAAATGCCAGATCATTTGTTGCATTTGCAACTGCTTAGCACAGGACTCCAAATATAACATGCTCTCAGAAAATATGTGCTTAGCAAGGACTCACCTACCTACCTGGGTAGTTAAGGAATTTTTTTAAAATTTATTAGATGGCAGAAACAAGGTAGTAGGTATATACATCTAAGAGCTCAAAGTAGAAAATTAGGCATCACTTCTTAAAATTGGTCACTGGTAATTATGTCTTTGTGGAAGATACCCTTTGCCCCGCTCCTCATTCCTACCAGCTCTCGTATCTCTATTCCTCTTTTTGGCTCCAGCTTCCATTTTCTGTGTAACAGTGGAGGTGAGTGAGTAAGCATTTTTATTCCTGGAAAATCCAGGCAAAGGGTAAAGAAAGTGGTGCAAGCAACAAAATTTGAGTGTTCCCACTCTAGTCCCTTTGCCCCAGAGAAAACTGGAGGTATTAGATTAAGTCGGTTTTGACATCTTTCAACCTGTACCTTGAAAGCTTGAGTTTACTAAGTTTTTTGTAATACCATTTCATATATTAAAGAACAGCTTTGCTTGCAACAAATGGGAACATAATATATTTCAGTGAACACTTGACTAATATGCTGGGCCTTGTTCTAAACAAACACTGGGAAACAGGTGAACCAGACAGAGCTCTGCTACAGCTCCCATTCTAGTAAATATCTGCTTCCCGAATACATTTAATTTGCTGGAGATCTTACATGATCCCAAGAAAACAAATGTATATGTCCTCAGTTATTTTTTTCAGTAAGTTTTGGCTAAAAGGTATAGAATCCTACACTCTGATAGCTATAAGCCATAAGAATATTTCTCTAGAGGAGGTGTCAGAACTTGCTAGGGCAGCTATTTTTGAGTATATCATTATGTTATTTGTGTTTCTTCATGTGCTTTTAAAAAAACTTAAATAGTGTGAAAACTTTTCTCTCCTGATGTGTGAGCCTTTCCCCTTCACTTATGTGACTGGAAGTGGTACTACTAGAAGTGACAGCACTTTAAAGTTAAAAGCTTATTAAAACATACCTCCCGTGAGTACCACTCTAACAATTACAGTGGCTGTGTCTTCTCTGTCCTTTTTGCTGATAAAACTTAGGGGAAAATTCCTGGCAGCTAAATCATGGCCATTTTATTAAAAAAAAAAAACTAGATATGAAATCAAGTAGAGAAAAAGACAGTGACATTTAAAATCCCATGAATCAAGCTGCCCCAAGGAGTACAGGTGTTGCATTACATGTGAATGTGAAGGAGAAAAGAAAACTAAACCTAGCCTGGTTTCTAAGAAAACTGTAGCAGTGAAGATACTTCACACTGTATCTTCTGGTCAACATCTGGTTTGTCTTCAGGGTCTCTGACACATGTAGCTTGCAAATGATAGCTCTGTTGATGCCTCAAAATACTGAAGGAAGTGCCTGGAAATACACCAATCCTTTTAAAGTTTTATTTTTTACTCTCCATTTCAGATATGGTTTTGGAGAGGCAGGGAAGCCTAAATTTGGCATTGAACCTAATGCTGAGCTTATATATGAAGTTACACTTAAGAGCTTCGAAAAGGTGAGAAAATACCAACTTCCTTAAAATTATGGTAGGTTTCTTCTCCATCCACTTCCTATAAATCAGTATCTTATCTTAGTAGGTGGTATAGATAGATGGTGTTTATTCATTATCAAGTTTGTCTCTTGCCTCCAACACTGCTGCTGAAGAATAGAACAACTGACATAGCACAGCTGATATACAACGAAGGAGCTCCGTGTTCTTATTTTGTTCCTATGTGTCAGCTTTTTTTTTTTTTTTTAACTTTTTTGGGTAGAATCCAAGACTTGTTCCCTTATTTGTTCCTAGACTTGTTCTTTTTGTACTTTTTTTTTCCTGGGTTGAGGACAGAAAGGTTCACGTTCTGCCAAGTGGCTCCTTGGGGGAGTGGGGTGCAGCTTTTCAGAGCTGAACGGATTGTACCCTTCACAGGAGTCACGAAGAGGCCTGCACTGTGGCTCCAAGTTGTTATCCCAACTGCAAGTCCTCGAGGGCCACTAGGCTCTGTGACCAGAGATACAAGAAAGAAAGCAGCTAACCCGAAGCCATTTTTTTTTTATACTTCTCCAAGTAGAGAAGAGAGAGAATTTGTCAGTTGCCTTGGATTCCAGAAACAGCATGCCTCCTTGAACATATTTCCATCTCAGTTTCACTCTGGAGGCTCCCAGCAGCAGCCGACCTGGACACACACAGCATATACCTGAGCTAGGTATGCTGTTGTCTTCGGCCACGTGCCCCTGGCATTTCCAAAGCCCCACCCTTTGTGGAGCTCAAGGACTGCATTTGTGTTCCTTTTTTATTCCTGCACAGTGCTACCTCCACGTTCTGTACATTCAACTTTTTTTTTTTTGAGATAGGGTCTCACTCTTGTCACCCAGGCTGGAATACAGTGAGCGCGATCATAGCTCACTCCAGCCTCAACTTCCTGGGCTCAAGCAGTCCTCTCACCTCAGCCTTCCAAGTAGCTGGGACTACAGGCACACGCTACCACACCCAGCTAATTTTGTTTATTTTTTGTAGACATGGGGTCTCACTGTGTTGCCCCAGCTGGTCTCAAACTCCTGGGCTTGAGCCATCCTCCTGCCTTGGCCTCCCAAAGTGCTGGGATTGTAGGGGTGAGCCACTGTGCCTGACCACATTAAGCACATTAATATAAATGGAAACATGACCATTTATATTTTGTTAGATTCAGAAAAGAAATCATTGTCCTGTGGGCCTGTACCTTTGGGCTAAGAAAGTGAGGGGAGGCCTGCTTTGGGATTCACCCCCAGTAGTGACATTCCTAATCATACCTCTTCTACTTCATGTTCCCCCAAACAAACATATGTCTGGTTATGACCACTGATTGTTGTCATGTAACCTCTTCTGAAGGCCTGCTAGCTCAGCACTGATCCCCCAATGCTGTTGTCATAGCATATGGTGTTTTTTTATTGTTAAAGAGAGAGAAGATAATCTTTAGCATGTGGTTATTTAGACCTATGGCTTTACTATTTCCATTTTTGTAAAGCAGCCTCTTGCCCCTTCCTTCTCGTGGCCCAGTGGACATTGCTTATTTAGGAGCACTCTCCCAGTGGTGTGCCACAGCAAGCCTGTGCTCTGTCATCACTCCAAGAGTATATTCATGCACTGCTGCTTGGTATATTTGAAATCACATGAAGGTATATGATGTTGTTTGGGGCAATGTGATTTAATCCTCTGCCTTGTTAAGAATAGACTAGGCCAGGCTGGGCGCTGTGGCTCACGCCTGTAATCCTAGCACTTTGGGATGCCGAGGTAGGTGGATCACCTGAGGTCAGGAGTTTGAGACCAGCCTGGCCAACATGGTGAAAACCCATCTATGCTAAAAATAGAAAAATTAGCTGGACGTGGTGGCAGGTGCCTGTAATCTCAGCTATTCGGGAAGCTGAGACAGGTGAATCGCTTGAACCCAGGAGGTGGAGGTTGCCGTGAGCCGAGATCATGCCACTGCACTCCAGCCTGAGAGACAGAGCAAGACTCCGTCTCAGAGGAAAAAAAAAAAAATATATATATATATATATAAAAATATATATATATATAAAAATATATATATAAATATATACACACACACACATACACACACATACTTATATTCCAGGCATGGTGGCTCACACCTATAAATCCCAGCACTTTGGGAGGCCAAGGCAGGATTACTTGAGCCGAGGAGTTCAAAACCAGCTTGGGCAACATAGTGAGACCCCCCTCTCTGCAAAAAAATTTAAAATTTTCCTGGGTGTGGTAGCACATTCCTATATTTCCAGCTACTCAGGAGGCCAAGATAGGAGGATGGCTTGAGCCCAAGAGTTTGAGACCAGCCTGAGCAACATAGTGAGACCCCGTCTCTACCAAAAAAAAAAAAAAAAAATTAGCTGGACATGGTGGCACATGCTTGTGGTCCCAACTACTCGGGAGGCTGAGGCAGGAGGATTGCTTGAGCCTGGGAAATCGAGGCTACAGTGAGCCGCGATCGTGCCACTGCACTCCAGCCTGGACGACAGAGCAAGATCCTGTCTCAAAAAAAGAAAAAATAAAAGAGTATCCTGTCTCAAAAAAAGAAAAGACAACAGAGCAAGATCCTGTCTTAGAAAAAGAAAAAATAAAAAAAAATTCCATAAAGACTGAAGCCAACCTAAGAAATACAAAGAGACTTATTAACTAGGTGTTCTTTGTTTTTGTTTTTTGGGTGCTAAAACCTGGAATTGAACCATAACTAGGTTTTTGAGTAATTTGAGCTACATTATTAGGAAGCAGAATTACATGAGTTGCCAGAAAGATGAGTAACCCTTTTATTATTCACTTTTAAAAAGTAGAGGATAGTCACTGGGCGCGGTAGCTCACGCCTGTAATCCCAGCTGAGGTGGGTGGATCACCTGAGGTTGGGAGTTTGAGACCAGCCTGACCAATATGGAGAAACCCCGTCTCTACTAAAAATACAAAAAATTAGCCGGGCATGGTGGTGCATGCCTGTAATCCCAGCTACTCCGGAGGCTGAGGCAGGAGAATCACTTGAACCCGGGAGGCAGAGGTTGTGGTGAGCCAAGATCACACCATTGCACTCCAGCCTGGACAACAAGAGCGAAACTCCGTCTCAAAAAAAAAATAATAATAATAATAATAATAAAAGTAGAGGATAGCAGGGGCTGTGACACCAGGAACACACACTCGTTATCTTTTGAATAGAGAGAATTTTAGTTACCCATTTAAACTTCATAATTTATATGCAGTAAATAGCACTGACCACACCCACTGTCACTTTTCCTAAAGGCTCCCAGATTGTTCTCTTGACTCTGGTCCTTCTAAATCCAGCTTGTAAATGGCAAGTGCAGTTATTTCTGGATTTGTATCTGTAATGGTGGAAGTAATAATACACACAATACAAGCTAGCAGATGATAATGAAGTCATTTATTTATGGCTCTAAAGTGATATTTTTGCATGAGCTTTACTCCCAATTATGTTTTGCTTGAAGTCCCCCCCAGTATACATCTGCAAGTTGATACAATTTAGCAGTATTATTAGTATATCTGGTTGTTTTAGAGTGGCAAGACAACCTGACCCAGAATTTTGAAAATTCTGTATGAATATACAAACTACAACTTGACTACAGTCATGTTCCCATTTTAGAGTTGAAAAACAGGCTTGAGAGAAACAGCCTAGTGGAGAGGTTTGCAGAGGGAGATAAGGCATGGCCTTAACTTTGTGTGGGTTCACCTTGTATTTCTAAAGATGCACTTTGTAGCAGTGCTTACCAGAGTACGTTCCTTACTGTGTTTTTGCGGCTCCTCTCTCTTGAGCAACATTGTTCAAGCTACAGCTTGGTCATGATGGAAAGTGAGTTCTTCAAACAGTATGAAGAAGCACTGGCCTAGCAGTAAATTGGCACTGACACACAATTTCAACAGCCAGAGTGTTTTCAGTTTGGAGTATCTTCTAGAATTAGCTGCTCTTTGTTCCAATAGGCCTCAACTGATGCTTTTCTCTCTGTTCATCTAACCATTGTCACAAATTTACACACAGGCCAAAGAATCCTGGGAGATGGATACCAAAGAAAAATTGGAGCAGGCTGCCATTGTCAAAGAGAAGGGAACCGTATACTTCAAGGTGTGTGAGTCCCTATGCAATCCTTTCCATCTCAAAGAATTTATTCAAGTGTTGGTGAATTGTGCTGATATTCCCTACTCTGAATTTTGTCAACACTGCTTGGTAAGAATAAGCTGCAATTTTTATAAATCTGTCATTTTCAATATGAAAAATGGTGAGAAAACAATCATGTGGAAAAAAAAAAAAGTACAGATTCCTCTTTTACACATTCTGCTCTAGATTGTAACCTTCCATACAGGCAGACCAGGTCTGGCATCCCCACCCACCACAGTATCACTCACTCCTAAAGCATCTTGCTTGGTACATAGTTGGCACTCAACAAGTGTTTTTGGAATGAAAAAAGAATGAATAGAATAATTGTTAGCAAAGAATGGAATTCATAAGGGTAAGTTTCACATCATTTTTCTTTCTTCCTTTTTTTTTTTTTGTATGAGAGACAGGGTCTCCCTTTCTTTCCCAGGCTGGTCTCAAACTTCTAGCCTCAAGCAATCCTCCCACCTCAGCTTCCCAAAGTGCTGAGATTACAGGCGTGAGCCACTGCACCGGGCCCATCTTCCTTTAGACTGTCTTGATGAAGTCACTAGAGCATATGATAAAAGGAGAGAGGACATGCACAAATTTCAAAACAAACTGACAGGAGAGTATTGATTGCTTCTAATGGCCAAGATGATTCCTGCACACTTGCTTTTATGAGGAATCTCCGGATATTCCTGAATGATATTCATCATAAATTGCTTCTCAGAAACCCTTCTTGGAGCAACTAGGAGTGTGATATTTTCTCACTTAGATCTTAAACCTCTAGATGTAAGAAAAAAAGAAACCGCCCTTCATTCTGTTTTAATCAGTGTTCTACCCATTGCTTCCCCACCCCAAATATATGCCTTCTCCATGTCAAGCAGAAAGGGCTTAGTGATGAGAATTAGAGGGAGAATGGGAGTTCTGTCAAGGTTTCTTTCGTTTTCTGCCACTGCAATACAGAAATTAGATGTTTTTCAGCAGTATAAAGCAGTGAGGCATAAGTGTACTTTAACAAGTCTTTATGGGGCATCTGCTATAAGACATGCTATTATTAAGTTACAACCTTGTCAGGAGGGAGGAGTGGCAATGTTAATCCAAATGAAACAACTAGAGAATTATGTAAGAATATATAATCAACCCAAAATTAACACAGCCAGAGGGCACCATGTGTTTTCAGAATTTGAGCTGAGACAATATTGGGTCATGAAATCAGTTTTGTGGAAGTGTATTGCAATATGTTATAAGGATCAGTTTTGTTGCATAAAACTTTGCTTGTGTATGAGTAAGTACTGGATTGCATATTTCTTACTGTGGGTGGTATTCAAACAAATTTTAAATCATGGGTTTAGATAAGTATAAATATATAAATATGTTATTTATCATTATTTACTATGTATACTAAACTCTTATGGATCACCAGAAAGCATGGGGGTATGATAGAATAAGCTCAGAATTGGGAAAAATGGGCTTTATTGCTCTTCAAATGATTTAGTCATTTAAGGTCCAAAGAGGTTATATTTTCAAGTGAAAAATAGGGGAGTTAGATGTTCCCCAAGTTTCTTTCCAGCCTGAATTTCTGTGAGTTTCTAAACTCTCAAGAACAAGTGTTATTTTTTTGGTTTTGTTTTGTTTTTAATTCTAATTGAGGTATATTGGATACTTCTAAACTATTCAAGTAAGATTCCAAGTGGGTTATTTGTATATCCAAATACATAATACACTAGAGGGAAAAATGTTTCTACAAAATTTCTTAAGATCGTGAGTCCTTAACAGTATTTTCTATATTTCCGAAGTCCATAAAAATCCTTAACTATATTTTATATATTTCCTCAATACTTCCAAATAGAATATTAACAGTTTGGGAAGATTTGAGGCTTTTGGCCTTTGACTAGAATTATATCGATTCAGTGTAGTAAAACAGCTCAGCTATTCAGAGGCTCTAATCGGTGCTATGATACAGAATTTTGGAGAACATTATTGGTAATGAAATAATGTTATGAAGCCATCTGTCATATAGCTGTGTTCTGAATATATACAGAGAGATGGCCAGAATTAGTGATCAGTAGCAGAAAGCAATGAGTGTCTGTACAGTTACTTAACTTTGTTGCTTATCAGCATCACAACTGCAAGAGTGATACTATTATGAACCTACTTAAAATTACCAATCTTTGGATAAAATCTGGATCAGCAGTCACACACATGGAAAAAATTATTTTTAACATGGAATTTGATAGGCAAAATTTTTCAAAACATTAGTCCATTGGGGAAAAATTAATGAAAGGTTCAAAACCACTGACCTGAGACTTTTCTCCCAGAATGTCTCTGAACATTTTGTACCACTAAAAACTTCCCTGGAGGCACCTTTATAATTATAGGTAAAAGATCCCAGCAGTAGTCCTAGCGTTAGCTGTAAAACTTCAAAATGGTTAGTAGATAGTTTCCTGTACATATTCCCTTCCCAACTCAGGGCAGGTTTCAATCTGCCATACTGCCCTCCCGGGCCTTGTCTTTCCAGGGTGTCTGACTTGGCATGTTATGCATTTGCACAGAGTCCAGATGTGTAGGTGAGAGCAGAGATGGGCTGAACTAAAGATCTGTATTTCATGCCATCTGCATATTGGAATTCTGTTTCCATTGATCTGTTGGTTTGGTTTATACCTAAATGGGTAAAGCCTCTCTCCTGAGTAGGATTGAATTGTACTCAGCTTTTAAGTGGGAATGATTTTGCCATTGAAGATGTAAAGTCCTCATTTCAACCTCTGAATACTAAAGAGAAGAAAAATAGAGAACTCTATTTGGCTCTGAAAATAATTATTAAGTACAGGTAACAGCATAATATTAAGCCAGGCATTGTGCAAGCGAGTTAAACAGACACGATTTTTGCCCTCATAGCTGACAGTGTTCTGCAGGACAGGAGCATTAACTCACACCTGGTCAGTGTTTTTCTTTTTTCTGACTTGGCAGCAGAGTGGCAAGAAGGCTAAGAACACTGAAGTGATGTGGGATTCTTGCGCCCCCTTGTGCTTCTCCTGGGAAGAAAGCATTTCTAAAACAAACTAGTTGAGGAGAATTGTTCAACCTCTAAACTCTTCAGATAAATCGGGCTTTGCTATATTTTCACCACCCTTGCTGTTCCAAGATACCAGTAATGTGATTTAGAAACAAGCCGTTTATGACTCTAGGATTTGATGTTTTAAAAAAAATTCCTAAGAAGAGTCCACCCTGTCTTTCATCTCTTTCCTTTAGTGCAGAATTTTTCAACCTCAGTACTATCAACATTTGGAGTGGGATAATTCTTGATTGTGTGGGGCTGTCTTGTGCATTGTAGAATATTTAGCAGCATTCCTGGCCTCTGCCCATTAGATGCCAGTAGCATCCTACCCAGTTATGACAACTAAAAATGCCTCCAGACCTGCCAGGTGTTCCCTGGGGGGCAAAATCACCCCCCAGTTGAGAACTGCTTTAGTACCTCAGAAGCAGGGAGTACAAGACAGACTTTTCGCTAATTGGAAGTTGAAGTCTAAATAAAGTTACATGATATATATGCAAGAGCTTTCAAAAAATTAAAATGCCCTATGTGAAGGAACTATTAAGAAGTCTAATACCTGTTTTTTGTGTTTTGTTTTGTTTTACCATGGCCTTCTACCATTCTGATTATTCAGAACTTATTGAAATGTTAAGATCTAGGTTTTTGTCCTCCCTGGCTCTTCTTTTCTTTCCCTATACAATATATTAGGAGATAATCAGAAAAGTTAAGTTAATCAATGCATTAGAGAGGGAGGAGGAGAGAGGATGAAGAAATGAGGCATGACAGGGGAAATGCCTGTCCTTCCTATCTCATCTCAGTGAAACAACACTTTTCATTTCCACCCACACATTTTTTGCTCCCAATGATAGCAAAAGGTTTTGTTGTTGGTATTGTTTTTAGAGAGAGAGGGTCTTACTCTGTCACCCAGGCTGGAGTGCAGTGGCACAAGCATAGCTAACTGCAGCTTCGAACTCCTGGACTTAAGAGATCCTCCTGCCTCAGCTTCCCAAAGTGCTGGGACTATAGGCGTGAGCCACCACACCACTTTAGAAAAAGTCTTGATTCCATATTTACATTCCTTTGATTTCAATATTTACTCAACAAACCTTTATTAAAGACCTCTTGGTGCTAAACCCTGAATATTCCAAAAGGGAGAGGACAATGCTGCCTGTCCTCAAAGACCAGCAAGAGAAAAGGCAGTGACAGAAAGAAAATGCCGACCTGAAACTGGTGAGGACTTTATTCTTTTTTTTTTGTAGCATCCAAAAAAGGAGTGGTAGGCCTAAGACTATGACAAAATTTAAGTATTGTCTTAGCTTGGGCTGCCACAGTAAAATACCATACACTGGGTGGCTTCAACAACAGGAATTTACTTCTGGAGACTGTAAGTCCCAGATCAAGGTGTTAGCAGGATCAGTGTCTGGGGAGGGCCTCTCCTCTGGTTCCTTGTAGCTCCCTTCTTGCTGTGTTCTCACATGGCCTTTCCACATGCATGTGAGTGGAGAGAGGGCAGAGGGCAGCAAGCACCCGAGTTTCTTCTTATAAAGGCTCTAATCCCATCATGAGGCCCCACCCTCATGACCACATCTAACCTAATTCCCTCCCCAAATGCTCCATCTGCAAATATCACATTCGGGGTGAGGGCTTCAACATAGGAATTTAGGATGGGGGACACAATTCAGTCCATAGCAAATCTAATTTCCTCAAGAATTTCAGCATTTAAAATAAAATGCCCTGGTTTCGTGTTCTTATGAATGACCTGTATCACACACTTCTGAGGCAGAGAGGGTGACAGACTTTGATTTTAGTGCCAGTCTTCCCTCTCCTAAGTGAGTGACTTGGGAAGAAGGATGTTCGAGGGATGTAGCCTGGCCCTCATTCACACCCAGGCCCTCCAGCTGGAACAGGTCTGCCCCATCTTCATCACCAGAAAATCCACACCAGGGCTTCCTTTCTACAGGCAGAGCTCGTTTCTTACATCACCCACTTGAAGTCCTGTATCACAGGCATGTCCTCTTAGACCTGCTCTATGGTTTTTCTCTTACTCAGACTCCTTGGGTGAGGGTTGGAGTATTTGTGGGGAGAGACAACTCGGCAGTGAGATGTACGCGCTGCTTGGGCTGTGGTAAATCCTAGTAACATGGTCTTAACACTGTTGGTCAGGCATTGAATTTAATGTCCTAATAGGTCTGGCTGCTCCTCTGCCATCTGGCAGGATGTATCATCTGTGGTTTTGAGCTTATCACCTCCTCAAAGGAGAATCCCCACTTGTACTCCTGTTTCTATTTGCGTATTTACCAGCGATTCCCCAGTGCTTTCATTTACCTTAAAATCACAGTGGACACATTGTCTCAGCCCTGGAGGGGTTTTGTTTTGTTTTGTTTTGTTTTGTTTTGTTTTTGAGGAGTCTCGCTCTGTCACCCAGGCTGGAGTGCAGTGGCATGATCTTGGCTCACTGCAACCTCTGCCTCTTAGGTTCAAGCAGTTCTCCTGCCTCAGCCTCCTAAGTAGCCGGGATTACAGGCATATGCCACCATGCCTGGCTCATTTTTGTATTTTTAGTAGAGACGGCCAGGCTGGTCTCGAACTCCTGACCTCAGGTGATCCACCTGTCTCGGCCTCCAAAGTGCTGGGATTACAGGTATGAGCCACTGTGCTCAGCCCCCAGCGTTTCTCATATGAGCATGTATATATATATATATTATATATATATTATATATGTTTATATTTATATATATTATATATAACTGACAGACCTTTCTGATGTATATTGTTTTATAGTTGTTATTTATGTTGTATGCTACTATCCAACTATTCATATTCCCATTGCCTATAGATCAGGGGTCAGCAAACTACAGTTTGCTGGCCAAATCTGGTCCCTGCCTGTTTTTGTAAGTACAGTTTAACTGAAACACAGCTGCACCCATTGATTTACATACTGTCTAGAGCAGCTTTTGCACTACAAATGATAAGAATTTAGTAGTTGCAACAGAGACTGGTTCAAATAGGATTGGCTGTGTTTGGAACTAGCACTTGCCAGAATGTAATATTTGCTGTGAAGTGCTGAAAAGAAAAGTAACTTCCTTTTCATTTTTTTAGTGGCATAGTCTAAAACTGCTCACAATCCTTTTGAAAGACTAAAGAATAGGCCAGGTGTGGTGGCTCATGCCTGTAATCCCAGCACTTTGGGAGGCCAAGGCAGGCGGATCACAAGGTCAGGAGTTCAAGACCAGCCTGGCCAACATAGTGAAACGCTGTCTCTACTAAAAATACAAAAAAAAATAGCTGGGCTTGGTGGCGGCCACCTGTAGTCCCCAGCTACTCGGGAGGCTGAGGCAGGAGAATCGCTGGAACCCGGGAGGCGGAGGTTGCAGTGAGCTGAGATGGCGCCATTGCACTCCAGCCCTGGAGACAGTGCGAGACTGTGTCTCAAAAAAAAAAAAAAAAAAAAAAAAAAAAAAGACTAAAGAATATTAGCACCAAAGAACATAGCCCAGAAGCCTTGCTGTACTACACCTGCTGAAGGGACGGATGGAAATGCTGCAGAGCAGCACTAGGCAGTGCTCAGGCACTGCCCCAAACCAGCCCACAGGCCATCGAGGCCTCCAAGGGAGTGGGAAAGGTACCTGGAGAGCCATCTCCAGAAGGAAAGAAAGAAACCAGCTGTACCAGGGTTTGCTGGAGGGGTTGCTTCACTTTGAGGATTTGCTTTTCTTTTGTACCCCCTCAAGAGCTGAGTACAAGTAATGACGCTTTTTTATCCTAGGGAGGCAAATACATGCAGGCGGTGATTCAGTATGGGAAGATAGTGTCCTGGTTAGAGATGGAATATGGTTTATCAGAAAAGGAATCGAAAGCTTCTGAATCATTTCTCCTTGCTGCCTTTCTGAACCTGGCCATGTGCTACCTGAAGCTTAGAGAATACACCAAAGCTGTTGAATGCTGTGACAAGGTAACATCGTGTCTCCTGTGAGATGGACTTTAGATACTCCAGATCTTTTCTCCATCTCTGTCTTTTGCTTCCTCTCAGCCAAAGGTTGCAGGATTTTTCATTTTGCTTTTTTTTATTTATTTGAATGTTTGGGATTATTTGTTTCTCAGTATGAATTGGGAAATTCAGCAAGATTTTTATTACAGTCAGACTTTTATGATACCTAGACTGTTTATCATAATGCATTCTGAAGAAAAGTTTTGATTAAAATTAAATAATTTTTATCCACGACCTTCCTTATAACTGTAGTATTTATATCAGAGTAGACGTATAACTCCTCAGGTTCAGTTTAATAAGAGAAGATTTAACTTAAGCTTTTCTGGACTTTAACAGACTGCAACTGTTCATATAAAGCATATATATAGGTCAATTTTTATTATAATCATTTATTCACTGATATGCATAAATAATATGAAAGGTCCACAGAGCATCAGCAGCCTTTTTATTTTTACATTTGTCTTATTAATACTATCTTTGGTCTTTTGAGTGCTTACACACAGTACTCTATAACAGTGGTTTATCATCTGTATCGTTATGTATCGTTCTGATATATTTATACACCAGCCGATACTATTTTAGGTATCTGGTCTCAGAGTGAACAGTATATATTATACTGTGGGTAAAAGTAAAAACTAATCATTGGATGTATCTTAAAGGTAGACATAAAAGGATAAGAAAAGCAAGGCAACTATTTTGTACATTCTTTGTGAGATTATTTTTGAATTTTGTGGATCAGTGTTTCCTATCGCATCCTCTCTCCCAAGACCAGTTATTAATTTTATATGTATTTTTTCGTTTTTTTCATACAGAGCGGAGAGAGAGAGAGAGAGAGTGTGTGCGCGCGCGCGTGTGTGTGTTTTGTTTGTTTTAGAGACAAGTTGTTGCTATTTTGCCCAGGCTGGGGTGCGGTGGCTATTAATACACATGAACATAATGTACTACAGCCTCAAACTCTGGGGCCCAAGCTATCCTCCCACCTCAGCCTCCTGAGTAGCTGGGACTACAAGTGCATGCCACCACACCCTGCTAATTTTTAAATTTACTTTTGTAGAGATGGGGGTCTTCCAAAGAGCTGGGATTAAAGTTGTGAGGTACCACACCCAGCACAGCCTTGACTACATTATTTTTCTGTCTTCTATTGACAGAAGCAGTCATATAGCATCACTATTAACCCTATCTTTGGCAATAGGAAGCCTGTTCTCCTTATTTTCCTCTTTTTTTTTTTTTTGGAGATGGAGTCTTTCTCTGTTACCCAGTCTGGAGTGCAATGGCACAATCTTGGCTCACTCTAACCTCCACCTCCCGAGTTCAAGCGATTCTCCTGCCTCAGCCTCCCAAGTAGCTTAGACCACAGGTGCCGACCACCACACCAGGCTAATTTTTGTATTTTTAGTAGAGACAGGGTTTCACCATGTTGGCCCGGCTGGTTTCCAATTCCTGACCTCAGGTGATTTGCCACCTCAGCTTCCCAAAGTGCTGGGATTACAGGTGTGAGCCACCACAACCCAGCAATTTTCTTTTAGCTTTGTTGATTATATCTTTCTCTTTAAAGAAGGTTTTAATGTTTATGTAGTCAGATTTGTCGTCTCCTTTCTAGTTAGAAAAGACTTCCCCACACCAAGATTATAAAAATAACTGAAGCCAGGCACAGTGGTTTACACCTGTGACCTGTAACCCCAGGACTTTCGGAGGCTGAGGCGAGAGGATTGCCTGAGCCCAGGAGATAGAGGCTGCAGTGAGCTGTGATTGAGCCACTGCCCTCCAGCCTGGGCGACAGAGTGAGACCCTGCCTCAAAAAAATAATGATTATATTTTACATATTTTAAAATAAAAAATAATTGAAACATTTTATGGTTTTTTTTAATATGTAAATATGGTTGATCTAGAATTTACTTTTGTGCTTACAATATGAGGTAAGAACTTTTTTTTTTTTTTTTTTTTGGAGACAAGAGTCTCACTCTGTCACCCAGCCTGGAGTGCAGTGGCACGATCTCAGCCCACTCCAACCTCCACCTCCCTGGTTCAAGCAATTCTCCTGCCTCAGCCTCCCAAGTAGCTGGGATTACAGGCGCCTGCCACCATGCCCAGCTAATTTTTGTATTTTCAGTAGAGACAGGATTTCGCCATGTTGGCCAGGCTGGTCTCGAACTCCTCACCTCAGGTGATCACCTGCCTCAGCCTCCCAAAGTGCTGGGATTAGGGTGTGAACCACTGCACCCGGCCTTAACTCTTATTTTCTATGTGGATAGCTGCCATCCTGGCCCCGTTTATTTTAAAGTTAACTCTCCACTGATTCACATTACCACCTTTGTCATTTTCAAATGTTTTTATATGCAGACACATGACTGTTTCTGAATGATTCGTTCTGTTCCACTGAGCTGTTTGTCCACATGCTAGTAACCAAACTGTCTTAATTTCAGTAGTTTTAAAGTTTGTCTTTTTCTCTGGTAAGACAAGTGCCTCTTATTTTTTTCTTTTTTCCCAAATTTTTTCAGCCATTCTTGGGCACTTATTTGTTCCAATGAACTTTAAAATGAACTTCTCAAGAGCCCCCTCTCAAATCTCCTTGGGATCTTTCTAGAAATTGCATTAAATGCAGAAAATAATTTGGGTAGTAAATTTTGATCAGTAGTATGTAATTATCTTGAGCCCCATTTTTTTAAATACACTTTTTCCATCTCCTTTGGCAAGAGAACTTTGGTAAGCTGTTTACTGAATTTATTAAAATTCGTCCTTTCTAAAATATAGACCATCTATTCCTAGGCCCTTGGACTGGACAGTGCCAATGAGAAAGGCTTGTATAGGAGGGGTGAAGCCCAGCTGCTCATGAACGAGTTTGAGTCAGCCAAGGGTGACTTTGAGAAAGTGCTGGAAGTAAACCCCCAGAATAAGGCTGCAAGACTGCAGATCTCCATGTGCCAGAAAAAGGCCAAGGAGCACAACGAGCGGGACCGCAGGATATACGCCAACATGTTCAAGAAGTTTGCAGAGCAGGATGCCAAGGTGTGTGCAGAGCCTGATGACTGCAGGTGGATCAAGAGCCTGACCATGCCCCTTTGATTTTAGGGGACAGGAACAGCTAAACAACCCAAGAGGCTCAAGAGCAGGGAAAACGATTTCCAATCTAATCTGAGGCTGCTTTGGATCCAAAGGTCGAGTAGGGCAGTTCCAGTCACCAAAGGCACACGTCATGAGAGATGAGAAAACTAAATTCCCTTCAGATGTATTAGATTGGTTCAAAAGTAATTGTGGTTTTTACCATTACTTTCAATGGCAAAAACAGCAATTTTGCACCAACTCCCCCCGCCCGCCCCCCGGGCCCCTGCCCGAGTCAGAGTCTCACTCTGTCACCCAGACTGTAATGCAGTCGTGCTAACATGGCTCACTGCAGCCTTGACTTCTCTGGATCAAGTGATCCTCCCACCTCAGCCTCCTGAGTAGCTAGGACAAGCACACTACCACACTGGGCTAATTTTTTAAAATTTTTTGTAAAGATAGGGTTTCACTTTGTTGTCTAGGCTGGTCTCGAACCCCTGGCTTCAAGGGTTCCTCCTGCTTTGGTCTCCCAAAGTGCTGGGATTATAGACATGAGCCACCATGCCCAGCCCTTTTGTCATTTTTGAAAAATTGTAAACCCATCAGGATTTTTTTTTCAAGTAAGACTTACGATTTTCCCAGGAAATGGGATGTTATAGGAGCCCCATCATCACACCTGTTATCTTGAGGGTCGGCAGCCAGCCTGAAAAATGTGGCAGGAGAGGTCTGTCTGCAGAGAGGGCGGCCTCCCTACAGCATAGTTGGCATTCTGGTCCTGTCCCCAGTCTCCAGGAATGCCCAGACTTCATTATCCCACAGCTGTCCCATGTGTCAACCAAAGAAAGGTGAAGCTCCCACTCTAACTATTGGTAGCACAGCCCTGACCTACCCAGCTAGATATCCTAGAGAAAATCATTGCAATACCTCGTGTTTGGGACCTGATACACAGTCTGGAGGAGCCAGGAATTATTTCACTTCTTTATTCTCTAACCTTCTTGATTGCTTATTTCTTCCTTAGGAAGAGGCCAATAAAGCAATGGGCAAGAAGACTTCAGAAGGGGTCACTAATGAAAAAGGAACAGACAGTCAAGCAATGGAAGAAGAGAAACCTGAGGGCCACGTATGACGCCACGCCAAGGAGGGAAGAGTCCCAGTGAACTCGGCCCCTCCTCAATGGGCTTTCCCCCAACTCAGGACAGAACAGTGTTTAATGTAAAGTTTGTTATAGTCTATGTGATTCTGGAAGCAAATGGCAAAACCAGTAGCTTCCCAAAAACAGCCCCCCTGCTGCTGCCCGGAGGGTTCACTGAGGGGTGGCACGGGACCACTCCAGGTGGAACAAACAGAAATGACTGTGGTGTGGAGGGAGTGAGCCAGCAGCTTAAGTCCAGCTCATTTCAGTTTCTATCAACCTTCAAGTATCCAATTCAGGGTCCCTGGAGATCATCCTAACAATGTGGGGCTGTTAGGTTTTACCTTTGAACTTTCATAGCACTGCAGAAACCTTTAAAAAAAAAATGCTTCATGAATTTCTCCTTTCCTACAGTTGGGTAGGGTAGGGGAAGGAGGATAAGCTTTTGTTTTTTAAATGACTGAAGTGCTATAAATGTAGTCTGTTGCATTTTTAACCAACAGAACCCACAGTAGAGGGGTCTCATGTCTCCCCAGTTCCACAGCAGTGTCACAGACGTGAAAGCCAGAACCTCAGAGGCCACTTGCTTGCTGACTTAGCCTCCTCCCAAAGTCCCCCTCCTCAGCCAGCCTCCTTGTGAGAGTGGCTTTCTACCACACACAGCCTGTCCCTGGGGGAGTAATTCTGTCATTCCTAAAACACCCTTCAGCAATGATAATGAGCAGATGAGAGTTTCTGGATTAGCTTTTCCTATTTTCGATGAAGTTCTGAGATACTGAAATGTGAAAAGAGCAATCAGAATTGTGCTTTTTCTCCCCTCCTCTATTCCTTTTAGGGAATAATATTCAATACACAGTACTTCCTCCCAGCATTGCTACTGCTCAGCTTCTTCTTTCATTCTAATCCTTGCTATTAAGAATTTAAGACTTGTGCTTACAATATTTTTGACCTGGAGTGGATCTATTTACATAGTCATTTAGGATCCATGCAGCTTTTTTTGTCTTTTTAAGATTATTGGCTCATAAGCATATGTATACTGGTTTATGGAACTTTATTTACACTCCTCTATCATGCAAAAAAATTTTGACTTTTTAGTACTAAGCTTAATTTTTAAAAACAAAATCTGTAGGGTTGACAAATAAATAGTTGCTCTTCTACACTAGGGGTTTCACCTGCAGGTTTGACACGCAGTTGCTCGCTTTTCCTGCCCTGTCAAGCTTCTCTGTTCTGGCGTGAGTTGTGAAAGAGTTGAAGACAGCTTCCCATGCCGGTACACAGCCAGTAGCCTAAATCTCCAGTACTTGAGCTGACCATTGAACTAGGGCAAGTCTTAAATGTGTACATGTAGTTGAATTTCAGTCCTTACGGGTAAACAGATTGAGCATGGCTCTCTATTCCCTCAGCCTAAGAAACACTCATGGGAATGCATTTGGCAACCCAAGGAACCATTTGCTTAAACCTGGAACATCTCACCTTTTTAAATCCTAAAAAACACTGGCAGTTATATTTTAAATTAGTTTTTATTTTTATGATGGTTTTATCAAAAGACTTTTATTATTAGATTGGGACCCCCTTCAAACCTAAAAATCAAGTTATTTCCTTTTATAATACTTTTCTTCCCCATGGAACAAATGGGATCAATTTGTGAGTTTTTTCCTTTAATGATAACTAAAATCCCTCTAATTTCTCATTTATGCTTTTGTCTTTTTTATGAAATATTTCTTTTAAAAGCCCCAGTCTCACCTACGAAATATGAAGAGCAAAAGCTGATTTTGCTTACTTGCTAAACTGTTGGGAAAGCTCTGTAGAGCATGGTTCCAGTGAGGCCAAGATTGAAATTTGATACTAAAAAGGCCACCTAGCTTTTTGCAGATAACAAACAAGAAAGCTATTCCAAGACTCAGATGATGCCAGCTGTCTCCCACGTGTGTATTATGGTTCACCAGGGGGAACTGGCAAAAGTGTGTGTGGGGAGGGGAAGGGTGTGTGAGTGGTTCTGAGCAAATAACTACAGGGTGCCCATTACCACTCAAGAAGACACTTCACGTATTCTTGTATCAAATTCAATAATCTTAAACAATTTGTGTAGAAGTCCACAGACATCTTTCAACCACCTTTTAGGCTGCATATGGATTGCCAAGTCAGCATATGAGGAATTAAAGACATTGTTTTTAAAAAAAAAAAATCATTTAGATGCACTTTTTTGTGTGTTCTTTAAATAAATCCAAAAAAAATGTGACTTCCCATTGTTTTTGGTTTTGCTTAAGTGATTTTCAGGGAAAGCTATATTGGTTAAAAAACCATGGTGGGGGCCAACTTGAAGAAATTAGACATCAGAGAGGTCAGGCGTAGTGGCTCATGCCTGTAATCCCAGCACTTTGGGAGGCCAAGGCAGGTGCATCACCTGAGGTCAGGAGTTTGAGACCAGCCTGGCCAATGTGGTAAAACCCTGTCTCTACTAAAAATACAAAAATTAGCCAGGTGTGGTGGTGCACACCTGTAATCCCAGCTACTCAGGAGGCTGAGGCAGGAGAATCACTTGAACCTGGGAAGTGGAAGTTGCAGTGAGCCAAGATTGTGCCACTGCACTCTGGCCTGGGTGACAGTGAGACTTGGTCTCAAAAAAAAAAAAAAAAAAAAAAAATCAGAAAATCGGCAATGGACAGTATCATCCTACACTTTGCTCTAAGGTGAACCTGAAACCAACATTGGGGTGAAAGTGGCAGAACAATGCATCGTTGCTAAAAAGAACCAAGTAATGGGAAAAATAAAAAGGTTTTGTTTTTTCATTAGCCAGCGGATATTTCACCTTTTTAAGCTGATTTTAAGGTAGGCTCGACTTGCAAAATAAAATTTAATTGTGCCCTTTAATAAATATATGAAACATAAGTAAGGCTATCTAAGGTGGTGGTCCATATTGAGCATGCATTTTCTTTCTTAAGTAGCATATATCATCAATACTCATCATCACAGACTCTCAAGGCCTAAGGAGATGTCACATATACTGCAAATCCTCATTTTCACACTGCAAAAGAAGGTGGCACAGTGCTGGAAGGTACTTAGTAGGACCTCTGAGGTCTACAGACAGGTTGATGCAGGTTCTAGGCACCCTTTATTCCCTCTGAATTCTTGGCTTCATCTCTGGATTTGAATTATATTTCTCCCTCCTCCCTGTTAAATTATTTGGTAATGAAATAAATTCCTAGCTAGGTGCGGTTGCTTATGCTTATAACCCCAGCACTTTGGGAGGCCGAGGTGGGCAGGTTGCTTGAGCCCAGGAGTTCGAGACCAGCCTGGGCAACATGGCAAGACCCTGTCTCTACAAAAAGTACAAAAATTAGACAGACATGATGGTATGCACCTTTAGGCCCAGTTACAGGCTGAGGTGGGAGGATCACTTGAGCCCTGGGAGGTTGAGGCTGCAGTGAGCCATGATCATGCCACTGCACTCCAGCCTGGGTGACAGAGCAAGACCCTATCTCAACCATAATAAATTCCCTTTATTTGCGTGCTTTTTTTTTGTAAGAAAATAATGATCACCCTAGGGATCTTGAGGATGAGCCAGAGAAGATTCCTGGCTGTAAATGTGTGATCTCAGAAATTCAGAGGCAGCTTGCACAACCTCCAAAACGAGGACTGCCAGTGAAGGGCTTTGTCTATACTTACTTGGCCTTAGCAGCACACTGAACTCCACTTTTAGTATGGTACATGTGAAGCCTGTATTCTCTGGGGCTGGAGACTATCTCCAGTATTGGTGACAAAACGCATTGAATTTGAGCCAGTTAGTCAAAATCCTGAAACTCAGAATTCCCCAACCCAGCTGTGTATTTTTTCCATCAGCTGGCTACTTATGCATCTGAATGACAGTGACTGACGAAAGTACATAAAAGGACATTCTCTGATGGCTTGAAAAGTTTTGGTAGACCTTCAGTACTTCCCTTCAGATTTTTCTCTACTACATGTCTGACATGGAGATTTCTGTGGGAGGAGAAGGCACTATCTGTAATTGCCCAGAATCTCCACGTGTGACCTTAATAATACACGGCAAGAAAGAGACAGCGTTAAATACAACTCTTAAGATTTTTGACAGCATCTTGTTTGGGTAACTGCAGCCTATAGTTAGAAAAATTAAAGCACAGTTTATAAGGCAGGGATTCTTTGTCTTCTAAAGATGAGGGAACCTTGGAGAATCAAGAATATGGGGAGGACCCAGAATGGTGATGCAGCCTGCCCATGGCCGTCAGGTCACCTGATGCCCTTGCACCATTTTAAAATAGGTCTTTTTCTAGTATGATGAGTGATGCTCTTGGTGTATGGAAGGAGATGTTGGTACTTCCTTAGAATTCCCACATTCGGTGGAACTGAAATGGCAGCAGAGCCATGGGCCTCATAGTCTACTTTGGAATAAATCTATGGTGGGAAGCTTGCCAACGTGTTAAGCAGAGGCATCTTTTTAAAATACACTTTAGGGGCCAGGGATGGTGGCTCACACCTGTAATCCCAGCACTTTGAGAGGCTGAGGCAGGAGGATTGCTTGAGGCCAGGAGTTCAAGACCAGCCTGGGCAACATAGTGAGACCCCATCACTACCACACACACACACACAAATTAATTAGCTACACATGGTGGTGCATGCCTATAGTCCCAGCTACTTGAGAGGCTGAGGTGAGAGGATACTTGAAGCCATGAGTCGTAGGCTTCAGTGAGCTATGATCACGCCACTGCACTCCAGCCTGGGCAACAGAGTGAGACCTTGTCTCTAAAATTAGAAAAAAAAATGTGGCTGCTACATTGTTTCCACCTCTCAAATCTCCACAAGGTCATTGGTCCTTGCTAACCCAGAACTAAGCAGGGAAGGAATTCTGGGACATGTGTTTCCAACTTGGCTTAGTTGACACATTGCAAATACAACATGTGGCTAAGGCTTTCTTTTTTGTTTTTGTTTTTGAGAGGGAGTTTTGTTCTTGTTGCCCAGGCTGGAGTGCAGTGGCACAATCTCGGCTCACTGCAACCTCTGCCTCCAGTATTCAAGTGATTCTCCTGCCTCAGCCTCCTGAGTAGCTGGGATTACAGGTGTCTGCCACCACACCCAGCTAATTTTTTGTATTTTTAGTAGAGATGGGGTTTCACCATGTTGGCCAGGCTGGTCTCGAGCTCCTGACCTCAGGTGATCAACTTGCGTCAGCCTCCCAAAATGCTGGGATTACAGGCGTGAGCCACCGGGTCCGGTCTGTATCTAAGCCTTTCTTGAGGTATTAAATATTTCCAGCCTGGGTCTGCTCTGGGATAATGTGTTTTCATAAGATAACTCCTTATTGTAGGCATTGTTCTTGGCTTAAAGTTATCTCCTTAAAGCTTCTGACTAGGGAAATAAGTGGTAAGAATAAACAGTTGATGAGTATTTGGGGATGCAATGACTAATTCTAGTTACTCTAGTTCTAGTGAATGACTTGATGAGTTTGTATTGTATCTGCTCACAACCGTGTTTCCACACTAAGGACTCCTGAATTTTTTTGTCTTAAAAACTTAAACCCGCTGGGTGTCCTGGCTCACACCTGTAATCCCAGCACTTTGGGAGGCCGAGGAGGGCGGATCACGAGGTCAGGAGATCAAGACCATCCTGACTAACATGGTGAAACCCCGTCTCTACTGAAAATATGAAAAATTCGCCAGGCTTGGTGGTGGGCGCCCATAATCCCAGCTACTCAGGAGGCTGAGGCAAGAGAATGACGCGAACCCAGGAGGCGGAGCTTGCAGTGAGCTGAGATCGCGCCACTGCACTCCAGCCTGGGCGACAGAGCGAGACTCTGTCTCAAAAAATAAAAATAAAAAACTTAAACCCATGTGTATCCTATTGCCCTCTGTGGCTACCAGAGTCTTCCTAACATGACACCAGCCTTTACCTGTAGTTAACAAAATGTGATTCCCCTTCTCCCACTGAGGGATCAGGAACACTGCCTTACTCATCACCATCCTCAGCACCCAGTCCATCATCCCCAAACTAGAACATAGTAGATACTCGGTAAGCTGGCTTTGTCCCTCCTCTGAAGGCAGCCTCTTGTCTGTATCCCAGTGGCCCTTCACTCCTGTTACCTGAGATGTGGAGGCCAAAGCCCCATGATACTGTGGTTGTCCCTGCAGCCTGATTTTGTGTCTTGAATTCTTTTCCAAGTGGTGAACCAGCAGCAACTTGAATTTTGAGAGCCCATAACTGTAAAATGGGTCCATCGTCTTCAGGCTACATTGATCTTATATCTATTTTTAGTCACAATTGATAACTCAGAGTTCACCAAATACGAAGATCAAATATAAAATATTTTCCTTAAAAGTATTCTAAGACCACCCCGCCCAGTCTGGTGCCCTGGTCAGCCAGCCCCCAAACATTTACGGCCCATCTGTTGTGAACTGGGTACTGTTCCACTGAGGTGAAGGATGGGGCCCCCTGGGCTGAGCGACTCGCAGACAAGTGAAAAATGAGGCATGCAGATGGCTGCATCATCACAGAGCATCTGCCATCTGCTACTGACATCTACAAAATAGGGAACAGCAGGAAACTCAAGCCTGCCTCTCCAGCTCTCCCCACTCATTCAGAGCCACACTGGAGACCGAGTCAAGCCAGGGCCCACCCCACTGCTGACATCCAGCCCAGTGCTACTGGGCAAGCCCTTCCTCAGCACTGCCCCCAGCTGGCCACTGTTCCACCCCTGTGCTTCTCTCCAAGCATCCGGGCTGCAAAAAGTGCCCAGCCCTACCCTGAGCTATACCAGCCCTCTTGCCCTGGGCCCAGCCAGGATGGTTTCTCCTGGTGGCAGGATGTTAATCTCTTTGGCACACCAGGCAGAAGTCTAGGAGCAGAGAGCTATGTCCTTAGGTCTGTTTTTCAGTTACCTGCCTACTGGAATACAGCTGCAAGAAAACTGTGTCCTTTATTTACGAGACAACTGTACAGATACAGCATGCCTAACTTTGCTTACTGCATGGTCACTAGGATGTACTGAGTTTCAAGGAAATATGTTTTTGCTACATTTTAATTAGCACTACCCCCCTTAGGTGAAATTTGGGCCAGGTGCAGTGGCTCACACCTGTCATCGTAGCACTTTGGGAGGCCAAGGCAGGAGGATCACTTGAAGCCAGGAGTTTGAGACCAGCCTAGGAAACAAAGCAAGACCCTGTCTCTACGAAAAAATTTTAAAATCAGCCGGGCGTGATGGCGCATGCCTGTAGTCCCTGCTACTCAGATGGATGAGGTGGGACGACTGCTTGAGCTCAGGAGGTCGAAGCTGCAGTGAGCTGTGATCATGCCACTGCACTCCAGCCTGGGTGACAGAGTGAGACCCTGTCTCAAAATAAATAAATAAATAGGCTGGGCTCGGTGGCTCTCACCTGTAATCCCAACACTTTGGGAGGCTGAGGGGGGCGGATCATGAGGTCAGGAGATTGAGACCATCCTGGCTAACACGGTGAAACCCCGTCTCTACTAAAAATACAAAAAATTAGCCGGGCGTGGTGGTGGCTGCCTGTAGTCCCAGACACTCGGGAGGCTGAGGCAGGAGAATGGCATGAACCTGGGAGGCAGAACTTGCAGTGAGCTGAGATTGTGCCATTGCACTCCAGCCTGGGCGATAGAGTGAGACTCCGTCTCAAAAAATAATAATAACTAAGTAAATAAACTTCCTGACTGTTCTGGGAACCCTCACCCCTTTGTCACCAACACACTTTCCCTGCAGAGAAAGCTACACTGCTTGAGTGAGTTGGTAAATGCTCCTCTCTCTCTCCACTCTGTCTCTCGCAAGGGCACGCAAGGCTTTCTATATGGGCTTCTAAGCTTTCTCTGAACCCAGCTGTCTGGTTGACAAGGAGCAGATTGTAATAAGACAATACAGTGAGGTTTGCACCCTTCTACCCTTCAGCCGTTACCAAATGTGACAGTAGGTAAGTAAACCAAGCCACCTTCAGGCTGCAAGTCGGGGCCTCAGAACCAAGTTATAACCTGAGATAACCCCAGTTGGCTGGATGATTGCCGAGACCAGACTTCCTACAGAGAGTGCTGCCCACTTCTGCGGTGATAACTGCAAAACAGGGCCCCTCATAATGTCCTCATCAGGACCTCCTCAATCTGAGGAACACAGAGGCCTCCAATGTTTGGCAAGAGCACTGGTTTGGGTCCAGCTCTGTGTTGGGATCTCTTGTTTCCTCACCTGTGAAATAACAATGGCTAATATTTATACAACTGTTTTAATTATAGTAGAAAACACATACCATGAAATTTATCATCTTAACAATTTTTCAGGTTTTTTTTTTCTTTTTTGAGACAGAGTCTCTCGTTCTGTTGCCCAGGCTGGAGTGCAGTGGCACAATCTTGGCTCACTGCAACCTCCACCTCCCGGGTTCAAGTAATTCTTGTTCCTCAGCCTCCCAAGTAACTGGGCATGGGCCATCATGCCCGGCTTTTTTGTATTTTTAGTAGAGACGGGGTTTCACCATGTTGGCCAGGCTAGTGTTAAATACAGTAAGAAGTTCTTCTTCAAAGGTTTAGCTTGTTTAAGTTTCCTTGTCCTCTGTTCCCTCCTTTCAAGGCCAGACTTCCTTACTCTCTGTGTCCCCCTGCCCTGGTAAACAACCTTCCCACCAGTCCTTATCTATACAGCCCACATTCCACATCTGCTACCCACTCTGTGAATTACCCCTCCCGTCACAACGACCCTCCCCGCAGAAACTGTTCCTCCCACCCCCCACCAGTGTAACCGCATTCTTGCACTTTTCAAGTTAGCCAACCGGGTTCAGCTTGGATTGGTCCAGCTCCAGCCAATGGAGACAGGACACAGTAGCGGGCACAAGCTGTGTTAGGAATAAAAACCCCTTCCCTCCTTTGTTTGGGGTGCTCTCGTGGCGACCAGACCTACAAGAAGCACCCTTCTGCAGAAGCAAATTTGCCTTGCTGAGAGATCCTTTGTCTCAGTGCTGGTTCTTCTTTGCAGCACTGAGCATTTGTTTCCAACAAATTTGGTGGCCCATATGGGGACCTCATTCTCCTCCGGGAAAGGGTCTCTGATCACTTCTCATGAGGAGACGCATCCCGCTAACTCATTGCAGTGGCCTCAAGGGTAAAGAATCGGGACCCACCCAGTGCAACCAATAAACCCAGACTCTTAGCAACACAGGAAGAAAAGGCCTACAGTTACTGTGGTGAGCAGGTAACGCTATGCACAGACCAAGGTAAGAAAAACTGTGGGGGTGGTGAAGTACTTCCTTGGTGGTAGGGACAGTTTGGAGGTTAAAAGTGTGTAAATAAGATGCACAATTAAGTGCAAAGCGAGTGTGGAGTAAAGTAAAGGAGTGCAAGAAATCTCCAGTGGGGGAGCTGAGCCTCCAGGGAAAGGGAGCAAAAAAAAAACAATCTCTAGTAAAAGAGGTTGAGCCAGGAGGCCGAGGCGGGTGAATCACGAGGTCAGGAGATCGAGACCGTCCTGGCTAACACAGCGAAACCCCATCTCTACTAAAAATACAAAAAAAAAAAAAAAATTAGCCGGGCGTGATGGCGGGCGCCTGTAGTCCCAGCTACTCGGGAGGCTGACGCCAGGGAATGGCGTGAACCTGGGAGGTGGAGCTTGCAGTGAGCCAAGATCGTGCCACTGCACTCCAGCCTGGGTGACAAAGCGAGACTCTGTGTCAAAAAAAAAAAAAAAAAAAAAGAGGTTGAGCCCCACACACACTCAGGTTGAGCCTTCAGGGAAAAGGGTGCAAGAAATCTCTAATAGGAGAGACTGAGCCCCCATTAACTTCCAGGATGGGAAATACCCCTAGTAAAACAAGAACTACAAAGGACCAAACATAAGAAAAAGCAACAGATGATAAAATATTGTTGTTTTTTTTGAACCAAAGAAACTATTCTTAAACCTTTAGTTTTCTGGCCAAGTTTTGGGTCAAATAAGGATTAGATTTGTCAACTTTTAATAAAGTATGTAAATAACAAAAGTCCTGTCTCCCAGGAAGAAATAGACTATGCCCTGCACTGGCGGCAGGGGCCTGTCCTCTACCCCCTAAAAACTGCAGGAAAAAAAGCCAGAAAATACCTCCCCTAAAGAAAGTAAAATCCCTAACCCCAAACAGTCCACTAGCACATGGGATTCAAAATTTCCCTTTCCCCTCCTCCTCAAAAAAGTCTACCCCAACCCTTTTTCCCTTAAGGGAAGTGCCTCTAGGAGGAGGGGAAATTGGCTTTGTAAATGCCCCTTAACTAGTTCAGAGGTCAGAAACCTAAGGAAGAAACTTAAACCACTATTAGATGATCTTTTTAGGGTTGTGGATCAAATTAACCGATTTTTAGGACCACAAGTATACACTTGGGCTGAGCTAATGTCCATCTTAAGTATTCTCTTTTCGGGAGAGGAAAGAACCATGATCCGCAGGGCTGCTATGATAGTCTGAGAGCGCAAACACCTTCCCAGTCAAAATATCCCTGCAGCAGAACAAAAATCGCCGGCCCAAAACCCCCAATGGGATAATAACAATGCAGCCCACCAAGAAAACATGAAAGGCCTTAGGAAAATGATAGTTAAAGGGATTCGGGAATCAGTGCCTCAAACCCAAAATATTTCCCGAGCATTTAATATGCAGCAAGGAAAAAACAAAGGGCCCACGGAGTTTTTAAACAGACTCAAGGAACAGGTAAGAAAATATACAGGCTTAAACATAAAGGATCCCCTTGGACAGGGGATGTTAAAGCTCCATTTTGTTACTAGTAGCCAAATATCACAAAGAAATTACAAAAACAGAGAACTGGAAAGATCAGCCTATAGAGGGAATGGAGGGAGTCAGGGAGAGAGAGAAAGAGAGGCAAAGAGAGAAGATGGAGAGGCAAGGAGAGACAGAGAGACAAAGAGAGGCAGAAAGAGAAAGACAGAGAGAGAGAGGGAGGAAAAGACAGAGAGCCAGAGGGAGAGGGAGAGAAAGAGAGGCAGAGAGAGAGAGAAAGAAGACAAAACAAATGTTTCAAATGTAAAAGAATAGGTCACTTCAAAAGAGAATGTCCCAAATGGGAAAAAGAAACAAAAGTCATATATAAAAGCAGATCAGCTAATATTAAATTTCTGTTAATTCCAGAGGCAAGAACAAACCTATTAGGGAGAGATCTAATGTTAAAATTTGGCTTAAGCCTCTACATTAATCAGGGAAAACTTCTCACCTCCCTGAACTTACCACCACAGATTATGAAAAGTGTATCCATCCTGATACATGGTCAAAAAAAGGACATCGAGAGAAATTACCAGTTCCTCCAATCGAGGTCAAATTAAAAACTCCCAGGAAAATAGTAAAAAGAAAACCCTTCCTTTGAAAGCCGGGCAAATAATCTAGCTGACCAAATAGCCAAGCAAGCTGCCTTTTCCCAAGCAGTACCCATTTTCCATTCAGCCCCTTGCCTTCCCCTCCAGCTGCGGTCCCCATCTTCTCCCATAAAGACCAAAAAAATGTTAAAAGAAATAGGAGCCAAGAAAAGCTCAGAGGGAAGGTGGGTACTACCAGATGGGAGAAAATGTTGTCTAAACCTCTCATGAGGGAAATATTGTCGCAGCTCCATCAAGGATCTCACTGGGGACCCCAAGCCATGTGTGGTGCAGTCCTTAGAGTTTACAGGTGTATAAGCATATACACTCTTGCTAAGCAAGCAGTTACAGAGTGTGCAGAAAAACTAATAAACAAATCCTAAAAAGGCAACCTACTGGGGGCAGAAATCCAGGGCTAAGACCATTCCAAAGTGCTCAAATTAATTACACTGAGATGCCCCCAGTCGTTTGCCTGAAGTACTTGTTGGTAATAGCAGACCACTTTACTCGCTGGGTAGGAGCCACCCCCTTCTCAAGTGCAACCACCAGTAATGTAGTTAAAGCATTAGTTAAAAACATTATACCCAGGTTTGGACTAATAGAAAACATGGATTCAGACAATGGAACCCATTTCACTGCACGTGTCATTAAAAAGCTAGCCCAGGTGCTAGACATAAAACAGGAATGCCATATCCCTTGGCAGGAAGGGTAAAAAGAATGAACCAGACTCTTAAAAAACCACCTCACCAAATTAATCCTAGAAACCCAGCTACCCTGGACTAAATGTCTCCCCATTGCCTTATTAAGAATCAGAACCATCCCTTGGAAAGATATCAGCTTATCCCCTTATAAAACGCTATATGGGCTACCTTATGTACATTCCACTACTGACATTCCTACATTTAAAACAAAATGTCAGTTCCTCAAAAATGATATACTTGGTCTATCTTCCACTTTCTCTTCTCTTAAAACCAAAGGTCTCTTAGCACAGGTGCTGCCCCTGGAATTCCCAGAACATCAACATCAGCTCCCGTCCTCATCAAAGGGTGGAAAAAAGGAAAGCTTGAACCAGCTTGGGAAGGACCTTATCTAGTGCTCCTGGCCACTGAAACTGCATCCGAACAGCAAAAAAAGGATGAACTCATCATACTCGAGTGAAAAAACATCACCACCTCCGGAGTCACGGGCTACTGTTCCAGGGGAAAGTGCTACCTAACTAAAGCTAAGAAAAACCCAACCCTCCTCATGAAGAGGAGACCCTGAAGGATCTCCAAAACCAAAGAAAGTTAGCCTCTATCAATAAGTACCTTTGCCCCTCCAAAATAAACAAAACTGCCTATAATAATAAAACTTGTACCAGATGTGCACAAAGCGCGGGGTGGAGGTTCTGTTATGGTTAGGGAGATGAACTCTGGACCACGAAATATCAAGGCTAGACCTCCCCAGGAGGAAGCTGCATTAATCTAAAGCCCGATATCCACCTTACCAAAGGCATAACTCCCCCTAATTGTCAGCCTCAGCAGTGTAACCCTATACAAATCTTCATCACTGTCCCCACCTCCACTGATGCTAACCCCACTCTAAGCCATTTCTGTGGCCTAGAAGCTAATTTTCATTCTGGGACAGACCCAATAGGATCTTTTGAAATGTGCTTCATTGATCCCCCACCCCCTTCCCTTTCTCCTTCTCCAGAGCCTTCTTTCATTCAGACTGTTATTTTTTCCAATAACAAAGCCATAGTCGACATTACAAATATTAGAGATTTAAAACAAACTTTAGCAGTCGAGACAGGATACCAAAATGCAAATGCCTGGTTGGAATGGGTTAAATATTCTGTTTGCACACTAAATAAAAACAACTGTTACACTGGTGCAACAGACAGGCCAGAGGCTCAAATAGTCCCTTTCCCTCTTGGATGGTCTTCTAACGAACTGGGCATAAGCTGCATGGTAAGTTTCTTCCAAAACTCCACAACCTGGGGCAGCAAGCCACACAAGACTCTCATTGCTATTCCCCAAAGTCAAAGGCTCTGTGGATCAGCCCCCAGGGGCCACCCGGCCTCCAGCCTCAGATGTTAATTTTACCTCGGGTCTCTCACGGCAGGGGGAGAAATTAATGTCTCTCAAAGACCTAAAATGGTGCAGTGAGACTAAGCCTTTCCAAGAACTTACCAGTCAAGCTGCCCTTACTCACTCCCGAGCAGACGTATGGTGGTATTGCGGGAAACTACTATGAAGTTCTCTGCCGAGTCACTGGAGTGGCACTTGTGCTCTCGTTCAATTGGCCATCCCTGTCACCCTGGCATTCCGCCAACACAGTAAGCAAGAAAGTCAGAACCGAGTTAAAAAAAAAAATAAAAAGCACTCCACTGGATCTTCTAACCCTCACATTTATATAGACGCTATTAGAATTCCACAAAGAGTACCAGATAACTTTAAAGCCCAGAATCAAATAGCTGCAGGGTTTTAATCTGTGCTGTTTTGGTGGTCAACTATAAACAAAAATGTAGATTAGACAAATTACGTTTATTACAACCAACAACGATTTGTTAAGTATACTAGAGACACTATTAAAGGGATAGCTGGACAATCAGGACCCACCAGTCAAATGGCCTGGGAAAACAGAATAGCATTAAACATAATACTAGCGAAAGAGGCCGGAGTCTGTGTCATGATTAAAGTCCAATGTTATACTTTTATCCCTAATAACACAGCCCCCGACAAAACAATAACAAAGGCTTTGCAAGGCCTAACCTCCTTATCCAACAAGTTAGCAAAAATTCTAGACTAAACGGCCCTTTCACAAATTTAATGGGAAATTGGTTCGGCAAACGGAAGGGACTTATGTCCTCAATCCTCACCTCTCCTACCATCAAAATAGGGTTCCTTATTCTTGTAGGATGCTGTATCATACCCTGTGCCCGAGGATTAATGCAAAGGCTTATTAAAATAGCTCTCATGAACATGGCTATACAAATATCTCCTGGAGACCTTGCTTTTAATTCTTTTGGTTCTGCGCCCACAAGTAGAATTGCTGGATCAAAGGGTAACTCTATTTTTAATTTTTTGAGGAATTGTCATACAGTTTCCACAGCAGATGCACCATTTTACACTCCCACTAACAGTGCACAAAGGTCCCAATTGCCCACGTCCTCACCAACACTTGTTATTTTCTGTTTTGTTTTTAGAGCAGCCATTCTGGTGAGTGTGAGGTGTTATCCCTTTGTGGTTCTGATTTGCATTTGCCTGGAAGTTAGCGACGTGGAGCATCTCTTCATATGCTTATTGACCATTTGTGTATCACCTCCAGAGAAATGTCTATTCAAGTCTTTCCCCCCTTTTTTCCTTCTGTTTTTTAGAGACAAGGTCTTGCTGCGGCACCCAGGCTTGAATACAGTGATGCGATCATAGCTCACTGTAGCCTCGAACTCCTGGGCTCAAGTGATCTCTACACTTCAGCCTCCTGAGTAGCTAGGGTTACAGGCATGTACCACCACACCTAGCTTTTTGTTTTTAGCAACCGAGTCTCACTGTTGCCCAGACTGGTCTTGAATTCCTGGATTCATGTGATGCTCCCACCTTGGCCTCCCAAAGTGCTGGGAATACAGGCATGAGCCACCACACTGGGCATTTGCCCATTTTTTATTTGTTTGTTGTTGTTGTTGTTTTTCCTTTTTTTTTGGTCATTGAGTAATAATAGCTAACATATATTATGCTCACATTATGTTCCAGAAAGTATACTCAGGGCCAAGCTGAGATGTGGCAACCCTGACAGTCACAATTTGGTAACTGTGGGCAGCAAGCCACCCAGGCGCCGAGGCAAGAGACCGAGGACACGAGCTGTTCCAGTATAATAAAATATAAAACAAGAATAGTTATACTAGATGTAGATCTTAGATATGATTGTATATGAATATCATTAATCATTAGTTTGTAGCAATTACTCTTTATTCCAATATTATAATAATCCTCGCTCTACAATCATAACCTAGGAAAAACCAGGCCATACAGAGATAGGAGCTGAGGGGACATAGTGAGGTGTGACCAGAAGACAAGAGTGCGAGCCTTCTGTTATGCCCAGACAGAGCCAGCAGAAGGGCTCCTTGGTCTAGCGGTAACGCCAGCTTCTGGGAAGATACCCGTTGCCAGGCAGACCGAAGTCTAGCGGTAGCGTAAGTGTCAGGGGAAAACACCTGCTACTTAGCAGACCGGGAAAGGGAGTCTCCCTTTCCCCGGGGGAGTTTAGAGAAGACTCTGCTCCTCCACCTCTTGTGGAGGGCCTGACATCAGTCAGGCTTGCCCGCAGTTATCCGGAGGCCTAACCATCTCCCTGTGATGCTGTGCTTCAGTGGTCACGCTCCTAGTCCGCCTTCATGTTCCATCCTGTACACCTGGCTCTGCCTTCTAGATAGCAGTAGTAAATTAGCGAAAGTACTAAAAGTCTCTGATATGCAGAAATAATGGCGTAAGCTGTCTTTCTCTTTGTCTCCTCTCTCTGCCTCAGCTGCCAGGCAGGGAAGGGCCCCCTGTCCAGTGGACACGTGACCCACGTGACCTTACCTATCAATGAAGATGACTCACACTCTTTACCCTGCCCCGTTTGCTTTGTATCCAATAAATAACAGCCAGACATTTGGGGCCACTACCGGTCTCCGCGCATTGGTGGTAGTGGTCCCCCGGGCCCAGCTGTCTTTTCTTTTATCTCTTTGTCTTGTGTCTTTATTTCCACACTCTCTCGTCTCCGCACACGGGGAGAGACCCACTGAGCCTGTGGGGCTGGACCCTGCAGGTAACCTTTCAAAGCTATAGTCTTTAAATATTTGCTAAACATTTATGGGGTAGGGGTTGGAAGCTGGACAGGGAGAAACTGATATCCTGTTATTAAAAATCATATATAGGCTGGGCACAGTGGCTCACGTCTGTAATCCCAGCACTTTGGGAGGCTGAGGTGGGAAGATTGCTTGAGCCCAGGAGTTTGAGACCACCCTGGGCAACATACTGAGACCTCGTCTCTACAAAAAATTTTAAAATTAGCCGAGAGTGGTGGTGCACGCCTGTAGTTCCAGCTACTTGGAAGGCTAAAGTGGGAGGATCACTTGAGCCCAGGAGTTAGAGGGTGCAGTGAGCTATGGTGGTGTCACTCACTCCAGCCTGGGTGACAGAGCAAGACCCTGACTCAAACGAAAAGAAAAGAAAAGATCATATAGAAACACACTAATTCATTTCTACTGGATGCAGTAGAGTCAATGTCTAAACAAAAGCTTTTTTTGACAAAATCTTTCCCACTTTTCTGAGATTCTTATTCTCTCTTCTCTTCTTGTCTCTGATTTTCCAAACTCGATAACTTCTCAGAAGGCTTGTTAAGGGGCTTAGATTTTTTTTTTTTTTTTTTTTTTTTTAAGACAGAGTCACTCTGTTGCCCAGGCTGGAGTGCAGTGGTATGATCTCGGCTCACTGCAACTTCCACCTCCTAGGTTCAAGCAATTCTCTTGCATCAGCTTCCCGAATAGCTGGGATTACAGGCATGTGCCACCACACCCAGATAATTTTTGTAGTTTTAGTAGAGACGGGGTTTCAGCATGTTGACCAGGCTGGTCTCGAACTCCTGACCTCAAGTGATCGATCCACCTGCCTCAGCCTCCGAAAGTGCTGGAATTACAGGTGTGAGCCACCGCGCCCAGCCTAGGGACTTAGAATTTCAGTAATGAAATAAATCACTCCTTTCCAGTAACCAGCACTAGGTCACGTATTCATCAGCCTCACAGTTTCAGCCGAGTGCCCTGCCATTCTCACGGAGAATGCGACACGTGGAAAGACAGGCAGGTGTGAGCAAGCAAAGCTTTCTACTTCCTTTGGTGGGCACAGGGCTAATTCACAAGTAAATGGTTACATAAGGAAACACCTGAAGGGACCCGAGCTGCTTGGCACATATTTCTGATTCATTGAAGTAATTTTTTTCCATTTGAAATTAGGAAATATTTCCTACAGTTAAGTATAGAATATAGTGATACCCATGTACCCGCCACCAGCATAAACAGATATGAACATTTTTGCCATCTTTGAGAGGTTTTATTCTTTTATTTTTTTGAGACAGGGTCTCACTCTGTCACCCAGGCTGGAGTGCAGTGGCTTGATCATGGCTCACTGCAGCCTTCACCTCCTGGCTCAAGTGATCCTCCCGCCTCAGCTTCCCTAGTAGCTGGGACTACAGGTATGTACCACCATCCCTGGCTACTTTTTAGGTTTTTTTGGAGAGATGGGGGTCTCACTATGTTGCCCGGGCTAGTCTCGAACTCCTGGCCTCAAGCAATCCTCCCATCTTGGCCTCCCAAAGTGCTGGGATTACAGGCGTGAGCCACCACGCCCAGCCCAGAGGTTTTATTTTTAAGAAAAGAAATGTTACAGATACAACTAGAGTCCCACATCCTTCCTTTTACCGTCCCTTCTCAGAGGTACCTACACTCCTGGAGTTAGTGTATATCATTCCTATTAGTGATTTATACTTTAACTACCCATCTCTGTATTCACAATCCAGTCCATTGCTTTGGGTGTTCATCAGTTTTACATAAATGATAGCAATGTACCCACTTATTATTTTTTTTAATTTTTATTTTTATTTATTTTTTTGAGACAGAGTTTCACTCTTGTCACTCACGCTGGAGTGCAATGGCGTGATCTTGGCTCACTGCAACCTCCACCTCCTGGGTTCAAGCGATTCTCCTGCCTAAGCCTCCCAAGTAACTGGGATTATAAGCACCTGCCACCACATCCAGCTAATTTTTGTATTTTTGGTAGAGATGGGGTTTCACCATGTTGGCCAGGCTCGTCTCGAACTCCTGACCTCAGGTGATCCACCCATCTCGGCCTCCCAAAGTGCTGGGATTACAGATGTGAGCCACCGAGCCCAGCCCCATTTATCATTCTTTTAGCTGCTCAGTGTTTGAGACCCCCTCCTATGTAGGAGGCTGAGCCCACTTCCACCATAAAGGCTGAAAGGCCAGCTGCCCGCCTGCCCTTGCAATAGGGGTAGGCATGTGACCTAGGCTCTGCCGGCCAGACCCACTTCCCCTAACTTGGCATTCAGCACTAGAGTTGCAGAGGCTGCACGAGGCAGAAGCAATTGTGGAAAATTTCCAGGGTAGCAGAGGCAGTAGTATCAGAGGCAGCTTCCCTTGTACCTGCCCAGAGCTGGCAGGCGATGGCTGTGCCAGCCGAAGGGCTGGGGCTTAACTGCAGAAATGGTTTAGTCTTGGATCTTGGTTCCTCAGCCCTCTCAGTGATTTTGTGAACTACCCAATATCCTTCCAATGAATCCTTTTCCTGCTTAAAGTCAGAAGGATTTTCTGTTGCTTACAGTTAAGGATCTGGTTAAAAAGGGTGATGCTTTTGCAACTCACTTTTTAAAATTTCTTTTTATTTTAGAGACAGGATCAGCCAGGTATCATAGCTTATGCCTGTAATCCCAACACTTTGGAAGGCTGAAGTGGAAGGATCCTTTGAAGCCAGGAATTCACGACCAGCCTGGGCAGCACAGTGAGACCCTCGTCTCTTTAAAAACATAAATAAATAAGGCCAGCCACGGTGGCTCACGCCTGTAATCCCAGCACTTTGGGAGTCCGAGGTGGGCGGATCACGAGGTCAGGAGATCGAGACCATCCTGGTTAATACAGTGAAACCCCGTCTCTACTAAAAATACAAAAAAGAAAAAAAAACATTAGCCAGGTGTGGTGGCGGGCGCCTATAGTCCCAGTTACTCGGGAGGCTGAGGCAGGAGAATGGCATCAACCCAGAAGGCAGAGCTTGCGGTGAACCGAGATTGCACCACTGCACTCCAGCCTGGGTGGCAGAGCGAGACTCTGTCTCAATAAATAAACAGTAAATAAATAAATAAAATAAAATAAAATAAAATTAGCCCGTGTGGTGGCATATGCCTATAGTACCAGCTACTAGAGAGCTGAGGTGGGAGGATCACTTGAGTCCAGGAGTTTGAGACCAGCTTGGGAAACATAGTGAAACCTCATCTCTACAAAAAATTTAAAAATTAGGCGGTTAGGGTGGCATGCCTCTGTAGTCCCAGCTACTGGGGAGGTTGAGGTGGGAGGATCGCTTGAGCCCAGGAGTTCTAGGCTGCAGTGAGCCATGATTGTGCCACTGCACTCCAGCCTGGGTGACAGAGCAAGACCCTGTCTTTTTTCTTTTTTTTCCATGAGACATTTTATTTGTAAATATATGTATTACATCCCTAGAAAAAGAATCCCAGGATTTTCCCTCCTGTGTGTTTTCGTCTTGCTTCTTCATGGTCCATGATGCCAGCTGAGGTTGTCAGTACAATGAAACCAAACTGGTGGGATGGAAGCAGATTATTCTGCCATTTTCTAGATCTTTGAGTTGCACACCGAATCTGGGGCTGATCACTCCACACTTGTTTAGCCTGCCTGTGAGGTTCGCAACAATTTTCCCAGCTCTGCGATCATCAATGATTTCAAATTCGCCAATGTAACCATGCTTCATCATCACAGTGAGAAACCGGACGATGAGTTTGGAGCACGGCCTAATAAGCACTGGGCGTTTGCCTCTCTTTTCGGCATTGTTGATGCTCTTGAGAGCATCGGCCAGGACGTTCACGCACACCATGGTGGCGTCGTGGGAAGATGGCGGAAAAGCTTTTTTTTTTTAAGAGACAACTTATCAACTATATTCATTCCATTCTTGGGGCACAGTTAGGTTGTTCCCACATTTTTACTATTGTGAACAGTGCTACGACACATATCCTTGTACACCTGTCTCCTTGTGTCCATGTATGAAAGTCGACATAGGGTCTAAGCATCTGCAACTTCACTAGGTATTGACAAACTCCCAAGTAGTTGTACTAGTTTACCAAAAACCATCAGCGTGAGTATGAGTTCAGGTTTCCCACATATTTACCACCATTTGGTTTTAGAAAATCCATTAACTTTTTCCAATTTTATGGGACATTATATCTCACTGTTGCTTTGATTTCTATGTCCTTGATTCTAGGTGAGGCTTAGCAACTTGTCATATGAAAGGTTATTGGGGGCTGGGCAAGGTGGCTCACACCTGTGATCCCAGCACTTTAGGAGGCAAAGGCAGGGGGATCGCTTGAGCCCAGGAGTTCAAGGCCAGTCTAGGCAACACAGCGAGAACCTGTCTCTATTAATAAAAAAAGAAAAAAGAAAAGAAAGGTTATTGGGAAGCCCCAGAATGGAAGTCTCTGTGGCTTTTTCCTCTTGAGCTGGTCCATTTCCCCAGAGAGGAATTTTCCTGGAAGTCAGCATCCACTCACCCATGCTCTTTCCAGGCTGTTACCTCCCTCCATCCTCAGCTGAGTCTGGGGTTGCCAAGGTCACCAAGTTGAACATGTATATGGCACAGCCTTGCCAGAGAAGAGGCCAGTGTTCCGCTTGGAGCAGGGAGGGGCAGCTGCCTGGCTGCATGTAATGGGAGTGGTCTCTGGAAGACTTTCAGCTTCTCCTCTCTTTCAGCCCCATGCTGAACACCCCCCTTCAGAAGCACCTACTGCCTTGCGCAGGCTCTGCGTTACAAACCCACTTCCTTTTGGCTGGCCAGGTCCTCTGCATACTTGGTGCCACCTTCTCCCTGCTGCTGACTCTGTCACCCTCCAGCCATCCCCTTTCCAGCTTCTAAAATTCTGCCAGCGCTGTGTGCTGCTCTCTCCTGTCCTGTTCATTCCCTTTGTCCTTTTGGCTTGATACTTCTTAAATTCCTTTACTGTCTTTTCAGAGGAAAGGGGCTTCCATGGGGAGAAGAGTGTATGTTAGGCCCACCATTTTTATTTTTTATTTATTTTTACTTATTTATTTTGAGATGGAGCCTGTTGCCCAGGCTGGAGTGCAATGGTGTGATCTCAGCTTACTGCAACCTCTGCTTCCTGGGTTCAAGCAATTCTTCTGCCTCAGCCTCCCAAGTAGCTGGGATTACAGGTGTGTGCCACCACACCTGGCTAATTTTTGTATCTGTAGTAGAGACAGGGTTTCACCATGTTGACCAGGCTGGTCTCAAACTCCTGACCTCAAGTGATTCGCCCGCCTCGGCTTCCCAAAGTGCTGGGATTATAGGTGTGAGCCACTGCACCCGGCCAGGGCCTCTATATTTAAACGGACACTGTGTAGGTATTTAGTCTAGAATGTACTTTGTATGGTGGAAGGTAAGGATCTAATATTAGCTTTTTCAGCACCACGTACCGCTTAGTCCATTCTTTCCTTCATGGTTTGTTATGCCACCTCTGTCAGAGCCAAACTCCTGCACCCGTTGGATTTCTTTCTAGGCTGCCAATTCTGTTCCATTAGGATGGATAAAGAGGGACAAAGACACACAGCTATCCATGTGCCAAGACCATAGTTTTAATCATGATAGCTGGTGGTGAAAGCTTATTCTTGTTCCTCTTCAAAATTGTTTTTGTTGGGTCAGGCACAGTGGCTCACGCCTGTAATCCCAACACCTTGGGAGGCTGAGGTGGGTGGATCACCTGAGGTCAGGAGTTCAAGACCAGCCTGGCCAACATGATGAAACCCCGTCTCTGCTAAAAATACAAAAATAGCCCGGTATGGTGGCCTGTGCTTGTAATCCCAGCTACTTCGGAGGCTGAGGCACAAGAATCGCTTGAACTTGGGAGGCAGAGGTTACAGTGAGCCCAGAGCATACCACTGCACTCCAGCTTGGGCGACAGAGCAAGACCCTGTCTCAAAAAAAGAAAAAAATTGTTTTTTTTGGACTTCTGGTTTGTGTATGGTAGAATAAAATTAGCATTTTCCTCCCTCCTCTCAAAAATCATGAGAAGCAACATGGAGAATGAGATACAGAAACATAAAATCCATTTCCAGTAAACCTAGGAGCTACCCGAGATCCTGAGTACTAAAATAGGCCAGAGTGCTGAAGGCAGCAGGGATCCAGCAGAGGGACAGGAGGAAGATCACAGAGGGTGCCTGTGGCTGCAGATAGAGCAGTAGCAACTGCAGAAGCAAACACTTGCACAGCATTTGCAATGACGCTGAGGCTCAGAAAGATGACGTGACTGCGCACAGTCACACAGTAAGCAGGTGACACGGGCAGAATTCAAACCCGGGCCATCTGGCCCCAGAGTCTGTGCCCATGACCTCTCTGCCTGGTTTCCCATCCCCCTACACACACCCAAATGTGAGAAGCAGCAAAGTGCATGCCTTGAGGGCGAGGGGCACACCCTAGTGTATAAAAATAAAATCTTGGCTGGGCACGTTGGCTCACGCCTGTAATCCCAACACTTTGGGAGGCCCAGGTGGGTGGATCACCTGAGGTTGGGAGTTCGAGACCAGCCTGACCAACATGGAGAAACCCCGTCTGTATTAAAAATACAAAACTAGCCAGGCATGGTGGCGCATGCCTGTAACCTCAGCTACTCGGGAGGCTGAGGCAGGAGAATTGCTTGAACCCAGAAGGCAGAGATTGCAGTGAGCTAAGATTGCGCCATTGCACTCCAGCTTGGGCAACAAGAGCGAAACTCCATCTCAAATAAATAAGTAAATAAATAAAATCTTTTTGCAGCAACTGGAGCAGATCAACAGCAGCTGCAAGAACACCCCTGGGTCTGCTTTGCTCCCAAGGAACAAAGCAAAAGCGGCCAATTGAGGAATCATGCAGGCAAGCCATATGTGATGGAATAAAGATGGCTGCAATTTCTTTGCCACTCCTCCCATGAAGAAGTGGAGTCTGTTTCCCCTCCCCTTGAATTTGGACAGGCTGTGTCACGCTTTGACCAATAGAAGGTGTCAGAAGTGATGTTGTGTGACTTTCAAGGTTGGTCTCCAGGACATCGGCAGCTTCCACTCTCAATACTTGAAACACTCCTTCTTGGAATGCAGTTGCCATGCTGTAAGGAAGCCCAAGATAGAACAAGGAAAAGCCCAGAACTGTAGCCTCAGCTAACAGCACCAGCTACCAGCTGTGAGTGGAACATCTTGGAAGTTACAGCCCAGTTGAGCTTCTGGATGCATGCAATTCCAGCCACCACCATGTGGAGGCAGAGTTGAGTCATACCCACAGAGCCTGCCTAAAATACAGAATTTTTATTTAAATGGTTGCTGCTGTCTTAAGCCACTACGTTTTGGGGTGATTTGTCATACAGCAACAGATAACTGAAATACCGTATTTGCAGAAATCAGACTGTGTGATGGGAGAAGAGTAGCTTTGCATTGTCAATTTTGTTAATCTTTTAAAAACCCAATTCTTGGTTTCACTGATTTACTCTATTGTTTTTCTATTCTCTATTTTATTTATCTGTACTCTAATTTTTATGATCTTATTCCCTCTACTTGCTTCTGGTTTAGTTTGATCTTCTTTTTCTAGTTTCTTAAGATGGAAGCTTAAGTTATTGATCTGAAGTATTTCTTTTCTTTTTTTTCCTTTTTTTTTTTTTCTCTCAGAGACACGGTCTCACTATGTCGCTAAGGCTGGAGTACAGTGGTTATTCACAGGCATGATCATCGCACATACAGCCTCAGACTCCTGGGCTAAGTGATCCTCCTGCCTCAGGGTCCGGAGCAGCTGGGTCTACAGGTGCACACTACTACCCCTGCTCAGATCTTTATTTTAAAAAAATTTTTTAGAGGCAGGGTCTCACTCCATCACCTGGACTGAGGTACAGCAGCATGATCATAGCATCCTGCAGCCTCAGACTCCCAGGATCAAGTGATCCTCCTGCCTCAGACTCCTGGGTAGCTGGGATTAGAGGTGTACACCACCATGCCTGGCTTTTTTTTTTTTTTTTTTTTTTTTTTTTGTAGAGACGATATATGTTTATCTGGGAATGTCTTAATTTCTCCATCTTCCCTCTGCCCTCTGGCTGCCATAGATTCTGATGGGGAATTACCTGTGAATCTTACTGAGGATGGCTGTCTGCAATGAGTAGTTTCTCTCTTGCTACTTCTTGCTACTTTCAAAATTTTGATTTTTTTTTAAGACAGTCTCACTCTGTCGTCCAGTCTGGAGTGCAGTGGCGCAATCTTAGCTCACTGCAACCTCCACCTCATAGGTTCAAGCAATTCTCCTGCCTCAGCCTCCCAAGTAGCTGGGACTACAGGCGCCCACTATCATACCCGGATAATTTTTTTTTTTGAGATGGATAATTTTTTTTTTTTTTTTTGGAGATGGAGTCTCACTCTGTCACCCAGGCTGGAGTGCAGTGGCACGATCTCGGCTCACTACAACCTCCACCTCCTGGGTTCAAGCAATTCCCTGCCTCAGCCTCCCAAGCAGCTGGGGTTACAGGTACCCACCACCACGCCCGGCTAATTTTTGTATTTTTAGTAGAGACAGGGTTTCACCATCTTGGCCAGGCTGGTCTTGAACTCCTGACCTTGTGATCCACCCACCTTGGCCTCCCAAAGTGCTGGATTTACAGGTGTGAGCCACCACACCCAGCCAATTTTTGTATTTTTAATAGAGATGGGATCTCACTATATTGCCCAGGCTGGTCTAGAACTCCTGACCTCAGGTGATCCACTGGACTTGGGCTCCCAAAGTGCTGGGATTACAGGCATCAGCCACAGCAACCAGCCATCAAAAGTCTCTTTGGCTTTGACTTTCAATCATTTGATTATAATGTGTCTAGGTGTGAATGTCTTTGAGTTTATTCTGCTTGAAGTAAACTATTAATGTTTTTAATAAAATGTGAGACACTTTTGGCCACTTTCTTCTTCAAATTTTTTCCTCACCTTTCTCTGTCTCTCTCCTTTGGGGACTCCCATTTTGTGTATGCTGGTATGTTTGATGATGTCCTACAGATCTTAGTCTGTTCCTTTTTCTTCATTCTCTCCTTTCCCCCTTCCTCAAACTAGATCATCTCAGCTAACCTATCTTCAAGGTCACTCATTCTTTGCCTGCTCAAATCTGTTGTTGAGCCCCTCTAGTGAATTTTTCATTTCAGTTATTGTGCTTTTCAACTCCAGAATTTCTACTTGGTTCTTTATTATAATTCCTATCTTTGTTGATATTCTGTTTGGTAAGTTATTCTTATACTTTCATTTAATTCTTTAGACACGGTTTTCTTAAGTTTTTTAAACTTTTTTTGAAATGGAGGTCTCACTATTTTGCCCAGGTTGGTCTCAAACTCCTGCAATCCTCCCACTTCAGCCTCCTGAGTAGCTGGGACTACAAGTGCCCACCACAGTGCCTGGCTAAACATATTTGAAATAGCTGATTAAGTATTTTTTTCAAGTGGGTTCATTGTTTGGATTTCCTCAGGAACAGTTTTTACTGGTTGCTTTTTTTCCTGTGTATGGGTCCATACTTTCTTTTTCCTTTTCATGTCTCATAATTTTTTTGAAAAATGGACATTTTGAATAACAAGATGTGGCAGCTCTAGAAATAGATTCTTCTCCCTCCCCAGGATTTGTTGTAATTACTGTTGTTTGCTTAGTGACTTTTCTGACTTAATTCTGTGAAGTCTATATTCTGTGTTGTATATGGCTACTGAAGTCTTTTCTTGGTTAGCTTAGTGGTCAGCCAATGATGACACAGATTTCTGTCACTGCCTGGAACCAGCAAGCCTCACAGCCTTTGCCCAGGGGCTCTGGGTGCATGTTGGGGTGTGCCTTCCACAGTCAGCCTGGCAGTTGACAACTCTGCCCCAGCATTGACCTACTCCTTGGAAAAGGCCCTGGCTCTTATTCCACCTGAAAAGCTCACCCTCTCAAATAAATTAAAGATGAATCAGTAGGGGATCTATGCAAAGACACTAGAAGAAAAAAGGAGGAAAGGGGCCAGGTGTGGTGGCTTATGCCTATCATCCCAGAACTTTGGGGGGCTAAGAGGGAAGGATCACTTGAGCCCAGTAATTCAAGACCAGTCTGGCCAACACAGGGAAACATTGTTTCTACAACATAAAAAATAAATTTAAAAAAAAGAAAAAAGGAAGAAAGGAACAAGATAAATATACAAAAACTGAAGAACACTTATTAGAAAATTTTTACCACTGAGCAGGTGAAAAATTCAAATAAGTATTTCATTTAAAAATTTAAAAAAAAAAAAAACTCTTCCGTAAAGCCAAAGCACAAATAAGAAACTAAGGTTGCCAGGCACGTTGGTTCACGACTGTAATTGCAGCACTTTGGGAGGCTGAGGCGGGTGGATTGCTTGAGGTCAGGAGATCGAGACCAGCCTGACCAACATGGTAAAACCCTGTCTCTACTAAAAAAAAAAAAAAATTAGCCAGGCATGGTGGCAAGTGCCTGTAATCCCAGCTACTTGGGAGGCTGAAGCAGGAGAATCACTTGAACCCAGGAGGCGGAGGTTATAGTGAGCCAAGATCATGCCACTGCACTCCAGCCTGGGTGACAGAGCGAGACTCCGTCTCAGAAAAAAAAAAAAAAAAAAGAAAGAAAGAAAGAAACTGAGGCCAGGCATGGTGGCTCATGCCTGTAATTCCAGTGCTTTGGGAGTCTGAGTGAGGAGGATCACCTGAGGCCAGGAGTTCAAGACCACCCTGGGCAACATAGTGAGACCCCATCCCTACAAAAAATTAAGAATAGGCCAGGCCTAGTAGATTCTTGCCTGTAATTCTAGCACTTTGGGAGGCTAAGATGGGAGGATTGCTTGAGGCCAGGAGTTCTACACCAGACTGGGCAAGATGGCAAGATCCCATCTCTACAAAAAATTTAAAAATTAGCTGGGCATGGCATGCACCTGTGGTCCCAGCTACTCAGGAGGCTGAGTGAGGAAGATTTATTGAGCCTAGGAATTTGAGGCAGCAGTGAGCTATGATCATGCCACTGCATTTCAGCCTGGGTGACAAAGAGGGACCCCATCTCTTAAAAAAAAATTAATACATATGTATTTTTAAATGGCCAGGTGCGGTGGCTCATGCCTGTAATCCCAGCACTTTGGGAGGCTGAGGCAGGTGGATCACGAGGTCAGGAGTTCAAGTCCAGCCTGGCCAACATGGTGAAACCCCATCTCTACTAAAAAAAAATACAAAAATTAGCCGGCTCTGGTGGTGGGCACCTGTAATCCCAGCTACTTTGGAGGCTGATGCAGGAGAATCACATAAACCCAGGAGGCAGAGATTGCAGTGAGCCAAGAAAGCGCCACTGCACTCCAGTCTGGGCAAAAGAGTAAGACTCCATCTTGAAAAAAAATTTTTTTTTAATTAAAAAAAAGCCAGGCATGGTGGTGCAGGCCTGTAGTCCTGGCTACTTGGAGTCTGAGACAGGAGGATCTCTCGAGCCCAGGAGTGCAAGGCTGTAGTGAACTAGGATTGTGTCACTGCATTCCAGCCTGGGTGACAGAGTGAGACTCTGTCTCAAAAAAGAGAGAGAGAAAGAGCTGGCAAAACCCAGGAAATACGTGGAAGAGAAAAATTAAAGCAGCACAGAGGAGAAGAGAAAATGGAAAGTATCACAGGAAAAGCAGATGCCACCAAAAACACAGAGAGGACTGTAACAAAGTGAGTGAGAAAATGGAAAGGGGATAGTTAAATGGGAAGTTTACCCTGTAAGCTCTTCTTCCTAGATAGCTAAAAGGAAATGACATATGGCAAACGGACAAGAGAGCTAATAGATACGCAGTTGTAGTTCCTAAGGAAACAAAAGAACAAACATGAAGACAGAATCCTGAAACTGTTTCCAGCACTAAGAAAACAGGATTATGCATCTTCAAAGGCCATGTCCCAATAAAAGTGGATATAAACAGTCAACATTTCCAAATGAACTGACGTTCACAGATAAGGATACAATTCTTTGAACTGACAGGCTAACGGACCAAATCACCAGTAAGAAGAAAAGAATGTGCGGGGCTCACCCATCTCTGCAACTGCGACCCAATGTTATAGGACAGCGGAGCAAACAACACCTAGAAATCCTGAAAGATGCAAATGTAACCCAAGACGTTTATACCCAGCCCACACATTTCTGAACAGGCAAAACTCAAGGAATGTTGCTCTTGTGAGCTCCTCCTAAGGAAAATACTCAAAGGTGAAGCTCAGCCATCCAGGATGGGAGCCCAAGCTAATAGTCTGGCACAGCAGAGCTCCCGGGATGGCTGAGCAAGGGCTCCCACGCCTGCGCTCAGTGTAGAACTCACGCCTTTCATACCCTGGGGGACCATTCCAATGCCCCCTTCTCTATACAAGAAATGATTTTCAGTTAATAACCATGTTCTCATTAATAATTATTTTCTTCATTACTTAATTTTAAAACAAAAAATTAACTTCAAATTTTAAAAATATTATTCAATCAAATGAAATATTTCATGTACCAATTAAAAGTTATACTGATTAAAAAAAACTACACCTTAAGCTGACATTCTATTTTGCTGTTTTAAATTCAAAAAACAGCAAATTTATGGATTTGGGATGGGATTACAGGTATGGCAACAGGCACCTGTAATCCCATCTATTTAAGAGGCTAGGGCAGGCCAGGTGTGGTGGCTCACACCTGTAATCCCAACATTTGGGAGGCCAAGGTGGGTGGATCGTTTGAGGTCAGGAGTTCGAGACTAGCCTGGCCAACATGGCGAAACCCTGTCTCTATTAAAAATACAAAAATCAGCTGGGCGTGGTGGTGGACACCTGTAATCCCAGCTACTTGGGAGGTCTAGGCACAACAATCACTTGAATCCGGGAGGTGGAAGTTGCAGTGAGCTGAGATTGTGCCACTGCACTCCAACCTGGACAACAGAGCGAGACTCTGTCTAAAAAGAAAAAAAGAAAAAAAAAAAAGAAACTAGGGCGGGAGGATGGCTTGAGCCCAGGAGTTCCAGTCCAGTCTGGGCAACATCGCAAGACCCCATCTCAACTATAAAAAAAAAAAAAAAAAAGAATTAAAAACAAATTAAAACTCCAAGCAATCATATAACTGAATTGAAATGATTCAAGTTGTTTAATCATTTTTACAAGCACAGCATACAATCACTTCTATACACTCTGTGTACCATCATTTATTTCATATTCACTAAATGCAGAAGTATGTTGTACGGTGGGGCTAAAGACACAAACCACACTGAAGAGAGCAGAAAGCATTTCAAATCTTTAGGGACCTACTCTCCAAATAAGTAGCTGTGTTTGTTGAGGGGGGAGTAATTTTCCGAATTAGCTTCCATGTAGAATATAAAGGATAACTAATTAAAATGTGCTAATTTGAAGGATATAGAGGGTTAATAATTTCATTTAAGTTCTTGGGTACATGTGCAGGATATACAGTTTTGTTACATAGGTAAACATGTGCCATGATGGTTTGCTGCACCTATCAACCTATCACCTAGGCATTAAGCCCAGCATGAATTAGCTATTTATCCTGATGCTCTCCCTCCCCACAGATAGAGGGGTTTTTTAGTTTTTTTTTAATTGAAACTCAAGGCTGGGCACAGCGGCTCACGCCTATAAACCCAGCACTTCAGGAGGCTGAGGCGGGCGAATCACATGAGGTCAGGAGTTCCAGGCCAGCCTAGTCAACATGGTGAAACCCCGCCTCTATTAAAACTACAAAAATTAGCTGGGCATGGTGGCGCATGCCTCTAATCCCAGCTACTTTGGAGGCTGAGGCAGGGGAATCGCTTGAACCTAGGCGGTGGAGGTTGCTGTGAGCTGAGATTGCTTCATTGCACTCCAGCCTGGCGACAGAGCGAGACTACATTTCAAAAAAGAAAGAAAAGAAAAGAGAGAAAGAGAGAAGGAAGAAAGAAAGAAAGAAAGAAAGAAAGAAAGAAACTCTCAACAATGACCTAAGCAATTATATAAAACTTAGATCCTAACTAAAAGATTTTGAGAGAGGAACATTTTATCACCAACATTGTTTAGGATTGCCAGCACAGGGTTTTACAATAAAGAGACGGGCTAATCAGTTGCTTTATTGTTTTTAGGTTCTCTGCTGACCTGGACCCCCATCTATTGCCAGCACCTGGGGCTGACCCACCTGCTGCCCTGCCCTTAGTGCCTCCCACCCCCACCTTCACCCCCATATGACATATGTGATCTTAAGGTTCACATCACTTTTTTAGGTGATGAGATCTCTTGGCTGAGTTGAGATTGTAGAAAATCAACTCCAGCATAAGGAGCAGGCAGAGGTGCCCTAAGGTGAGGGAGGGAGATGAAGTGGAATGGGGGCAGGGGTGAGAGGGGAGAGGAGTGGAGGTGAGGGCCAAGCTGAGGCTGGAGCCCGGCGAAGGGGAAGAGGACTGGAAGGATGATGAAGAAGATACCCTTGGTTCCCTTGGGCTGGAGATTGGGCTTTGGTGGCTGAGTCACAGGGCTGGGGCCTGCAGGGGATCAGCCACCCTGCCCTGCCCTGCGGGTGAAAAAAGAGGGAGGGAATAGTTCAGGCAGGAGGTAATCCAGTAAAGACTTGCCTGACGGCTAGAACCAGATAATAACAGCACACAGTCTTGGAGACACAAGTAGATCCTCTCCTCCCGCTCCCCCTCCCCCGTCCCCGTCCCTGTCCCCTCCTCCTCCTCTTGCTTCACACTCTCCTCCTCCCCAGCTCTTAAACATGGTCCTGGGCCCCTGCTCCAGGCTACCCAGTCCTCCTCCACCCTCCTGCCCTCCTTCCCTGACCCTGGAACTCACCCCTCCAGATGGCGTCCTCGAGATGGAGAGGCGATGCCATCCAGGTGCAGACAGACATGGACGCACCTGCAGGGGAGAAAAGGTTGTCACTGGCCAGCCCTGAGACCCACGCAGGAGCAAGCAACAACATCCGGAGGACACTGGAACTGAACAACCATGAATAAGAGCACAAGGGTCAGGGCCCAGAAGAGAAATGACAGGACGCCACCAGAGAAGGCGGAACAAGACCTGAGACGGACAGTCCTGAGGAAATTCCACCTGTCAGGAGAAGCTTGTGGTTTGCACACGAGCTGAAAGGCATCAGTGTTTGAGAACAGGGCTGGGAAACAACACAGAAGAGGTGCCCATCTGCCAGCCAACCAGAGTGCAGTTGTTTTGGATTCGGAATCCCTGGTTTTCCTGGGGCACCTTGGGAGCCTCTAATGAGAATTGGTGCATTTGCCATTTTCTTCTTGGGGACCATTCTTTTCCACAAAGAGTAAAAGATCTGAAGTGATTCAACATCAGGCTCTGCAGAAATGTTTTAAAAAATAAATTATGTAAAAGATGTCATTTTATTAGCAGAAGAGCAAAAGTTATGATATATTTTGAAGAAATCAAGCTACAGAGGGAGAATTTATCAAAGAGGTTGTTTTACCTACAATCAGAAGGATATGAAGCAAACATGAGAGAAAATCTGCCCCTGATTTGGGGGAACCGAGGAAGAAAAGAATGTAAAGAAGGCATGGCTCAGTGGCTCACGCCTGTAATCCCAGAACTTTGGGAGGCCGAGGTGGGTGGATCACTTGAGGTCAGGAGTTTGAGACCAGCCTGGCCAACATGGCAAAATCCCATCTCTACTAAAAATACAAAAATTAGCTGGGTCTTCTGGCGCACACCTGTAATCCCAGCTACTCGGAGGCTGAGGCACGAGAATCACTTGAACCAACCCGGGAGGCGGAAGCTGCAGTGAGCCAAGATCACGCCACTGCATTCCAGCCTGGGCGACAGAGTGAGACCCTGTCTCCAAAAAAAAAAAAAAAGAAGACATGGAAAGCCAGTACTTCATGAAAAGATTATAATAAGAAATTTAGTAAAGCTTTAGGAAGGAAAAGAGAAACGCTTAATGAACCCCAAAACCAAGCCGAGAGAAGATTAAGTCTGAACACCTTAAAATTCAAGAAAACAAAACATACCAGACTTAAGAGCACGAAACAGTTGCTACAGGAAGTGAAAGATGAGTGAGCGACATTCTAAGCCTTCCTACTTCTCCAGAAGCCTTCATGCAGGAGTTCTCGCTGCCTGTGCATTGAAGTCACCTGGAAGGGCTTGAAAAAACACTGATGCTGGGCCCCGCCCCCAGAATTCCTCGGCTAAGAGGTCTGAGGGGCACTTGATCACTGGGATTTTAAAAGCTCCCCAGGTGATTCTAACAGGCAACCAGGATGAAGCTGGAAGAAATAAAGTGGAGAGGGAGGAAAAAAACAATCACTCAAGAACACAATACTGGTTAATAAATGTTGTACTTAAGCTGGCCAGATGTAGTGGCAGACACCTGTAATCCTAGCGCTTTGGGAGGCTGAGATGGGAGGATTGCTTGAGGCCAGGTGTTCCAGACCAGCCTGGTCAACATAACAAGACCCCATCTCTACACAAAAATTAAAAATGGCCTGGCACACTGGCTCATGCCTGTAATCCCAGCACTTTGGGAGGCCAAGGCGGGTGGATCACTTGAGATCGGGGGTTCAAGACCAGCCTGGCCAACATGGTGAAACCCCCATCTCTACTAAAAATATAAAAATTAGCTGGGTGTGGTGGTGGGCACCTGTCATCCTAGCTACTGGGGAGGCTGAGGCAGGAGAATCACTTGAACCCGGGAGGCAGAGGTTGCAGTGAGCCGAGATCATGCCACTGCACTCCAGCCTGGGCAACAGGGCAAGACTCTGTCTCAAATAAAAATAAAAATAATAATAAAGTTGTACTTGAAAAAAACTCAAATGTCCATCAACAGGAGAATGGATAACCAAACTGAGGCATATCCCCCCAGTGGAATACCACTCAGCAATACAAAATGCTCCTATATAGACAACAAGGATAAATCTTTAAAAACATTATGCTGGCCGGGCGCGGTGGCTCACGCCTGTAATCCCAGCACTTTGGGAGGCCGAGGCAGGCAGATCACCTGAGGTCGGGAGTTCATAGACCAGCCTGGCCAACATGGTGAAACCCCATCTCTACTAAGAATACAAAAATTAGCCAGGCATGGTGGCAGGTGCCTATAATCCCAGCTACTCGGGAGGCTGAGGCAGGAGAATCGCTTGAACCCAAAAGGCAGAAGTTGCAGTGAGCTGAGATCGCGCCACTGCACTCCAGCCTGGGAGCCAGTGTGAGACTCTGTCTCAAAAAAAATAAATAAATAATTAAAAAATAAAAATAAAAAAAGAAACACTGTACTTGAAAAAGAGGCCATTTCGAATGCAAACTGAGTGGTGAGGTGTGAGCTGGACAAGAGCAGACATCACACACAAAGCATTTGGCCACCATGGCAGTGGAGAAGGAGTGTAGAACCTTGCCACAGAGACCCTTAAATACTGCATCAGCAGAGGAGGGGCTCTGCACGAGGCACCGACTCAAGAGAGAATGAATAAGAGGACAGAGTGGAGCAGGCAGGAGCTCTTAGCTGCAGAGGAAGCAAAAAACTAAGCAAAGTGTTCCAGAACAGGAAGGAAAATTACAGAAGGGACAGAGAGAGAGAGATAAGTCTAATGAAACTGATTGTTCTTCATGATCAGTGAGTCCATGACAATATGTGTGTTGCTGTTGCTACCAAAAGAACACTTGTTGGACAGAAGCAGCAAGCTGCCAGCCTGGGACAGAAATTAATGTAAGTAAAACCAAAGATGGCAATGCTTCTAACACCAGCGACTGTAAAACCAATTCCAGAAAGACAAGATTATGAAATCCTACTATATTTCAGGAAAACTCTACAAAAACAGATGGCAGATTTTTGCAAGACAGGCCAAGATGGCTGACAGCATTCCAGTCAAAAGGAACAGGAAAGAAGAGATGGGCCAGCACAACTTAAAGCTGCACACATTAGGCCAGGCGTGGTGGCTCATGCCTGTAATCCTAACACTTTGGGAGGCTGAGGCTGGTGGATCACCTGAGGTCAGGAGTTCGAGACCAGCCTGGACAACATGGTGAAACCCCGTCTCTACTAAAAACACAAAAAATTAGCCAGGCATGGTGGCAGGCACCTGTAATCCCAGCTACTCGGGAGGCTGAGGCAGGAGAATCGCTTGAACCCAAAAGGTGGAGGTTGCAGCGAGCCGAGATTGCGCCACTGCACTCCAGCCTGGGTGATAGAGTGAGACTTGGTCTCAAAAAAAAAAAAAAAAAGTTGCACACATTACTTTCATTCATAATCATCGGCCAGAACTTAACCCTTTGGCAATATCAAGCTGCAAGGGAAACTGGAAGTATGGTCTATACTATGAGGAGCCATGTGTCTATAAAAATCAGGCATCTGTCACACAAAAAAATTAAAGCTAATAAAAGAGTTCAGCAAAGTTGCAGGATACAAGATAAATATACAAAAATTGGCTGTATTTTACCTGGGCATGGTTTATGTGAGTAGTCCCAGCTACCAGGGAGGCTGAGGCAAGAGAATTGCTTGAGCCCAGGAGTTTGAGGCCAGCCTGGGCAACATAGCAAGATTCTGTCTCTTAAAAAGAAAAAAAGGTTGTATGTTTACACATTAGCAATGGACAATATGAATGAAAATAAAATTTTAAGAACAGTTTCATTCACTATAGCATCAAAAAAGATAAAATACTTAGGAGTAAGTTTAACAAAAGAAGTGCAAGACAGGTACACTGAAAATTACAAAGCATTATCCAAAAAATTACAGATCTAAATAAATAGAAAGACAAATAAATGAATAAAAAGACCTAAATAAATGGAAAAATTTTGTGTTCATGAATTGGAAGACTTAATATTGTTAAGACTTCAATACTCCCCAAATCACTCTACAACTCAATATAATCATTATCAGAATTCCACCTGCTTTTTTATATGTGTGAAAATGGACAAGCTGATTCTAAAATTCATATGGAGGCCAGGCACGGTGGCTCATGCCTGTAATCCCAGCACTTTGGGAGGCCGAGGCAGGCAGATCACTTGCAGTTAGGAGTTTGAGACCAGCCTGGCCAACATGATGAAACTCTGTCTCTACTAAAAATACAAAAATTAGCTGGGCGTGGTGGTACATGCCTATAATCTCAGCTACTCGGGAGGCTGAGGCACGAGAATTCCTTAAGCCCTGGAGGCAGAGGTTGTAGTGAGCTGAGAACATGCCACTGCACTCCAGCCTAGACAACAGAACAAGACTCTGTCACACACACACAAAAAGAATAAAATTAAATTCATATGGAAATCCAAGAGACCCTGAACAGCCAAAGTCTTCATGAAAAAGAACAAAGTTGGAAGACTCATACTTCTGCTTTCAAAACTTACTACAAAGCTCCAATAATCAAAACTGTGTGGTACTGACATAAGGATAAACATATAGATCAAATAGAACTGAATCCAGAAATAAACCCATATATCTATGGTCAACTGATTTTTGACAAGGGCGCCAAGACCATTCAATGAGGAAAACAGTCTTCAACTAACAGTGCTAGGATAACTGGATATCTGTGTGCCAAAAGAATGAAGTTGGGCCCCTACCTCATACAAAAGTTAGGTCAAAATAAGTCAAAGACCTAGACGTGAGAACCAAAACTATGAACCTATTAGAAGAAAACACAGGAGTAAATCTTCATGACGTTGGAGTAGGCAATAAACAAAATTCTATGATTAGAATCTCACCATCTCCTGCAGCATAGGAATCCAGCAAGAGTGGATGCAGCTGAGGAAGGAAACTGGATAGTTGGAAGTTAGGAAGAGGGAGAGTTACTTTCAACTGTATATTCATTTTTATCTTTTGCATGTTGTACCATTTGCATATAATACCGATTCAAAAAATACAATTTAAATTAAGAGAAAGAAAGAAAGAGATGGCAGGCCAAATTTGGCCCCAGGGCTATACTTTGCTGAGTCCTGCTCTAAGCCAAAGTGGCTCCTCTGGCCCACCACTGAAATCAGCAGAACACTCTACCCCCAATCATGATGAATGTGTGGTTCTAGAATGTTGTGTTAATTAGGACAGGCCAGCTTTATCTCCACCCTCTGACTTGCTTAGGCCTTACTAAGGAATCTAAAGTCCTTGCCACTACCTGCTCATCAGGTCCAAAGAAAACAGTATCATTCATGCAATGATGTTCTGTGAGACAGTAAAATGATTAAAACCTCTGCAGACTAGATTATGGGCGAACAAGAGGGTTATCAACCTTGAGGCAAGACTGCAAAGGTATACTGTTGGGCCTATCAGATGAAATTAGAAGGCTTTTGTTAGTTTTTGCAAATTGTTATTGAGAAAAAAATCATTTGCCAGATCAAGAGTGGTGTATCAGGGGACCAGGGAATATGCTGATTTGCTCCAAAAAGATATCACATCTGGTACAGCAGCTACAGCTGGAGTCACTATCTGATTATGTTTACAATAAATAACAGAAATTCTCTAAAAGCCTTCTGCCTTCTGCACAAGCCAAACAAATGAGATAAATGAGGGCATGAGGCCGGGTGTGAGGCCAGGTGTGGCAGGTCTTTATCCCAGCACTTCGGGAGGCCAAGATGGGAGAATCACAAGTCCAGGAGTTCGAGACCAGCCTGGGCAACATAGCAAGAACCCTGTTTGTACACACGTACAAAAATTAGCTGAGCATGGTGGCATGCGCTTGTAGTCCCAGTACTCAAGAGGCTGAGGTGGGAGGGTGGCTTGAACCTACAAGTTCAAGGCTTCAGTGAGCTATGATCATGCCACTGCACTCCAGCTTGGGCAGCAGGGTGAGACCCCGTCTCAAAAAACAAAAAACAAAAATGAGGGTCTGACAGGTAGCCTCGTCCCTGAAGTTTCCCCAGCATGCAGCATTACTTTTAGTTTACCATCCAGAGAGAGAGAGAAAGCTCTTGGCTCCTTTCTTGTGATCCTTCATACCACAACAGCCTTTATTCAACGGTTCTGAGAGCCAACATGAGGATTCAGGGATTCAGGTTTGTTTTTTTATTTCTTTTCTTTTCTTTTCTTCTTCTTCTTTTTTTTTTTTTTCTTTTTTTTTGAGACGAAGTTTTGCTCTGTAGCCCAGGCTGGAGTGCAGTGGCATGATCTCGGCTCACCGCAACCTCCACTTCCCGGGTTCAAGCGATTCTCCTGCCTCAGCCTCCAGAGTAGCTGGGATTACAGGTGCGCACCACTGCACCCGGCTAATTTTTTGTATTTTTAGCAGAGACGGGGTTTCACCATGTTGGCCAGGCTGGTCTTGAACTCCCGACCTCAGGTAATCCACACGCCTCGGCTTCCCAAAGTGCTAGGATTGCAGGCATAAGCCACTGCACCCGGCTGTTTGTTTGTTTTCTGAGATGGAGTCTTACTCTGTCACCTACGCTAAAGTGCAGTGGTGTCATCTCGGCTCACTGCAACTTCTACCTCTCAGGTTCAAGTGATTCTCCTGCCTCAGTCTCCCAAGTAGCTGGGATTCCAAGGGCCCACCACCACACCCAGCTAATTTTTTTTTCTTTGTATTTTTAGTAGAGACAGGATTTTGCAATGTTGGCCAGGCTGGTCTTGAACTCCTAACCTCAGGTGATCCTCCTGCCTCAGCCTCCCAAAGTGCTGGGATTATGGTGTGAGCCACTGCACCCAGCCCAGTGTGAGGATTCAATTGCCACTTGCCAAGTACCCATTCGAGAACTAAGGAAATAACCACAGAATGGGTCTGTGTTCCTACTTGACTCCCTGTGCTTTTGACTTTAGCCAAAATCGCATTTATCATCTGAGCCCTATATGCCCCTACTATTTTGTATGGTTTCCAGAAATCAATGACAACTCAAAGCCAGAATCTAGTCATCTCCAAAAAGTCTGAGAATGTTCCTTTTCCCAGGATACAGTTACCTTAGTAAGTGGCTGCGGGGTCCTTTGAGGAAGGCTTTGGAGAAGATTTATAGTACATGCACATGAAATTTTGCAAGATTTTATCTCAAAGGGACCCTGGCCATGATTCAGTTCAGGGGCTCTGGGCCCATGAACTGCCTTAGGTCCAAAACCTGGGTGAGAGGCTGTGACTATTATTCTGAAACAAAGTCAGATTGCTGGCCACCAGACCTGGGATTTTTCTGTTCTATAGATCAAGTGATATTTTAGTAGGTTGCCCATCTATTTTATTCCTAGGGACACTAGGATTAATTAGCCACCATCAAATCTGTACAGGTCAAACCATCCTGATTACCATCCTCCAATGTCCAACATGTCTGTCTTTGGGGACTAAATGTGGACACTTGGCCTTTGCTACTTCAGAACTCCAGCTTTCCTATAGAAATGTGGGAGCCCTGGCCGGGAGCGGTGGCTCAGCCTGTATTCCCAGCACTTTGGGAGGCTGAGGTGGGCGGATCACCTGAGGTTGGGAGTTTGAGACCAGCCTGACCAACATGGAGAAATCCCGTCTCTATTAAAAATACAAAATTAGCCAGGCGTGGTGGCGCATGCCTATAATCCCAGCTACTTGGGAGGCTGAGGCAGGAGAATTACTTGAATCCGGGAGGCGGAGGTTGCGGTGAGCCGAGATTGTGCCATTGCACTCCAGCCTAGGCAGCAAGAGCAAAACTCCGTCTCAAAAAAAAAAAAAAAAGAAAGAAATGTGGGAACCCATCTCAATAGTGGGTCTCCCCAGATTACACCTGGCCAGCACAGGGCTTTTTCTTTTTTTTTTCTTTGAGACAGGGTCTCACTCTGTTGCCCAGGCTGGAGTGTAGTGGCTCGATCTTGGCTCACTGCAACCTCCACCTCCTAGGTTCAAGTGATTCTCCTGCCTCAGCCTCCCAAGTAGCTGGGATTACAGGTGCCCTCCACCACACCCAGCTAATTTTTGTATGTTTTTAGTAGAGACGGGGTTTCATCATGTTGTCCAGGCTGGTTTCGAACTCCTAACCTCAGATGATCCGGCTGCGTTGGTGTCCCAAAGTGCTGGGATTATAGGCATGAGCTACCATGCCCGGCTGCAGCCAGCACAGAGCTTCATGTGGATATCAGTACGCCCCTTACTAACATATTTCTAATGCTATAAGGTTGGGTGTCCCTCTGAGGCATCCCAGGGGATGCAATGGGGAGGTGACATGCAGGTCACATGTGATAAATCCACAACATATTTCTCTCTTCCTGCATTTTTGGAGTCCTTTTTCTACATTAATTCAGGGAACTGCTAGTACCTCAAGTTCACTGAATGGAGGCCATTATTAAGTCTAAATTATAGTCAATCAATGAAGCAAACTTCTAACTCCTCAACTGCACAAGCTAACAAACTGATAGATTGTAAAATAAAATGGCCACAAATCCCTCTCCTCTCTGTATGCATGCACCTGTGCGACGTGACTTGACTGCAACTCCCCTCAAGAGGCGGGGTCTACTTCTCCACCCACTTAAATCAGGGTTGGCCTTGGGCTGGACAGCTGGGACCAACAGAATGTGGCAGCAGTGACTTTGTGGGTGTTTTTGCTTTTTGTTTTTGTTTTTGTTTTTGTTTTTTTGAGACGGATTTTCACTCTTGTCGCCCAGGCTGGAGTGCAATAGCACAATCTCGGCTCACTGCAACCTCTGCCTCCTGGGCTCAAGTGATTCTCCTGCCTCAGCCTCCTAAGTAGCTAGGATTACATAAACATGCTCGGCTGTAATAGCCCACCACGCCCAGCTAGTTTTTTTGTATTTTTAGTAGAGTCAGGGTTTCACCAATCAGTCCGGCTGGTGTTGAACACTTGACCTGAGATGATCCACCTGCCTCGGCCTCCCAAAGTTCTGGGATTAGAGGCGTGAGCCACCACACCCAGCCACTCTGTGGGTGTTCTGAGCCAGCTCTCCAGAGCCTTGCAACTTCCCTCTCTCTGCCCTGAGACTACCAGGGAAGGAGTCTGGGGTGAACTCCTGAAGGACAAAAGGCCCCATGGAGAGACAATCAGGCTAACTATCTTGGGTCATGCATCCAGCCCCAGTCAAGCCACAAGATGACTGCCACTGCATGAGTGACTGCAGAGGAGACCAGCGGAAGACTTGCCCACAGAGCCATGCCAAACAGCTGACCCACAGAATCACGAGCAAATAAAACGGTGGCTGTTTTATGCCGCTGAGTTTTACAGAAATAGATAGATGCTCATGTCAGCTCAAGTCCCCGTCAAGTGATCTCATATTGGTGAATCCTGTACAGTAACAAAAAGCCTATCTTTAATAAAAGTAGGAGATCGCCAAAACCCCAAACTATAAAATGGCTGAAAGGGGGTGCCCAAAGTAATGGAGAGGAAGAAATCGTGGGGAGGGAAGAGGGAAGGGCACCTGCAGCTTGGATCGCAGGTGGAAGCAGCACCTAGCAGTCCCAAGGGTGAGAGGCCTGTCCAGGTCTGATCCTGAGGGACAGTGCTGAGGTCAGGGCAAGGTGAGGCCATGCGTGGAGGGACTGAGAGGCTGGGGTAGGAAGGCTCACCTGCATGGACACCGAATGAACTGAACCTCAAGAGCAGTGTTAGAGAGGACAGTGAATTTGCTGCTAAACTCTTTTTCTTTTCTTTTTCTTGAGATGGGATCCACTCTGTCTCCCAGGCTGGAGTGCAGTGGTGCAATCATGGCTTACTGCAACCTTGACCTCCTGGGCTCAAGCGATCCTCCCACCTTAGCCTCCTGAGTAGCTGAGACCACAGGCACATGCCACCATGCCTGGTTATTTTTTTCATTTTTATTGTTTTCTGTAGAATGGAATCTCACTATTTTCCCCAGGCGGGTCATGACCTCCTGGGGTCAGCCTCCCAAAGTGCTGGGATTACAGGCGTGTGCCACCTCCCTTGGCCTAAACTCTTCAAGGAATGAGGAGTCATCTCATTCCTTGAAGAATTTAGTCGTGGAATGTCTGCAGCAATGGTACTGTCAAATAACATGAGATTGAAAGCTGGGGGTTTGGGGGAAGAGGGGGAAGCTCATGTTCTGCAAGTGGAGCAAGGAGGGCCCCCATCTGCCGGCCCAGTGGCAGGGGAGGGAGGGAGGGAGGGAAAACAGTCACCACCTGGGCTCACAGTAGGGGAAGCAGTGTCAGAAGAGCCAGAAGGCGAAGGAAGAGTTCAAAGAAGACCTCCCGTGCCTGAGTTCCGGGGACTTGGCAGAGAGTTTCAGTAGCTGGGGGTGGGGAGAAGGGAAGCAGAGCCAGATGGGGATTAGATGCAGGGAGGAGGGCTGAGCAGGGATCTGGGCTTCTTGTGATGGGCGATGTGAACAGGGATAAAGACAGTAATGAGATTAGTCCCGTGTCTGCAGCAGAGTGGTGGTGGGGCTGAGGGGCTGCCAAGGTTGTGAGGGAGAAAAGCAGAGTGCAGAGGCGTGCATGTGATCATGCAATGCAAAAACAACCCCATACAGGCAGGAGGAGGGGGTCTTGCCAGGAGCACACTCTAATCTTGGCTACCACCTTCAGCACAGATTCCTGTCTGGCCAAGGGTACGAGGAGAGACAAAGTTTTCAGACTCTGATCCCTGCCAACACCTTTCTAAGAATGGTCAAGAAAATGATGAAAATGTCAGTGAAACAGAAGAGGAACAGATCCCAACAGACAGTTGATGTAATATATAACAATGGTGGAAGCCAGGCACAGTGGCTCACGCCTGTAATCCCAGTGCTTTGGGAGGTTGAGGCGGGTGGATCGCTTGAGGCAGAAGTTCAAGTTTGCAGTGAGCTATGGTCAGGCCACTGTACTCCAGCAGCCTGAGTGGCAGAGCGAGACCGTGTGTCTAAATAACAACAAAAAACAATGGTTGAATTTTAATTCTGTGAGGAAGGATGATACTTTATTTATTTGCGATTTTCTTTTCTTTCAGACAGGGCATCATCCTCTGTTGCCAAGGCTGGAGTGCAGTGGCACAATCATGGCTCACTCTACCCTTGGCCTTCTCAGCTCAAGCGATCGTCAGCTTCCAAGTAGCTGGGACTACAGGTGTGTGCCACTACACCCTGCTAATGCTTATATTGTTTGTAGAAACGAGGTCTCACTATATCGCCAGGCTGGTCTCAAACTCCTGGGCTCAAGCAGTTTGTCCACCTCAGCATCCCAAAGTGCTGGGACTACAGGGGTGGGCCATCACACTCAGCCCGATACTTTCTTTAATAAGTGATGTTGACCCAACTTGCTGTCCCACTAGGAGGAAAATGAGGTGGAATCCCTACTTCTCACCAAAATCGTGAAAATAAATTTCAAATGCTTTAAACATATAAATGTAAACAATATTCAGAGTATATAAAATATATATAATTTTTTGAGATAGAGCCTCTCTCTGTTGCCCAGGCTGGAGTGCAATGGCACATCTCAGCTTACTGCAACCTCCGCCTCCCGGGTTCAAGCGATCCACCTGTCTCAGGCTCCCGAGTAGCTGGGATTACAGGCGCCCACCACCATGCCCAGCTAATTTCTGTATTTTTAGTAGAGACAGGGTTTCGCCATGTTGGTCAGGCTGGTCTCAAACTCCTGACCTGAGGTGATCCACCCACCTCAGCCTTTCAAAGTGCTGGGATTACAGGGGTGAGCCACTGTGCCCGGCCAGAGTATATAAAATATTTCAAACTAAGACCAGAAAACCAGAGCTATAGGAGAAGAGATACACATATAAAATTACATAAACATTTAAAACTGTATATAGCAAAAGATACCTTCATCAAAGTCAAAGGGAATAATAAAATGGGAAGACATTTGAAATCCATGTGACAGATAAGTTAATATCTATATTATTACAAAGAGCTCCTACACACCAATAAGAAAAAGAGAAATAATCCAGGGATGGAAATAGATCATTCAGGCCAGGAATGGTGGCTCACGCCTATAATCCTAGCACTTTGGAAGGTGGAGGTGGGAGGATTGCTTGAGGCCAGGAGTTTGAGGCCAGCCTGGGCAACATAGCTAGACCCCTTCTCTACAAAAAAATCTAAAATTAAAAAATTAAAAATTATCCAGGCATGGTGGCATACACCTGTATTCCCAGCTACTCGAGAGGCTGAGGTAGGAGGATCGCTTGATCCCAGGGGATTGAGGCTGCAACGAGCTATGATCACACCTCTGTCCTCCAGCCTGGGCGACAGAACAAAACCTTATCTCTAAAAACAAAACAAAAGACACACACACACGCACACACACACACAACTGTTTTGCAGAGGCTGGAGGGGTATAAGCTGGTAGAAGAAGAGAGACTGCCTGGTAGACCAGAGGGGGGAGTAGGTGTGGGTAAGGATGGTTTGAATTAGATGTCAATTTTAAACTGTGTGAAGGGCTGCATGGTTTTATAAGGAGTATAAAAATATGAAAGCACAGGTGTGGTCAACCCTTAAAAGTATGGCTATTAATGGGAGAAAAAGGCGATGCCAGGACCTGGAGGGGTTTGGGGAGGTTTATTCTAAGACACGGAGACTAAGCATGTTCACAGGCTTATGGGCGTGGGCCAGCTGGGAGGGAGGGGGACTGAAGGGGATTGAAAAGAGATAATGAGTGCAGCAAGACAGGATGGGATCTGCACATCAGAACCACCAGGAGCTTTTTCAAAATTCCCATCTGGGCTCACTCCAGAACTACTCACTTAGACTCTCCAAATGTTGAGCCAGAGAACCTGGGCTTTATTTTATTTATTTATGTATTTTGAAACAGAGTCTTGCTCTGTCGCTCAGGCTGGAGTGCAGTGGCGTGATCTCAACTCACTGCAACCTCCACCTCCCAGGTTCAAGTGATTCTCCTGCCTCAGCCTTCCTTGTAGCTGGGATTACAGGCACCTGCCACCATGCCTGGCTAATTTTTGTATTTTTGTAGAGATGAGGTTTTACCATGTTGGCCAGGCTGGTCTTGAACTCCTGGCCTTAGGTGATCTGCCTGCCTCAGCCTCCCAAAGTGCTGGGATTACAGGCATGAGCCACCATGCCCAGTCAGAACCTTGGTTTTATTATTATTATTATTATTATTATTATTATTTTTAGATGGAGTCTTGCTCTGTCGCCCAAGCTGAAGTGCGGTGGTTCAATCTCGGCTCACTGCAGCCTCAGCCTCCTGGGTTCCAGTGATTCTCTTGCCTCAGCCCCCCAGGTAGCTGGGATTACAGGCACGCAGCACCATGCCCGGTTAATTTTTGTACTTTTAGTAGAGACGGGGTTTCACCATGTTGGCTGGGCTGGTCTCGAACTCCTGACCTCAGGTGATCCACACACCTCAGCCTCCCAAAGTGCTGGATTACAGGTGTCAGCCACCGCACCTGGCCAAGAACCTGGGCTTTAAATAAGCTTCTTGAATAGCATCAAATGATAAATCGATTACACAGGAATGAATGTAACAAAATATTTGCAAAGAACACTACAGAAGGCCAGGTGCGGTGGCTTACACCTGTAATCCCAGCACTTTGGGAGCCGAAGCGGGTGGATCACCTGAAGTCAGGAGTTTGAGACAGCCTGGACAACATGGTAAAACCCTGTCTCTACTAAAATTACAAAAATTAGCTAGGTGTGGTGGTGCACGCCTATAATCCCAGCTACTCAGGTGGCTGAGGCAGGAGAATCGCTTGAACCCGAGAGGTGGAGGTTGCAGTGAGCCAAGATCACACCACTGTACTCCAGCCTGGGTTACAAAGCAAGAGCCTGTCTTAAAACAAACAAACAAACAAAAAACAAAAAACAAAAAAGCACACACACAGGGAAAGAGTAAACTTTTCAGTAAATCAACTGAGTGTGCTCCTATGGGGAAAAAAATGAAACCTGACCCTTACCTCACACCATCAACAGATAAATTCCAGGTGGGCTATAGTCTTCAATACGAAAAGCAAAAGAATAAAGCTTATAAAAAATAATATAGGGTTAGGTGTAGGGGCTAACACCTGTAATCCCAGCATCTTGGGAACCCAAGGCAGGAGGATTACTTGAGTCTAGGAGTTTGAGACCAGCCTGGGCCACATAGGGAAACCCTGTCTCTAAAAAAGTTCAAAAAATCAGCTGGGCACACACCTGTGGTCCCAGTTACTCAGGAGGCTGAGATGGGAGGATCACTTGAGCCTGAGAGGTTGAGGCTGCAGTGAGCCATGATCATACCACTGCACTCCAGCCTGGGTGACTGAGTGAAACACTGTCTCAAAAAGTAATATAAATAAATAATAAATAAATAAAATAGGCCGGGCGCGGTGGCTCATGCCTGTAATCCCAATACTTTGGGAGGCCAAGGCAGGCAGATCATCTGAGGTCAGGAGTTCGAGACCAGCCTGACCAACATGGAGAAACCCCGTCTCTACTAAAAATACAAAATTAGCTGGGCGTGTTGGCACAGACCTGTAATCCCAGCTACTTAGGAAGCTGAGGCGGAAAGATCACTTGAACCTGGGAGGCGGAGGTTGCGGTGAGCCAAGATCACGCCATTGCACTCCAGCCTGGGCAACAAGATCAAAACTCTGTCTCAAAATAAGTAAATAAATAAAAGTAAAATAAAAAATAATAGGGAGTAGCCAGGTGTATGGCTGGCACCTGTAGTCCTAGGTACTTGGGAGGCTGAGGCAGTAGGATCACTTGAGTCCAGGAATTTGAGACTGCAGCGAGTTATGATCGTGCCGCTGCACTCCAGCCTGGACAACAGAGTGAGACCCTGTCTCTAAAAAATAATAATAAAATGTTTAAAAATTAATTAAGGCAATAAAAATTAAAAATAAATTTTAAAAATTAATGTATAATTCCATTTATATAACACTCCAAAGCAGGCAAAACTAATCCACATACCCATAGAAATCAGGGTGGTGGTGCCTTTGAAGGTGAGGAAAAGGATGAGGCTTTTGGCACCTGACAATATCTATTTCTTGACCTAGTTGAGGTTACAAAGGAGTTGGCTTCATAGTAATGCATTAACTTGTACATTTATGTTTTATGCACTTCTCTGCAATAAGTATGTTTTACTTCACATAAAGGTTTTAATAAAAAAGAAATCTTCCCTGTAATTTTTTTCTTTTATTTATTTATTTTTTTTGTGACAAGGTCTGGCTCTGTTGCCCAGGCTGGAGTACAGTGGTATTATCTCAGCTCACTGTAACCTCTGCCTCCTGGGCTTAAGTGATCCTCTCACCTCAGTCTCCTGAGTACCTGAGACTACAGGTGCGCACCACCATGCCTGGCTAATTTTGTATTTTTTGTAGAGGCAGGGTTTCACCTGTTGCCAAGGATGGTGTCAAACTTGTGAGCTCAAGTGATCCATCCACCTCAGCATCCCAAAGTGCTGGGATTATAGAAGTGAGACACCTTGCCCAGCCCCAAATAATTCCGATGGACAACCACATTTAGAGAGACTCCTGCTCTAGAGCCTGCTGGAGAGACACTATGAAAGTCAAGTCTGGGCCGGGCGCAGTGGCTCATGCCTGTAATCCCAGCACTTTGGGAGGCCAGGGCGGGTGGATCACCTGAGGTCAGGAGTTCGAGACCAGCCTGACGAATATGGAGAAACCCCGTCTCTACTAAAAATACAAAATTAGCCGGGCATGGTGGCACATGCCTGTAATCCCAGCTACAAGGGAGGCTGAGGCAGGAGAATCGCTTGAACCTGGGAGGCGGAGGTTGCGGTGAGCCGAGACCGCGCCATTGCACTCCAGCCTGGGCAAGAAGAGCGAAACCCCATCTCAAAAGAAAAAAAAAAGTTAAGTCTGTGGCCGGGCACGGTGGCTCACACCTGTAATCCCAGCACTTTGGGAAGCTGAGGCGGGCGGATCCCCTGAGGTCAGGAGTTTGAGACCAAACTGGCCAACATGGTGAAACCCCATCTCTACTAAAAATACAAAAATTAGCTGGGTGTGGTGGTGCATGCCTGTAATACCAGCTACTTGGGAAGCTGAGGCAGGAGAATCGCTTGAAGCTAGGAGGCGGAGGTTGCAGTGAGCCGAGATCGCACCACTGCACTCCAGCCTGGGGCACAAGAGCGAGACTTCATCTCAAAAAAAAAAAAAAAAAAAAAGAAAAACAAAAAAAAAGAAAGAAAAGTCAAGTCTGGCCAGGCGCAGTGGCTCATGCCTGTAATCCCAGCACTTTGGGAGGCCGAGGTGGGTGGATCACCTGAGGTCAGGAGTTTGAGACCAGCCTGGCCAATATGGCGAAATGCTGTCTCTACTAAAAATACAAAAATTAGCGGGGTGTGGTGGCACGCACCTGTAATCCCAGCTACTGGGGAGGCTGAAGCAGGAGAATCGCTTGAATTCTGGAGGTGGAGTTTGCAGTGAGCCAAGATCGTGCCATTGCACTCCAGCCTGGGCAATAAGAGCAAAACTCCGTCTCAAAAACAAAACAAAACAAAACAGAAGTCAAGTCTGTTTCAAGTGATGTGAACCAACTCTGATTCACAGATCTCAAATACTGACTCACATACAGAACCTGAAAAATCCAGAGTAGATTCAGGAATGGCTACTTTCAGATACTCCAACAAGATCATTAGGAATTGGTCTCTTTATCTCTTTGCTCAGATTTTCTCATTCTCCTGCAGGCTCCCCACTGAGGACAGCTCCCCACTGAGGACAGCTCCCAGCAAGTCCAGGCTATGTCCTTCCAGTCGAGCCACCTGAACAGAAAGAAAACATCTCCTTCTTTGAAGTCTTAGCAATAGTCCTGGGGCTTGTTCTCCCTACACTGGCTAGAGTCGCATGCCCATGCTTGACCAATGGCTGAGGCCAAAGGACTAACATAGGATGGGTGACCAGATGTGGGTCATGGTCTGTGCCTCTAGTTGGGGAGAATGGAGTCAGCCTCAGCTGAATCTGATTATCCATATGGGGGGAAACTGGATTTTCCTCAAAGGAAAAGTGGGTACCATTACCAAGAGAAAAGGAAAAAGATGCTTGGGCAGAAGAACTGGGAGCTACGGGTTGGAAGTCCCAATGGGGTCAAAGAAGAGGTGTGGTGGAGGAGACTGTCGTCAGAGAATGGGCATCTGAATTGTAATTTGAGAGGTGGAGCAGTTTCGGGTGATGACAGGGTCCAGGGCATGGCCATGGCAGTGGGTGGCCCAGCTGTCCAGGAGCCAAGACACCAAGGTGTTGGTTTTCCAGCCCCATGAGGAGTCTTCATTAATAAGGGTGTCACCCTAATAAAGCTCAGTCCCACACGCTTCAGTCTCAGAATAGTATCTGATTCAAGATATACAACTTGACTGGGTGTGGTGGCTCACACCTGTAATCCTAGCATTTTGGGAGGCCAAGGTGAGAGGATTGCTTGAGCCCAGGAATTCAAGACCAGCCTGGACAACATGGTGAAATCCCATCTCTCTACAAAAAATACAATTACTGTGGTGCACGCCTACAGTCCCAGCTACTCAGGGGGCTGGGGTGGGAGGATCGCTTGAGCCAGGGAGGTTGAGGCTGCAGTGAGCCGATATCCCACCACTGCACTCCAGCCTGGGCAATAGAGTGAAACCCTGTCAAAAAAAAAAAAAATTAATTGCCTAAGGTAATTAAAAAGCCATTTCCTTTAAAGTCAAAAGATTTTAAAATGATTCATATACATATACATAGTCAAAGCCACACTAATAAAAATCCCCTTTCCTTTCTCTTTTCTTCCTTCCTAAAGCAACTCTGTGCGATTCATTTCAATCTCTATCTCCCACCAGAAAAACTCTCCTCTTCCAAACCCACCTCAACTTAGCCACTTTCCCAATATGGGATGATTAGTCTTTTTTTTTGTTTTGAGACAAGTGGTTCAATCACGGCCCATTGCAGCCTTGACCTCCTGGGCTCAAGTGATCCTCCCATCTCAGCCCCTCCAGTAGCTGGGACTACAGGCATGTGCCACCACCGCCAGCTAATTTTTGTATTTTTTGTAGAGACGAGGTTTGTTTCTCCATGTTACCCAGGTTGGTCTCGAACTCCTGAGCTCAAGGAATCCACTCGCCTTGGCCTTCCAAAGTGCTGGAGTTACAGGCATGAGCCATGGTGCCTGGCCCTGAATCAGTCTTAAGAAGGAGGTGAGATGGCGGAGAAATTATGGGGCTCTAGTGGGCCAGGGTGGGAGAAATCTGCCCAGCTTCTCCTTGACCATTTTTGTCCTATCACAAGGGGAGTGACCTAGGAGCCACCTAATACCAGCAGGTGGAGCAGCAAAACAGCCCTGAGTCAGCTGGACGCAGTGGCTCACGCCTGTAATCCCATCACTTTGGGAGGCAGAGGCAGGTTGATCAGGAGGTCAGGAGATCAAGACCATCCTGGCTAACATGGTGAAACCTCGCCTCTACTAAAAATACAAAAAATTAGCCGGGCATGGTGGCGGGCACCTGTAGTCCCAGCTACTTGGGAGGCTGAGGCAGGAGAATCACTTGAACCTGGGGGATGGAGGTTGCAGTGAGCCGAGATCGTGCCACTGCACTCCAGCCTGGGTGATAGAGCCAGACTCCGTCTCAAAAACAAACAAACAAACAAACGAAAATGGCCCTGAGTCTAAATGAACAGCAGGGGTTTTATTTAAGTGCTCCCCATCACCATCCCTCTGCCCTAAGAGCCTCCCTGTGAAAACCCGGAACTTCTGCTGAATAAGGAGGAACAGTCAAAGCAAGAGCCGTCTCCTCCTTCAATCATAGCCCTAGTAGTTTTTGTTTTGTTGTGTTTGTTTATTTGTTTGAGACAGAGTCTCACTTTGTCGCCCAGGCTCCATGCAGTGGCATGATCTCGGCTCACTGCAACCTCCACCTCCTGGGTTCAAGTGATTCTCCTGCCTCAGCCTCCTGAGTAGCTGGGACTACAGGTGCCCGCCACCATGCCCGGCTAATTTTTGTATTTTTAGTAGAGATGGGGTTTCATCATGTTGGCCAGGCTGGTCTTGAACTCCTGGCTTCAGGTAATGCGCCTGCCTCAACCTCCCAAAGTGCTGGGATTATAGGCGTGAGCCACCGTGCTCGGCCAACTTAGCAGTTTTATTGACTTATTTTAACAATAACCATGGATTTGTTTTCTTCAGTATATTATAAATTGGATACTAACATTTTGGGGAAAATCATTCTGAGGCTGTCAAGGACAGTAGCAAATTCTGGACATTCTACTTTAGATCTAATAAATATTCACATAAATTTAAACAACAATGAAGAACTATCAGCCGGGCGTGGTGGTTCACGCCTGTAATCCCAGAACTTTGGACCACAGAGGTGGGAGGATTGCTTGAGCCCAGGAGTTTGAGACCAGCCTGGGCAACTCAACGGGACATAGTCTCTAAAATAAATAAATAAATAAATAAATAAATTTAGTCAGTAGTGGTGGCAGGAAGCTGCAGTGAGCCATGATCATGGAGCCACTACACTCCAGCCTGAGCAACAGAGTGAGACCATCTCACTAAAAAAAAAAAAAAAAAAAAGATAAAGAAAATCAGGGCCAGGCGTGGTAGCTCATGCCTGTAATCCCAGCACTTTGGGAGGCCCAGGCAGGTGGATCACCCGAGGTCAGGAGTTTGAGACCAGCCTGGCCAACATGGCGAAACCCCGTCTCTACTAAAGAAGTACAAAAATTAGCCAGGTGTGGTGGCGGGCACCTGTAATCTCAGCTACTCAGCAGGCTGAGGCAGGAGAATCGCTTGAACCTAGGAGGCGGAAGTTGCAGTGAGCTGAGATTGCACCACTGCACTCCAGCCTGGGCGACAGAGCAAGACTCCATCTCAAAAAAAAAAAAAAAAAAATCAGACTGGGCGCAGATTGTCTCGTGTGTGTGTGTGTGTGTGTGTGTGTGTGTGTGTGTGTGTGTATTCTGGGGGTGCACTGCCCTCTGCTCTGGGTGTATATGTGTGATAAAATATGCATGACATAAAATTTACCATCTTAACCATTTTTTTTTGTAGGGGCGGGGTGTCTCACCATGTTACCAGGCTGGTCTTGACCACTCATGGCCTCAAGTGATCCTCTTGCCTTGGCCTCCCAAAGTGCTAGAATTACAGGTATGAACCACTGGGCCCAACCCATTTTAACCATTTTTCAATGTAACATTCACATTGTTGTGCAACCATCACCACCATCCATCTCCAGAATTCTTTCATCTTGCAAAACTGAAACTTTGTGTCCATTAAACAGTAACTTACCATTCCCCCTACCTCAGCCCCTGGCAACCACCATTCTTTCTGTCTCTATGAATTTGACTACTTTAAATACCTCCCATAAGTGGAATCATACAGTATTTGTCTTTTTGTGTCTGGCTTACTTCACTTAGCATAATGTCCTCCAGGTTCCTCCATCTGTAGCTGTGTCAGAATGTCCTTCCTTTTTCAGGCTGAATAATGTTCCACTGTATGGGTACACCACATTTTGTTCATCCATTCATCAGACGATGGACACTACTGTTGCTTCCACATTTCAGCTACTGCAAATAATGCTGCTAAGGACATGAATGTACAAGTATCTCTTCGAGACCCTGCTTTCATATTTTTTTTTTTTTGAGATAGAGTCTCGCTCTGTCGCCCAGGCTGGAGTGCAGTGGCACGATCTCAGCTCACTGCAACCTCCGCCTCCCGGGTTCATGCCATTCTCCTGCCTCAGCCTCCCGAGTAGCTGGGACTACAGGCGCCCGCCACAACGCCCGGCTAATTTTTTTGTATTTTTTTTAGTACAGACGGGGTTTCACCGTGTTAACCAGGATGGTCTCGATTTCCTGACCTCGTGATCTGCCTGCCTCGGCCTCCCAAAGTGCTGGGATTACAGGCGTGAGCCATCGCGCCTGGCCGAGACCCTGCTTTCATTTGAGCATAAACCCAGAATTGAGATTGCTGGGTCATTTGGTAGAGGGTCTCGTCTTTGTGGGGAGTGGCCTGGCTTCTGGACTAGAGGGTGTGAGGAGCTTCGATAGGAGCTTAGAGGGGATTCACTGTGTGACTGTGGGCAGGTCACTTTCCTCTCTGGAAACAGATCCTTATTTCTAAAACAGGTGCTCTTGTGGTTTTTGTTGTTGTTGTTTGGGTTTTGTTTTGTTTTTTTGAGACAGAGTCTCACTCTGTCGCCCAGGCTGGAGTGCAGTGGCACGATCTCAGCTTACGGCAAACTCCACCTGCTGGGTTCAAGCAATTGTCCTGCCTCGGCCTCCCGAATAGCTGGGATTACAGGCGCCCGCCACCATGCTCAGCTAATTTTTGTATTTTTAGTAGAGATGGGGTTTCATCATGTTGGCCAGGCTGGTCTCAAACTCCCGACCTCAAGTGATCCGCCTGCCTCGGCCTCCCACTGTTGGGATTACAGGTGTGAGCCACCACCCCCGGCCTTTAACTTTTTCTTTAAATTGAGACAGGCTCTCACTATGTGCTCAGGCTAATCTTGAACTCCTGGCCTCAAGTGATCCTCCCTCCTTGGCCTCCCAAAGTGCTGGGATCACAGGCGTGAGCCACCGCGCCCGGCCAGGTGCTCTTAACCACACACATTCTCAGGCCTCTTTTCCCAGGAGATTCTAATTCAATATCTGGCCTGTGGCCCAGGATATTTTTCTTCTTTTTTTTAAGAGCCTTGGATGATTTTTATCATCAGACAGGTTTAGGAACCGCGGGACTTGACGCTTTCCCTTGCAGCTCTGACTGCTGTTGACTCCGTGGTCAGGAAGCGGATGTGGAGTTCACATCCTAGTTGCCAGCACCACCTCAGTTTCTTCACCCGCTAAAGGAGGGCAGTGGCGCTACCACAGGACTGTGGCACGAAGTCAATGGAAATGAAAGAAAATATGTACCTAGTACTAAAACCAAACCAAACCAAAACCAAGTCCTGTAACATGCCTGGTATTCCCAGTTATCCTCACCTTCCGCGGGGCCGGTGTCCTCCCCGGTGGGTGTGTTCGTGTCGCCACCTGGTGGTAAGGCTAAGTCAGTGCACCCTCCCCGCCCTCCCACTCCAAGCCTGGGCTGGCCCCCGTCAGAAGCCTTAAGCTCCCGGAAGAGCTGAAAGCCCACGGTGGGAGGGCCTGGGGTTCGGGGGTCCCAACACATTCCACAGACCCATTCCAGCGATGATGAGTCGTTGCCTCCGCTCTGCCAGCCTAGTCTGTCCTGCCCCCTCCTTACTAGTAAAGATGGAGCCTACGTGCTAGAGTCCTTGCAGACACTGTCTCATTCCACCCTCACAACCCCTTTGTACGGTAGAGGGACTTACCCCTTTTTCACAGCTGAGGACATTGAGGCTCAGTGAAATTAAGTGACTGGCGCAGAGTCACACAGCTTGAAATGACGGAGCCAAGTCTCAAGCCCAGGTGGGTTTTAACCCACAACTATTTCCAATAAGCCACAAGGCCTCTACCCTGGTAGTTCCCCGCTTTGGCTGGACATTGAATTCACCTGGGGATCCTTGACGAATGCTGACGCCTGGGCCCTACACCAGGGGTTCTGATGAACCAGTCTAGGGCGCTGTAAGGCTCAGGAGGGATCCTGATGGGCAGCCAGAGTGACAGCCACTGCTCTGAACTCGCCCATTCTGTTTCGGGGCTCTTCCCTCTGCTCTGGGGGTGCTAGCCAAGTGTTTGGCTCCGGGGACTCACAAATATGCAGCTGCAGCAGAGGGCGTGCACCTCGGGACAGCCTCCAGCCTGCAGCAGGGGCTCTGATCCTCCTGCCCCTAGCGTGGGGTGGGGTGGCTCCAGAGCGGCTCTGGAGGGAGGCTTTGCTGGGTACTGACCTTCAGCAAGTGACTGCACATTTCCGTGAAGTTTCCTCCAATGTAAAACAGGTGTGAAAACTGTAAATCATGTAAAATTGTCGAGTTTTTTTTTTCTTTTTTTGTTTGAGTCAGGGTCTTGCTTTATTGACTAGACTGGAGTGCAGTGGTGTGATCGTAGCTCACTGCAGCCTTGAACTCCCGGCCTCAAGCAGTTCTCTTGCCTCAGCCTCCCAAAGTGCTGGGATTACAGGCGTGAGCCACCCTGCAGGGCCTAATTGTTGAGTATTAAACGAGCTAATACAGCAGATAAAGCACTTAGAGCAGTGCCTGGAACCCAGCAAGCTCTCAATGAATACAGCTACTGCTACTGCTAATAGTAGTATCACTACTCCATCAGTCGCACCCCGTTTGGACTACTCGCCAATTATCAAGAGAACTGCTCTTTTCTGTTCTAGAAAGATCACTGTCCCATAGGGAGGGGCTAGCCATCAAAGAGAGCGGGCACAGAGGCAGGCACAGGATCCAGCCGGTAATCCGAGTTTCCCACCACTGGACTCAACCGACTGAGCCAGGGTAAGCAAGCAGGGCAGTCAGGCCCCTCTTGGGGGGACTGGCATGGACACAGGAAAGGTGCACAGGCACCCCTCCTGTTAACACAGAGGGAAGTAGGGATGGGACGCAGAGGCTCAAGGACATCTTTTGAGTATTTCAGGGGCAGGGACTTTGGTCCATTCTGTTCACTGCTGTGAGTGGAGTGCCTAGAAGTGCCCTGCATACAGTAGGGGCTCAATGAATAGCTATTGAATGGACCTCACGCCGCACCACAACAGCCTGACCTGTCTCATTGTCTGTCCTCTGGCTCCGGCCCTCATCCATCTCTCCTATTGGTCTCTGCCTGACTGGACAGAAACAGATCTGCAGATCTGGTCCCCATTCACTTGCCCTGGGCATAGGAGCTGAGGACCAGGGGACTGCTGCTGCTTCTACCCCTGGGTCCTTGGGGGCTTGGAGGGTGGAGGCCCCTCTCTGGCTGAACTAAGACTGTGACTGTCCCACTGTGGGGGGCCCAGTGGACCACAGAGGGGTGCTGTACTGAGACAGAATTGGCCTCATGGGTGGAAAAGCTTCCCAAGCAGCTGTCCCTGTGCAGCATGATGGCTTCGGAAGACAGAGAGCAGCCTGTGCCTGGGCATGTGTGAGCAGAGGGAAGAACTGTGTCTACCCAGGGATTCCTGACTCTGCTGGGGCCAGCTCAGATTCACATGGATTCTGTGAAAAGCCATGGAGGCCCCCAGTAGCATCACTTGTCAGATTCCACTTTTTTTTTCTCGAGGTAAGGTTTTACTCCCATCGCCCAGGCTGGAGTGCAGTGGTGCCCTCTCAGCTCACTACGACCTCCACTTCCCAGGCTCAAGCGATCCTCCTGCCTCAGCCTCCCAAGTAACTCAGACTACAGGCATGCATCACCACTTCTGGCAAATTTTTGTATTTTTAGTAGAGATGGGGTTTCACCATGTTGGCCAGGCTGATCTCGAACTCCTGACCTCAAGTGATCCACCTGCCTCGGCTTCTCAAAGTGCTGGGATTACAGGTGTGAGCCACCACGCCCAGTCCAGATTCCACTTTCTTTTCTTCTTTTTTTTTTTTCTGAGAGAAGTCTCGCTCTTGTCCCCCAGGTTTGAGTGCAATGGCTTGATCTCGGCTCACTGCAACCTCCGCCTCCCTAGTTCAAACGATTCTCCTGCCTCTGCCTCCCAAGTAGCTGGGATTAAGGCGCCTGCCACTACGCCCGGCTAATTTTTGTATTTTTTAGTAGAGACGGGGTTTCGCCATGTTGGCCAGGCTGGTCTCGAACTTCTGACCTCAGGTGATCCGCCCGCCTCGGCCTCCCAAAGTGCTGGGATTACAGGCATGAGTCACTGTGCCCCGTCCAGATTTCTCTCTAGAGAAGACATGAGTGTTTTTGTTTCATTCTCTGTACATGCCCACCAGCAACTCTCATCTCCCAGGCTGTGAGCTCCATGAGGGCAAAGACTGGGCTTGCATTGCATTTCCAGCTCCTGCAGCCAGTGCCCAGCTGCCACCCAGGGCTTTGTCCAACCAACAATTGAGAAGCCCCTCTGCGGGCCAAAGTGGGGCTGTGCCCGGGCTCTGAGCTCAGAGAATCTGCCCGAATCCCACTCACTCACACTGCCCACCTGGGAGACCTGGACAGTGACTTAACCTCTCTGAGCCTCCAAGAAGCAAGGATAACACAAGAACCCTGGCACTGGACTCCTAGGGTTCACTGAGAGAAAATTCCTTTTAGAACAGACGGCCAGGGGCTATGTGATGTAACAACACAACCTGGACAAAACTTAAGCCTGTGTGAGCCTGATCAAAGCTCAGCCCTACTTTCTATTTCACAAGAGCCCAGACACACCCTCAGGTGACCGCAGTTCCCATTTCTGATGAGCCCACCTGCATGGATCCTTTTGAGATGCAAAATGTCTTTTGCCCGTTTGAGACACTGATGCCCAGGCTGGAGCCTCCAAGCAGGGGGAATGCTTGCCCAAGGCCACCCAGCAGAAACCTGGGGAAGCGGGACACTGGGTCTGTTTCTGGGCAAAACCACTCTCCTTTAACTTTCTCCAAAGTCGCCTCCTTTCACCTCTGTGCCAGGTAAGCTAAGCCCTGGAGGCCTGAGGTGGAGTTCCTTTAGGGACCTGGGCCTCCATTTCCTTACTGGTGAAATGAAGGTAAAACAGCACATAGCTGACATTTCATAGGATACTTGCTCTGTGGCCAGCACTGTGCTAAGCACTGCACGTTTCTATCTATTCAATTTTCACGGCAATTTCCATAAAGTCGATTCCAAGTGTCGTCACCACTTTATGGACTAGAAAAATAGAGGCACAGGGAGGTGAAGAAAAATGCCTGCTTGCCTTTTGAAGTTTCCGTAGGGACTAGAAATAACACAAGTAAAACCAAGCACATAGTAGGTGCTTGGTCAGTGGAATGGCTCCACTAAACACTGGCTGTGTGACCTTGGACAAGTTACTTAACTTCTCTGAGCCACAGATATGTGAGTGTGCTGTGAGGATGAATTGAGAACACTGGGCACACACCATGCCTGACATGTAGTAGAAGACATTATTGATCAGTGTCAGCATTGCTGGTGGTGGCAAATCTTCATCTTCTGAAAGTAGATTTAACTTTAGGAAACAGATAAAATTCATATGGGATTAAGTCTGGGAACTAACGCCAGTGATCAAGCTGAGTCTTTTTTTTTTTTTAAATAGAGACGGGGTCTTGCTATGTTGCCCAGGCTGACCTGGAACTCCTGGGCTCAAATAATCCTTCTGCTTTGGCCTCCCAAAGTGCTGTAATTACAGGTGTGCTCCACCACGCCCGGCCAGAAATGTCATTTTTAGGCCAAACAAGGTATAATTATAGAGCCTCAAGCCTGTTTTTCTGGAAGCCTGGAGTACCTATGTCAGATCAAAAGGTGCTAGAGGTTATCTCTGTTCCTGATCTTATCCCTAAACAGAAGTCTCATTTTAACTAAAATCTTGCCTCCTGTTCCTAAACACACCCCTGACCCAAATCTGGACACTTATACTGCCCCTAAGTTCCCTCCACATGCTCATCGGCTCATCAGTGTAGCTGCACCAAAACCTTGGAGTTTCTATTCTTTTTGTTGTTGTTGTTGTTTTTAGAGGGAGTTTTGCTCTTGTTGCCCAAGCTGGAATGCAATGGCACGACCTGGGCTCACTGCAACGTCTGCCTCCTGGGTTCAAGCAATTCTCCTGCCTCAGCCTCCCGAGTAGCTGGGATTACAGGCGCCCGCCACCACTCCCAGCTAATTTTTTGTATTTTTAGTAAAGACAGGGTTTCACCATGTTGGTCAGGCTGGTCTCGAACTCCTGACCTCAGGTGATCCACCCGCCTTGGCCTCCCAAAGTGCTGAGATTCCAGGCATGAGCCACGCGCCCGGCCTCTTGCTATGCTTTTCCCAGCTCCACTTTGGCACTTCCTGTTTCTGTCATGATCTCAACCTGTGCTTGTTCTCAAGGGCTGAAAACAAATGGAACTGCATCCAAAGTATGAAAAACTTGAATACATTCTCCCAAAAGTGATGAAAGTAAGACATTTTTAAATTAAAATTTTTACATGCATTCAAAAGTGAGTTTTCTTTTAATATATTCAAAATTTTGTATTAAGATTAAAAGGCAAAATATGGCTTATAGTTAATAAATATCAAAAATTTAATCAAATGGGTTTTTTGAAATTTTATTTTATTGTATTTTTTTGAGACAGTCTCGCTCTGTCACCCAGGCTGAAGTGCAGTGACGTGATCTCAGCTCACCGCAACCTCTGCCTCCTGGGTTCAAACGATTCTCCTGCTTCAGCCTCCCAAGGAGCTGGGATTACAGGCGCCTGCCACCACGCCCAGCTAATTTTTGTGTTGTTAGTAGAGATGGGGTTTCACCATGTTGGCTAGGCTGGTCTCGAACTCCTGACCTCAGGTGATCTGCCCGCCTTGGCCTCCCAAAGTGCTGGGATTATAGGCATGAGCCACCGTGCCCAGCTGGGTTTTTTGAAATTTTAATTCCATCTTATTAAATATTTTTAGAAAAACAAAACTGTTTGCAAAATAGCCTCCAATGTCCCTCTAGTTGTCAATATAAAGAATTGCTATCAGGCCAGGCAAGGTGGCTCACACCTGTAATCCCAGCACTTTGGGAGGCTGAAGCAGGAAATCCCCTGAGTCCATGAGTTCAAGACCAACCTGGACAACATGGAAAAACCCCGTCTTTAAAAAAAAAAATACAAAAATAAGCTGGGCATGGTGGCACACGCCTGTACTCCCAGCTACTTGGGAGGCTGAAGCGGGGAAGGATGGCTTGAGTCTGGCAAGTCAAGGCTACAGTAAGCTGTGATCAGGCCATTGCTCTCCAGCCTGGGTGACAGAGCAAGACCCTGTCTCAAAAAAAAAAAAAAAGTGCTATCATGCTTCACATATGTTGAGGTTACATATATACGAATTTAACAGTAATATGAATTGTTGAGTATTGTCAGATGCTTCTCAGCTGCCATGTACAACTGTTAGGAATAGCACACGAATACATGAGAACCTCCAGAACATGGAAAGAAGCAAGAAAATGGACACTTGTTATGCAAATATCCATCACACCCATGCAACCTGAGAGGAAAGTTCTGAGAAATGATTTTTTCTTTCGCCTAAGAGCTTCTGCAGCTCAAATCCTCCCCTCACTCCAAAGTAGTTTCCATCTCTGACGTCACTGCAGCTCAACCCACATATCTCTCCCAGATTTGGATGCAGGTACCTGTGTTTTCGTTCTACTTTTTTTCAGAGAGGATGTGGTGCTCTGTCACCCAGGCTGGAGTGCAGTGGTGCAATCACAGCTCACTGCAGCCTCGACCTCTTGGGCTCAAGCAATCCTCCTGCCTCAGTCTCCTGAGTAGCTGCACCAGCATGCGCCACCACACCCAGCTTTACCTGTAGTTTTGAGGACAGAAGGTGAGAAACTGGAGAAGTGTCCCTGGGGCCTGAGCTGTGTCAGAGGGTGGATGTTCTTACAGTCCTGCCAGGTCAGCACTGAGCCCCAGACCCCTCGTGAGACAGTTCTTAGTTCTTTCTTTTTTTTTTTTTTTTTTTTTTTTTTTGAGACGAAGTTTCATTCTTGCTGCCCAGGCTGGAGTGCAATGGCGCAATCTTGGCTCACTGCAACCTCCGCCTCCCGGATTCAAGGATTCTCCTGTCTCAGCCTCCCGCATAGCTGGGATTACAGGTGCCCACGACCACACCTGGCTGATTTTTGTATTTTTAGTGGAGACAGGGTTTCACCATGTTGGCCAGGCTGCTCTCGAACTCCTGACCTCAAGTGATCTGGCCACCTCGGCCTCCCAAAGTGCTGGGATTATAGGCGTGAGCCACCTTGCCCAACTGTGAGACAGTTCTTAGCAATGTATCTGTTTGGCATTTGCAAGTCTCAGGAGCCCTCTGAAGTGCAGGTCGCAGGCAGGACTACTCTTGTCCCGGTCCAGGGGGCAGTCCTGCTCCAGTGTGCCAAGTTCTTTGCTGCCTGAAAACAGTTTGCACATGCTGTGCCTTGTGCCTGGAACATTCTCTTTTCTAGCCTTCAAGATCCTTCAGGCTGGGTGCAGTGGCTCATGCCTGTAATCCCAACACTTTGGGAGGCTGAGGCAGGCGGATCACCTGAGGTCAGGAGTTTGAGACCAGCCTGGCCAAGGTGGTGAAACACCATCTCTACTAAAAATACAAAAATTAGCCAGGCATGGTGGCACACGCTTGTAATCCCAGCTACTTGGGAGGCTGAGGCAGGAGAGAATCACTTGAACCCAGGAGGCAGAGGTTGCAGTGAGCCAAGATCACGCCATTGCACTCCAGCCTGGGAGACAAGAGCAAAACTCCGTCTCAAAAAAAAAAAAATTCCTTCAGATTTCAGTTTAAAAATGCCTTCCTTGGCCAGGCACGGTGGCTCAGGCCTGTAATCCCAGCACTTTGGGAGGCCGAGGTGGGCGGATCACTAGAAGTCAGGAGTTCGAGACCAGCCTGGCCAACATGGTGAAACCCCATCCCTACCAAAACTACAAAAAAAAAAAAAAAAAAAAAATTAGCCAGGCGTGGTGGCGGGTGCCTGTAGTCCCAGCTACTCAGAAGGCTGAGGCGGGAGAATTGCTTGAATCTGGGAGGCGAAGGTTGCAGTGAGCTCAGATTGCACCACTGCACTCCAGCCTGGGTGACAAGAGTGAGACTCCATGTCAAAAAAAAAAAAAAAAATTCCTTCCTCAGGGCAGGGCATGGTAGCTCATGCCTGTAATCCCAGCACTTTGTGAGGCCAAGGCAGGCGGACCACTTGAGGTCAGGAGTTTGAGATCAGCCTGGCCAACATGGTGAAACCCCTTGTCTACTAAAAATACAAAACATAGCCAGGTGCCTGTAATCCCACCTACTCAGGAGGCTGAGACAGGAGAATTGCTTGACCCTGGGAGGCAGAGGTTGCAGTGAGCTGAGATCGTGCCATTGCACTCCAGCCTGAGTGACAGAACAAGACTCCATCTCAAAAAACAAAACAAAACAAAACGAAACCTTCCTTCCTCAGGCAGCCTTGCCTGTACTCTAAATCCAGACTGGAACCCACCTGCTGGTCTCGTGGAGCCCAGTTCCTTTCCTTCTTGGCATTTCTCACAACTAATAATAATGAGATCATTATCACTAATTTGGGTATTTATGTCTCTACTATCTGTCTCTCTCACAAGCATGTAAGCTGCACGAGGGCGGGGACCACATCATGTTGTTCATCTCTGTATGACCATTATTTAGCATAGCGCTTGGCACACAATAGGTGCTCAGGAAATACTTGTTGACTGACACTCAGCTGTCAGTTTCCTCACCTTTAATATCAGGGTGTTTTCGTTTGGTTGTTTGGTTGTTTGGTTTTGTTTTTGAGACAGGGTCTCACTCCATTGCCCAGGCTGGAGTGCTGTGGCACTGTCTTAGCTCACTGCAGCCTCTGCCTCCTGGGCTCAAGTCATCCTCCTGCCTCAGCCTCCCAAGTAGCTGGGACCTCAGGCATGTACCACATTGCTCAGCTAATTTTTAAATTTTTTGTAGAGACAAAGTC